>NT_187693.1:711200-1066800 GCF_000001405.40 Homo sapiens
TGAGAGACTCACAGACACATAAAGAGATAGAAAAAGAGGGCAGAGAAGTGGAGCGTATGATGGAAGGAAGCAGAGAAAAGCCCTAAAATCAGAGCCCTGAGGGAGGGGCACAAAGACAGGGAAAGATAAAGATGTGGGGATGGATTGCAGAGACTCCAAAAGGGAACTAGAGAGACTGAGAGGCAGAGAAAGACAAGGAGATGGAGAGAGACAGATGATAGATGGATAGATAGATATAGATAGATGAAAGATAAAAGGTAGATGATAGATAATAGAGAGACAGGTGATAGACAAATAGATGATGAATGACTGATAGATGATATAGATAGACAAGTAGAAAGACAGACAGATGATATATAAATAGATATAGAGAGATAGAAAGACAGATAAACACATGATGATAGATGGATAGATGCATACATACATACATTGATTGATAGATGATAGATAACAGAGAGATAGGTCATAGATACACAGATGATGATAGATGATAGATACATACATAGATAAATGATAGATCGATCAATAGATAGTAGATAGAAATATGCAGAAAGTTATGAGCAAGACAGAAAGTGAGAGACTCAGAATTAAAGAAAGAGGAAGATCAAGTCAACCAGTCCAAGGAGGGTCAGAGAGAATAAAATGGTACAAAAAAAGAAAACATAGCTAGGGATGGAGAAGTGAGGTCAGAGACCTAGAGAGACAGAGAAGGTGGAAGGAGGAAATAGACATGAAGAGAGATGGGGGTGGAGGGTGAGAGAGAGAAAGAGAGCATTAAGTCATAGAGCAGGGGAGTGAGTTCTCAGCTCAGGTGTGAGGAGAGCTGTGACAACGAAGAACCTCCCTGAGGAAACCACCTCTTCTCCTTCCAGGTCTATATGGGAAACCTTCTCTCTCAGCCCAGCCGGGCCCCACGGTTCAGGCAGGAGAGAATGTGACCTTGTCCTGCAGCTCCCGGAGCTTGTTTGACATTTACCATCTATCCAGGGAGGCAGAGGCCGGTGAACTTAGGCTCACTGCGGTGCTGAGGGTCAATGGAACATTCCAGGCCAACTTCCCTCTGGGCCCTGTGACCCACGGAGGGAACTACAGATGCTTCGGCTCTTTCCGTGCCCTGCCCCACGCGTGGTCAGACCCGAGTGACCCACTGCCCGTTTCTGTCACAGGTGAGAAAACACCATGCCTGTCCCATGTCTTGTGATCCTAGAGCCATAGCTGAGGAGCTTCCTGCTGATGATGGAGAGAAGCATGGACAGATGCCGAGACAGAACACACAGCATGGGTGTAAGGGCGGGGTCAGGGGGCAGGATGGCAGACAGGGCACCTCCAAACCCTCCTGTATGGCCTGCAAGGAGGCCCTTGATCAGGGTTCCAGGCACCCAGGCAGATGGAGAAAGAGGTCAGAACAGACCCAGAGGAGGGAGACTGGGCTCTGCCTGGGGAGATCAGAGGTTCTCTCAGCCCCTCAACCTTACCCACTTCCCAGAAGCCCATCCTGGCCTGTCACCCACAGAGAGATGTCATCACCAGCAACGCCTACACCCTTTTCTTTTTGTTTGAAGAAATATTTATTGAGGTGAAATATACCTATGTAATTTACCACCTTTACCATTTTTAAGTTTGAAGTCTACTGTTCATAAATACATTTATAGGCTGGGCACGGTGGCTCACTGTTGTAATCCCAACACTTTGAGAGGCCAAGGCAGGTGGATCATTTGAGATCAGGGGCTCAAGACCACCCTGGCCAACATGGGGAAAATCCATCTGTACTAAAAATACAAAATAATAATAATAATGATAATAATTAGCCGAGCATGGTGGCACATGCCTGTAGTCCCAGCTACTTGGGAGGGTTGGGCAGGAGTTGCACTTAATTGCAGGAGGCGGAGGTTGCAGTGAGCTGAGATCATGCCACTGCACTGCAGCCTGGGCAACAGAGAGAGACACTCTCTCAAAATTAATTAATTAATTAATTAGTATTCTTTTTTTTTTACCCTCCACCCTTCCCTTCCTGGCCTCTGGTAGCCACCATTCTACTCTCTACCTTTGTGAGATCCACCTTTTAGCTCCTGCATATGAGTGAGAAATGGAAATACTTGTAATGACCTCCAGTTCCATTCATGTGGCTGTAAATGACAGGATGTTACTCTTTCTATGGATGAGTTGTCCCTATTGTGTGTGTGTACCACATTCTCTCCATCCATTCACCCACTGATGGGCGGGTAGGTTGATCCACATCTTGGCTACTGTGAACACTGCTGGAACAGTCATGGGAGTGCAGATGTCACTTCGATACGCTGATGTCCTTTCCTTTGGGTTTACACCCAGTCATGGAATTGCTAGATCCTCTGGAAGTGTCTTTTTACATTTTGTTTTATGGTTTTTGTTTTTGTTTTTGTTTTTTTTAGACAGTTTCACTCTTGTTGCCCAGGCTGGAGTGCAGTGGTGCCATCTGGGCTCACTGCAACCTCCACCTCCAGGATTCAAGAGATTCCCCAGCCTCAGCCTCCCAAGTAGCTGGGTTACTGGCTCCCACCACCACACTCGGCTAATTTTTATATTTTTAGTAGAGACAGAGTTTCGCTATATTGGCCAGGCTGCTCTTCAACTCCTGACCTCAAGTGACCTACCCACCTCGGCCTCCCAATGTGCTGGGATTACAGGCATGAACCACTGTGCCCGACCTCATTTTATTTTTTGAGGAACTTCCATACTCTTCTCCTCTGTAATGGCTGTACTAATTTGCATTCGTATCAGCAGTGTACCAGATGCAACCCTGGTTGACTCAGCAGAGCAAGAGACGTGCAGTAAGAGAGAATTTAGCTTATTTATGCACACGACACTTCCACTCACTCACTCGTTCAGCCAATGCCCCATGCTCTGGCTGTGCAGTGTGGAATCTTTTCCTATTGTTGCCATAACAAATTTCCACAAGCTTCGTGGATGAAAACATGTTTTTCTTAATTATCTCACAGTGCTGTAACTCAGAAGTATGAACTGCATTTCACTGGGCTGATATCAAAGGGACAGTAAGGCTGGATTTCTTTTTAAGGTTCCAAGCAAGAATCTGCTCCTTAACGTTTCCCAGCTCCTAGAGGCTCCCACGTTCCTGGGCCCCTGGTCCCCTTCCTCCTTCCTCCTTCCTCAAAGCCCACAAAGGCTGGTCACGTCTCACATGGCATCATTCAGACTCTTCTTCTTTACCCATACCTTTTTCTCTGAATCCTGCTCTGCCTTCTTCCTCATCTTTTAAGGACTTTGGGATTCTATTGGGGTCACCAAGATAATCCATCTCAATCTCCCTAAAATCATCCAGCGTACCCTCTTTTTAAGTTCAGCTGATTAGCAACCGTAATGCCATCTGCAATCTTCATTCCTCCTTTCCTGTAAAATAACATATTCACAAGCTATGGAGGCTAAGACAGGGACATTTTGGGGGTGGGGCAGCATTCTCCTGCCTTCCACAAATGGTAAACAGGATGCATTTGGCCTCTGCTCTTGGGACGCTGATATTGCAGATGGGTAAATGCGAGGGCAGAGAATGAATGCACAAGGGTACCAATAAATGAATGATCCATTGGGAAGCATCTGTGCACCAAATCTGGGGTTTTTTGTGTGTGTGTGTGTTTTTTGTTTTCTTTTTTTTTTTTGAGTAGAGTCTCTCTCTGTTCCACAGGCTGGAGTGCAGTAGCACAATCTCAGCTCATTGCAACCTCTGCCTCCTGGGTTCATGCAATTCTCCTGCCTCAGCCTACCGAGTAGCTGGGATTACAGCTGTGCGCCACCACACTCGGCTAATTTTTTTGGTATATTTTTTAGTAGAAATGAGGTTTCACCATGTTGTGCAGGCTGTCTCAAACTCCCAATCTCAAGTGATCCCACCGCCTTAGCGTCCCTAAGTGCAAAGATTACAGGCGAGAGCTACTGCGCCCAGCCAGGATTTAAAATAAGTAATAGATAATGCTGAGTATATAATTTCAGGTGACAGAGAAGGTCTCACTGATCAGATAATATTTGTGACCTTAATGGAAAAAATGGATTCAACCCTTGGAAGATTGGCGGAAGGATTTTCCACACTGAGCTCTCAGCCGTGAAGGCACAAAGGTGGAAACATTCTTAGTTCAAGGAAGAGGCTCTGCCTCAAATGCTGGGAATGAGATGGGGAGAATGACAAGACAACTGTAGAGAGATGGAGAGCACACTGGGTACACAGGAAACTAAGGAGGAACAAGGAGCATGTTTTTGATACTCACAGCCCTTGGATTCAACTCAGAGCTAACTAGGAATCCCTACCTGATTAACAGTGACCGACATGAAAATAAGGGAGGCCCAGGTGCGTAACTGGAATCTAGGAGACCGTGGAAAAGGCAATTCCCGCCCCACTGGTGAAACGTAGGGTTGATTTACACACTAAATGAATGAAAGATGGATATAAGCTATGCTTGTGAGGTAGAATCATTTGCAGGGAGGGCTTGCTGGGTTTGATTTTTCCTAGTAGTTTAATCCTTGTTTCATTAATTTCTTTCTGAGATGTGTTTTTTTTCTACATCTAAATCAATACCTGGCAGAGGAGCGATAGACACATGAGGGGTGGTGCAAATGAAGGGACCTAGTATAATATAATATACAAGACTGTGGATGGGGGCTCACACCTGTAACCCAACACTTTGGGAGGCCAAGGCGGGTAGATCACTTAAGGGTAGGAGTTTGAGACCAGCCTGGCCAACATGGTGAAACCCCGTCTGTACTAAAAATACAAAAATTAGCCTGGTGCATTGGCACCTGCCTGTAATCCCAGCGACTGGGGAGGCTGAAGCAGAAGAATGGCTTCAACCCTGGAGGCAGAGGTTGAACTGAGATCGCATCACTGCACTCCAGCCTGACACAGGGGGACTCTGTCTCAAAAAATAAAAATAAAACATACATAATTATGACACACAGAAATTACAAAGGCAACTGGATACCAACCATCATTTTTCTATTTCTCTGTGTTTAATTCTTTGACCCTTTATCTTATCCATTAAACAATCAGGTTAAACCTCTTCCTTATTTGGCTTTCTGTGAGCTTGGGATCATATGGAAAATGTGAAAGCCTCCTGAACCCACCAGCACAGGTCCTGGAATAGAGAACGTGCTCTGTTCATGGCATAAAACTTGCCCCTTCACCCAAATCCCCCAATTCATCTCTACTTCCAATCACCTATGGAGATACAGATAGATCATGGGGAGGTAAACACTAATACTCTTTGGAGTGAGCTCAGATCTTGGACTCAGAGACCAGTGCCAGCACTAGCCCCTGGTCACATTTCGTACTAACTCACAGAAGGACAGGCTGTATTGAAACAATAAACGACGGAGAGGGCGGTCCTTCCCCGTGCTTCTCGGGTGGAATAGCAGCCTAATATATGTCTCAGCAGATCACAAAAAGTAGCATGTTGTTCCTGGGCTACATCATTATTTCATGGCTGTTTGATTTAAGTCAGTTCTACTTCACTTTTTTTATCTTGATTTCATTTTTTCTTTCTTTTCTTGGAGAATGTAATTTTTTTTGAGTCAAGAGGGTTGTGGTGGTAGAAACTGTAAAGCACATTCGCTGTGTATCAATCCCAATCCAGTCTTCCCAGAGAAGATTCTAAACACCTCCTGGAATGCACCTGGGCCTATACCAATTCCTATCACTCACCGTCACTCCAGGGAGACAGAACACACAGAGAACACATTACACAGGCAGGTTCATTACTAACAGATAAGCAGCGAGTGACAACAGAAACCTACATTTCAATGTGAGCCAGTCCCTCAAGGCTCAGAAAAGCTGCTCGAGACATGTGGAGTCACCCCATATGCAGTGTATCTGGGGGAAATCAAAAAGCAGCCCAGCCTGGGTTTTGTACCCTGGAGCCACAGGAAGCACTCAGCTAAAGCACTGCATGACGTCCTCCTCCAGGAAGAACAGGAAGACAGCCCAGGCTGTTCTGGGATGTTCCTCCTGATCTCAGGACGTTGCTGTCTTAGTCCATTTTTGTTGCTCTAAAGGAACACTTGAGCCTGGGTAACTTCTAAAGAAAAGAAATGTGTTTGCCTCACAGTTCTGCAGGCTGTACTGGAAGCATGGCACCAGCATCTATTTCTTGTGACGGCCTCAGGCTGCTCCCACTCTGGCAGAAGGGAAGGAGGGTCTGTCTGTGCAGAGACCACAGAGATCACACGGCAAGAGAGGGACCAAGGGGGAGGGGGAGCGATGGAGCTTCCAAGCTCTTTTAACAACCAGTTCTCCAGGAACTAATAGAGGGGGAACTTGCTAACCCCGTCTCCTTGGAACAGCATTGATCTGTTCATGATGGATCCACCTCCATGACCCAAACAACTCCCAAGAGGCCCAACCTCCCACCCTGGGGGTTACATTTCAATGTGAGGTTTGAAGGGGTCAAACATCTAAACTAAAGCAGTTGTATCCTCAGCACGTTCTATGGTTACTACAACTGAGAAAGCAGGAGGAAGCTAGGTCTCCCGCCATCTGGGTGCTTGTCCTAAAGAGACGTTGTATGTGGTTACCTGTCAATCAAGAAATGTGAGACAATTCATATAGAGGAACTGCTATGATTAGCTTCTTATTGGTGTCTTGTCTTCCTCCAGGTAACTCCAGACACCTGCACGTTCTGATTGGGACCTCAGTGGTCATCATCCCCTTTGCTATCCTCCTCTTCTTTCTCCTTCATCGCTGGTGTGCCAACAAAAAGAGTAAGTCTCACGAAGCAGAAGCCAGAGAGCTCAGGGCCATGTGGGGAAGCAGGATGGGAGCACTCAGGTGTGTGTTCCTCACAGGCAGGATGGTCCCTGGCCCAAGGCAGGAGCCACAGAGGCAGGACTTTCTAGAGAGAGCACCAGACTCCCTGCCTCTGCCTTCAGCTCACAGACCATTGCCTGATTCTGAACCGTATCCTCACATCCCCTGCAGCCACTCACATCCAGGAGAAGGTTCCATGACAGGCAGAAAGTGGGACACAGAATCAATAGGATGGGAACTCAGAGCTATACATGGGATGGATCCTTGAGCTCAGAGAGATAGAATGTCTGAGTCTGCTGTTGGCAACTGAGGGACCTCAGGCACCTATGGCCTCCCCCTGTATGTTGGTATCTGCTTATGAAATGAGGACCCAGAAGTGCCCTCCGAGCTGTTTTGACGACTTCCGTCTTCTACAGATGCTGTTGTAATGGACCAAGAGCCTGCAGGGAACAGAACAGTGAACAGGGAGGTAGGTGCTCCTCCGCCCAGCCTCGTGGCTAGTCTTATTCCCAAAGAGTCCTGGAAAATGTGAGCACCCTCCCTCACTCAGCATTTCCCTCCCTCCAGGACTCTGATGAACAAGACCCTCAGGAGGTGACATACGCACAGTTGAATCACTGCGTTTTCACACAGAGAAAAATCACTCGCCCTTCTCAGAGGCCCAAGACACCCCCAACAGATACCAGCGTGTAACACGGAACTTCCAAATGCTGAGCGCAGATCCAAAGTTGTCTTCTGTCCACTAGCACCACAGTCAGGCCTTGATGGGATCTTCTAGGGAGACAATAGCCCTGTCTCAAAACCGGGTTGCCAGCTCCCATGTACCAGCAGCTGGACTCTGAAGGCGTGAGTCTGCATCTTAGGGCATCGCTCTTCCTCACACCACGAATCTGAACATGCCTCTCTCTTGCTTACAAATGTCTAAGGTCCCCACTGCCTGCTGGAGAGAAAACACACTTGCTTAGCCCACAATTCTCCATTTCACTTGACCCCTGCCCACCTCTCCAACCTAACTGGCTTACTTCCTAGTCTACTTGAGGCTGCGATCACACTGAGGAACTCACAATTCCAAACATATAAGAGGCTCCCTCTTAACACGGCACTTAGATACGTGCTATTCCACCTTTCCTCAGAGTATCTTTCAGCCTTCTGTCAGCAGTAAAACTTATAAATTTTTTTTATAATTTCAATGTAGTTTTCTCTTCTTCAAGTAAACATGTCTGCCCTCATGGTTTCGTCAATGGGACTCTTTTCTTGCCTAAGGCTTCCGGTGTTATCATTACCACGTCCACATAACCCCATCTGTTCTCCGCTGGGTTCTCACCCCTGGACTCTGAGCTTCTGGAAGCAGGGTGGAGCCTGAATTGTCTCTGAGACTCCAATTTCCATCCAAAGATGCAGCACATAGGAGGTTCCAAGGATGGTGAATCAGATGAACAAGTGATATTCTTACTCTCTGCAGATCTGGAAAGCTGGCAGAGTCATTCCACGATGAAACATTTGTAGAGTCATAGGCCTTGTTAGTCTCATCTCCACAGGGACACGTATCAACACATCATCTTTCATACTACTATAAATAGACAGTCACTCCTCCATATCTCTGGGGTTTACACATGTTTATTGAATCAGCAATAAATCAAAAATATTTTGAGAAAAAAAATCCCCGAAGTTTCAAAAAGCAAAAAACTATGTTGAATCGACACAAATTGAGTGGCGTGTAGGCTGTGTCAGGAATTATAAGTAATCAAGAGATGATTTCATGTATACAGGAGGATGTGCATGGGTTCTATGCAATTGCTATGCTATTTTTTTTTTTTTTGAGACAGTCTCACTCTCTCACCCAGGCTGGAGTGCAGTGGCGTGATCTCAACTCACTGCAACCTCCGCCTTCCAGGTTCAAGCGATTCTCTTCCCTCAGCCTCCCCAGTAGCCTCCCCTAGGATTACAGGCACGTGCCACCCTGCACAGATAAATTTTTTTGTGTGTATATTTTTAGTAGAGATGGGGTTTCAGAATGTTGGACCAGCTGGTCTTGAACTCCTGACCTTGTGATCTACCCAGCTCAGCCTCCCAAAGTGCTGGGATTACAGGCGTGAGCCACGGTGCCCAGCTTCACTATGCCATTTCATGCAAGGGGCTTGAGCATCTGCAGATTTTGGTATCTGAATGGGGATCCTGGAACCAATCACCCAGGTATAGTGAAGGACCATGGTATATAATTTTTATTTGTCAATCTTAAAAATAAAGCATAAAAAATTTACAACAACAAGATAAAAAATAAGAAGTGTTTTTATAGTGTGAGGATAAGTTTAGATTTATTTTTTCCTACGTGTAACCCTATGGTCCTGTGTTATTTGTTGAGAAAATATTCTATTCCACCTTAAACTACATGGCAGCCTTTGTCAACTATAAAGGGACTGTGTATCCACAGATGTATTTTAGACACAGTTTTCTGTCCAGTGGTTCTCTGTATCCCCTCTCATGAGGATGCTGCATTTTATATAAACTTATAGAACCCCTTAAAATTTGGTAACCTGAGTCCTCTGATTTGTTATTATAGGTTATTTAGTTTGCTTTTTTTTTTTTTCTTGAGACAGACTCTTCCTCTGTCACCCAAGCTGGAGTTCAGTGGCTTGAGCTCAGCTCACTGCAACCTCCGTCTCCCAGGTTCAAGCTATTCTGATGCCTCTGGTTTAGTAGTAGAAACTCAAGCAGGAAAATTAGAATGGCTTCTTGTCACAATTACTCTGATAATGTTAATAATACCTGTTAGACATTTTGCACATTACATATGAAGAAGAGTTTGAATCTCAGATAAAAACAAAAATACATCAAAAATCTTTAATGTAAGCACAGAATTCAATCATCTCGTGTATGAGAGGTTGGATCTGAGACGTCTTTTGAGTCTGGTCGTAGTGAAGGACGCAAGGTGTCAATTCTAGTGAGAACAATTTCCAGGAAGCCATGTTCCGCTCTTGAGCGAGCACCCACTGGGCCTCATGCAAGGTAGAAAGAGCCTGCGTACGTCACCCTCCCATGATGTGGTCAACATGTAAACTGCATGGGCAGGGCGCCAAATAACATCCTGTGCGCTGCTGAGCTGAGCTGGGGCGCGGCCGCCTGTCTGCACAGACAGCACCATGTCGCTCATGGTCGTCAGCATGGTGTGTGTTGGTGAGTCCTGGAAGGGCATCGAGGGAGGGAGTGCGGGGATGGAGATCGGGGCCCAGAGTTGGAGATATAGGCCTGGAAGTGGAGTTATGGGCCTAGAGATGGAGTGATGGGCCTAGAAGTGGAGATCTGGGCCTGGAGTGGAGATCTGGGCCTGGAGTGGAGATATGGGCCTGGAGGTTGAGATATGGGCCTGCAGTAGAGATATGGGCTTGTAGTGGAGACATGGGCCTGGAGATGGAGATATGGGCCTGGAGATGGAGATATGGGCCTGCAGTAGAGATAGGGGCCTGGAGTGGAGATATGGGCCTGGAGTGGAGATATGGGCCTGGAGGTGGAGATATGGGCCTGGAGGTGGAGATATGGGCCTGGAGTGGAGATATGGGTCTGGAGGTGGAGATACGGGCCTGCAGTAGAGATATGGGCCTGGAGTGGAGATATGGGCCAGGAGTGGAGTTATGGGCCTAGAGATGGATATCTGGGCCTGGAGTGGAGATATGGGCCTAGGAAGGAGATATGGGCCTGGGTGTGGAGATATGGGACTGGAGAGGTGATATGGGCCTGGAGTGGAGATATGGGCTTAGGGTGGAGATCTGGGCCTGGGGCGGAGATATGGGACTGGATTGGAGATAGGGGCCTAGGGTGGAGATCTGAGCCTGGATTGGCGATATGGGCCTAGGGTGGAAATATCAGCCTGGAGTGGAGATATGGGCTTGGGGTGGGGATATGGGCCTGGAAACTGGGTCTCTGCACAGCCGACAGCCCTGTTCTTGGGTGCAGGTAGGCACTGAGGGTGAGTTTAACTTCAGCCCAGGAAGGGCCTGGCTGCCAAGACTCACAGCCCAGTGGGGGCAGCAAGGGAGGCCTGGTTTGCCTGCAGATGGATGGTCCATCATGATCTTTCTTTCCAGGGTTCTTCTTGCTGCAGGGGGCCTGGCCACATGAGGGTGAGTCCTTCTCCAAACCTTCGGGTGTCATCTCCCCACATAAGAGGATTTTCCTGAAACAGGAGGGAAGTCCTGTCGGGGAGTCTCTCATAAACTAGGAAGAGAGGACCCTGGGGTGCTCAGCCCACATTTCTGACCTCGCCTCCCTGGCCTCTCAACCCCTTGGCAGAGTCAAGTTCTGTGGGGACCAGGGTTAGACTGGGGTGCTCAAAGCTGGGGTGTGTGGTTGGGAAGTGGTAGGAACAGCAGATCCTCTGAGGACAAAGGTGTTACTCACACACTTCAGCGTTTCCATGATGGTAGGGGCTGCAGTGTGGCTGCTGTCATTCTACCAGAAGAGGTGGGAAACCACAGCCATGGCCCTGACATTCCAAATCCTCTGATGGGGGCTCAGTTGTTTATTTTCGTTCAGGCATCCGCTGATATCCATTCACAAAGGACATGCCCTCCACCTCATGTCTACCCTGTGTTGTTTTATGTGAGTAATCTTACAGTATTAAAATCTAGTAGGAGTCTCTTTACTCAGCACTTGCTCAAAGTTCTCAGCTGAGGCTTTTGTTGTAGGGAGACACCATGTCTTTGCGGGATGGGTCCTTCCTTCAGCCCTGGGCACCAAGGTGTGATAGTAGCCATAGAAACGTGGAAAGCGAGGAGAATCTTCTGAGCACAGGGAGGGAAGGGCAGTTCCACATCCTCCTCTCTAAGGCGGCGCCTCCTTCTCCCCAAGGTGGTCAGGACAAGCCCTTGCTGTCTGCCTGGCCCAGCCTTGTGGTGCCTCTAGGACATGTCATTCTTCGGTGTCACTCTTATCTTGGGTTTAACAACTTCAGTCTGTAAAAGGAAGGTGGGGTGCCTGTCCCTGAGCTCCACAACAGAATATTCTGGAACAGCCTTTTCATGGGCCCTGTGACCCCCGCACACACAGGGACATACAGATGTCGGGGTTCACACACACACTCCCCCAGTGGGTGGTCAGCACCCAGCAACCCCCTGGTGATCGTGGTCATAGGTCAGAGGGCTCCTGTCTTGGATTCTCCTTGTCCCACCTCCTGAATCCCAGAGCTTCTGTTGGGCATGTCCTTGAGGGTCCCATCACGCAGGCCCTGACTGTATTTGTGGTAAAGGGGGATTGAATACAGGGAAATGGGTGCTGTGGTGGGAAGAATAATTGTCCCCAGTGATGACTACATTCTAATCCCTGGAGTCTGTGACTATTTATGTTATAGGGGAAGGGACTGAAGGGGAAGATGGAGCTCATGGGGAGACAGCCTGGACTGTCCCACTGGGCTCAGTGTAATCACAAGGGTGCACATGAAAGGAGGAGGAAGAGGGGAGTGGGGATTAGAGCAGTCCAGTGGAAGTCTTCACCAGCTTTGAAGGTGGAGGAAGGCCAAGATCCATGAATGCAGGTGGCCTATAGAGGCTGGAAAAGTCAAGGAACTGATTCTCCAGAGTCTCCAGAGGGAACAAAGCCCTGCAGATGCCTTGATTTTAGCCCAGGAAAAATAGGGTCCAATTTCTGTCTCCAGTACTGGAAGGTGTCAGTGTGGTCTCTCCTGCTGCCATGCTTCTGATAATTTTCTACAGCAGCAACAGGAAACCAACACTGGAACCCAGGTCAAGGACAAGTTAAGAAACAACCCAAGGAAAGCCAGGCATGGTGGCAGGTGCATGTAATCCTAGCGACTCAGGAGGCTGAGGGCAGGAGAATCACTTGAACCCAGGAGACAGAGGTTGCAGTGAGCCTAGACCACACCACTTCACTCCAGCCTGGGTGAAGGAGTGAGACTCTGTCTCCATAATTAATTAATTAATTAAAGAAACCAAACAAGGAGAAGGTTGGCTACCCTGAGATCAGCAAGGGTGGGATGATGATGCCACCACCAGGCTCCATCCACATAGGGAGGGGTTGATACTCCTCCAACCAGCACCAGGAGCCAGCCTATGGAAGCTGGCACCATGGAGAAGGCACAGGCATGGCAAGAGTGGCTCCCAGTCCCCACCAGGAACAGGGTGTGTGGACACTGGTGCCTGCCTTATTCATCAGTTCATACCTTCTGCCAAGGATTGCAATTCATCCAAAAGAGATTGAACCAGGCTGATAAGAGCCTGGATGTGCAGCCTATCCTGGTTCCTCTTTCACCCCCACATAAACAGCAGGAAATACATTAGTGTGAAATAGATACAACACCCCAAGAGATGAGGCTCAGCCCAGTGGGAAGGGAATCAGAGGCTACTAGAGACAGAGGGACAGAGAAGAGGGAGGGAGACAGATGGAAGGACCTGCACCAGGAGTTAAGGGCACAGAAAAGAACATGAAGACACAGAGAGGAAGGAGAGAGACAGACACCAGCAAGGGGAAGCCTCACTCATTCTAGGTGCCATGGATGGGATGATAAAGAGAGACACCTTCTAAACTCACAACCTCTCTTCCTAGGAGTCCACAGAAAACCTTCCCTCCTGGCCCACCCAGGTCCCCTGGTGAAATCAGAAGAGACAGTCATCCTGCAATGTTGGTCAGATGTCAGGTTTCAGCACTTCCTTCTGCACAGAGAAGGGAAGTTTAAGGACACTTTGCACCTCATTGGAGAGCACCATGATGGGGTCTCCAAGGCCAACTTCTCCATCGGTCCCATGATGCAAGACCTTGCAGGGACCTACAGATGCTACGGTTCTGTTACTCACTCCCCCTATCAGTTGTCAGCTCCCAGTGACCCTCTGGACATCGTCATCACAGGTGAGAGTGTCCGGACATTCTCATTGTCATTGGGATGCAGAGTGAATGATCCACGACTTGGAACCCCCAGGTAGTTGTAAGGAAGATGAGCTTGGTATTCTTATGGAGAGAGACTGACTTGCTGAGGTTTGTACCAACAGAGACAGAGAAACAGGAGACACAAGTACAGACCAGGTGTCATAACAGAGGACAGACACAGGGGCCATACAGGGAGTTAGAAAAGACAGAAAGAGTTAAAAGAGACAGACAGACAGACATGTCCCAGAGAGAGGTGTCCCTCCATGCTGACTTTGCTCACAGACCTGGCACAGGTTAGAAGTTTCATTTCTGTTTTACCTCCACAAAGTGTTCTCTACCAGGAGAACCCAAGGACACCCATATTTATGACCTGAGTTGGGCCCTGTGGCCTCAGGCCTTGTGGCACCTACAGATGCCATGTTTATTCTGACACCTCTGCCTTCCATGTAATGGAGAGTAATCGTCCCAGGATATCATGGCCCCACAACACCAACCCCTGTATGCTGTGTGAACTTGTGGTCTCCAGACTGGATTCTGTGGCTCACATTCCAAATAACCCCACATATGAAAGGATCACTGAGAGGCACAGAGAAAAATCAGGAACACCAAAAAGCAAAGACATAAACACACAGAGAATGAGCCAGAGGAAGGAGATTGAGAGACTCACAGACACATAAAGAGAGAGAAAAGAGGGCAGAGGAGTGGTGAGAATGATGGCAGGGAGCAGAGAAAAGCACTAAAATTAGAGTCCTGAGAGAGAGGCACAAGGACATAGAAAGATGGAGATGTGGGGATGAATTGCAGAGATTCCAAAGAGAACTAGAGAGACCGAGAGGCAGAGCAAGACAGATGATAGATGGATAGATATAGATAGATGATAAATAGGTAGATGATAGATAATAGGTTAAAGATACATAGATGATGATTGATTGATTCATTAATAGATAATACATAGAGATGATGATGATGAAGACAGATAATACGTACAGATAGAGAGGCAGACAGAAATCATAGAGAGAGAGATGATACATACATATAAATAACAGATGATTGATGGATAGATAGACAAGTGATAGATACATAGATGATATATAGATATAGATGACAGGTAGAGAATTTGTAGATAGGCACCGAATAGATAAATAGATAGATCGACAGATAATAGATAGAAATATGCAGAAAGTTATGAACAGGACACAACGTGAGAAACTTAGAATTTAAAAAAGTAACATCAAGTCAACCAATCCAAGGAGAGTCAGAGAGAATAAAAGAATCCAAAAAGGGAAAACATATCTAGAGGTGGGGAAGCGAGGTCAGAGACCTAGAGAGACAGAGAAGGTGGAAGAAGGAAATAGACATGAAGAGAGATGGGGTGGAGGGTGAGAGAGAGAGAGAGAGAGAGCATTAGGTCATAGAGCAGGGGAGTGAGTTCTCAGCTCAGGTGAAGGGAGCTGTGACAAGGAAGATCCTCCGTAAGGAAAATGCCTCTTCTCCTCCAGGTCTATATGAGAAACCTTCTCTCTCAGCCCAGCCGGGCCCCACGGTTCTGGCAGGAGAGAGCGTGACCTTGTCCTGCAGCTCCCGGAGCTCCTATGACATGTACCATCTATCCAGGGAGGGGGAGGCCCATGAACGTAGGTTCTCTGCAGGGCCCAAGGTCAACGGAACATTCCAGGCCGACTTTCCTCTGGGCCCTGCCACCCACGGAGGAACCTACAGATGCTTCGGCTCTTTCCGTGACTCTCCATACGAGTGGTCAAACTCGAGTGACCCACTGCTTGTTTCTGTCACAGGTGAGGAAACCCCATATCTGTCTCATGTCCTATGATCCTAGAGCCTTAGCTGAGGAGCTTCCTGCTGATGATGGAGAGAAGCATGGACAGATGCAGAGAGAAGACGAAGCTTGGGTGTGAGGGAGGGATCAGGGCACAGGATGGCAGACAGGGCACCTCCAAACCCTCCTACACGGCCTGCATGAAGGCCCGCGGCCAGGGCTCCAGGCACACAGGCAGATGGAGAAAACGGTCAGGAGAGACCCAGAGGAGAGAGACTGGGCTCAGTTTGGGAAGATCAGAGGTTCCCTCAGCCCCTCAACATTACCCATTTCCCAGAAGCCCATCCTGGCCTCTCACCCACACAGGGATGTCATCACCAGCAACCCCTACACCCTTTACTTTTGTTTGAAGAAATATTTATTGAGGATAAATATACCTATATAGCTTACCACCTTTAACATTTTTTTTTTTTTTGAGGCAGAGTCTAGCTCTGTCCCCTATGCTGGAGTGCAGTGGCACAATCTCAGCTCACTGCAACTTCCGCCTCCTGGGTTCAAGTGATTCTCCTGCTTCAGCCACCTGAGTAGCTGGTGCTACAGGCGCGCACCACCACGCCAGGCTACTTTTTGTATTTTTAGTAGAGAGGGGGTTTCACCATGTTGGTCGAGCTGGTCTCCAACTCCTGACCACGTGATCCACCCGCATCTGCCTCCCAAAGTGCTGGGATTACAGGCATGAGCCACCACGCCCAGCCACATTTACCATTTTTAAGTGTAAAGTCTAGTGGTCATAAATACATTTATATATATATATATATATATATATATACACACACACACACATATATAAACATATATATATATATATATATATATATATATATATATATATTTTTTTTTTTTTTTTTTTTTACCCTCCACCCTTTTATTCCTGGCCTCTGGAAGCCACCATTCTACTCTCTACCTTCATGAGATCCACCTTTTAGCTCTGTATATGGGTGAGAAATGGGAATCTTTGTAATGACTTCCAGTTCCATCCATGTGGCTGCAAATATCAGGATGTTATTCTTTCTATGGATGAGTAGTCTCCACTGTGCGTATGTACTACATTCTCTCTATCCATTCATCCACTGATGGGCAGGTAGGTTGACTCCACATCTTGGCTACTGTGAACAGTGCTGCACCAATCATACGAGTGCAGATATCACTTCGATATATTGATTTACTTTCCTTTGGATATAAACCCAGTAGTGAAATTGCTGGATACTATGAAAGTTCTCTTTTTAGTTATTCGTTTGTTGTTTTGTTTTTGTTTTTGAGACAGTTTCCCTCTGTGCCCAGGCTGGAGTACAAGTGAAGTCATCTTGGCTCATTGCAACCTCCGCCTCCTGGGTTCAAATGATTTTCCTGCCTCAGCCTCCCTAGTAGCTGGGATTACAGGTGCACGCCACCATGCCTGGCTACTTTTTGTTTTTTTTAGTATAGATGGGGTTTCCCCATGTTGGCTGGGCTGCTCTCAAACTCATGACCTCAACTGAGGTGCCCGCCTCGGTCTCCCAAAGTGCCGGGATTACAGGCATGATCCACCTCACCCAACCTCTTTTTAGTTCTTTAAAGGACTTCCACACTTTTCTCCGTAAAGGCTGTACTAATTTACACTCCTACCAACAGGGTATTAGGGTTCTCCTTTCTCTACCACTTTGGCAGGATTTCCTTTGCCTGTCTTGCAGCTAAAAGCCATTTTATTTTATTTCATTTTATTTTGAGATGGAGTTTCGCTCTTGTCACCCAGGCTGGAGTGCAGTGGTGCGATCTTGGCTCACCACAACCTCCACCTCCCAGGTTCAAGCGATTCTCCTGCCTCAGCCTCCCGAGTAGCTGGAATTACAGGCACACGCCACCACGCCCAACTAAATTTTGTATTTTTAGTAGAGACAGTGTTTCTTCATGTGGGTCAGACTGGTCTCAAACTCCCGACCTTATGAGGTTCACCCACCTCAGGCTCTCAAAGGTCTAGGATGACAGACGTGAGCCACCACGCCCGGCCTAAAATCCATTTTAATGGGGTGAGATGAAAACTCACTTTGATTTTAATTTGTGTTTCTCTGATGATGAGTGAAACTGAGCACTTTTTAGTATGTGGGGAAATTTCATGTGTTTTGCTCCTTTTTCAATTAAATCGTTTGTTTTATTGAGTTGTTTGAGCTTCTTATATTTCTAGTTATTAATCCCATCTCAGATGCATAGTTTGCACATATTTGCTCCCAATCTGTGGGTTGTCTCTTCACTTTGTTGGTTTATTTTTAGCGGTGCAGAAGTTGCTTAGTTTGAGGTAATCCCAATGGTCTATTTTTGCTTCGATTACTTGTGTTTTGAAGGTTTAAAACAAAATGTCTTCCTTCAGACAAATGTCCTGGAGCATTTCCCCAATATTTTCTTCTACGTGTTTCATAGGTTCAGGCCTTAGACTCACATCTTTAATCCATTTTCATTTGAGTTTTGTGTATAGTGACAGGTAGAGGTGCAGTTTCATTCCTCTGCATGTAGATGTCCAGGTTTCCCTGCACTGTTTATTGAAAAGACTGTCCTTTCCTGATTGTGAGTTCTTGGCACCTTTGTCAAAGTCCATTGGATGGGCTGGGCATGGTGGCTGACACCTGCAATTTCAGCACTTTGGGAGCCCAAGGCGGGTGGATCACCTGAGGCCAGGAGTTCAAGATTAGTCTGGCCGACGTGATGAAACATTGTCTCCACTAAAAATATAAAAATTAGCTGAGCATGGTGGTCAGCACCTGTAATACCACTACTCAGGAGTTTGAGGCCAGAGAATTGATTGAACCCAGGAGGCTGTGGTGGCAGTGAACCGAGATTGCACCTCTGCACTCCAGCCTGGGTGACAGAGCGAGACTCCATCTCAAAAGAAAAAAGAAAAAAACATTGGAGGTAAATGCATGGATTATATCTGTGTTCTTCATTCTGCTCCATTGTTCTACGTGCCTTTCTTTATGCCAATGTGATGCTGTTTTGCTTACTACAGCTCTGTAACATATTTTGAGATCAGGTAGTGTGATGCTCCTGTTTTCTCTTTATACCTTGAAGTCTCAAGACAGTGGGCGTCACATACAAAAATTACGGAAAAAAGGATCCCAGGACTCCCAGGGCCCAATATTAGATAACAGAGTGTTGGCCATGAACCAACCTCAAAGATTTCCATTGAGTAGAGGACAGACACCCTCATTTCCTCACCTCTCTCCTGTCTCGTGTTCTAGGAAACCCTTCAAATAGTTGGCCTTCACCCACTGAACCAAGCTCCGAAACCGGTGAGTACAGAACCCTCTTATATCCGCTTTTGGAAACCTGGGGAGGTAGAAACCTTCGATGCAGGCATTGACTCAGCATCTCGCAGCTCTGACATTGTACGCCTGTCTTCTACCATCTCCGAACTCCAGATACTCCAACAGCGAAAGGGATCTGGGCCCAACCTAGGGCTCAGTGAAATCTCTTAATCTCTCATTTTATGGAGCTGAGACCTCCTACAAGCTAGAAGAATGATTGCCAATCTGACATCCTTCTCAGGAAAAATGCAATGTTTGTTCTGCCTGCATTCCTAACTGGAGGATAAATTCCTGGGGGCTTGAGAGAGGGAAGGGAAGGGAACATCTGATGAGGGCGAGGTGTTTTAGAGAAGTTCCACTTGCCAAGGAATGAATTACTGTTGGTCATGAAGCAACCCTGGCTGACTCAGCAGAGCAACAGCCTTGCCGTAACAGAGAACGGAGCTCATGCACGCACACTTCGACTCACTGACTCATTCAGCCACGGCCCCATGCTCAGGCTGTGCAGTGCGGAACCTTTTCCTATTGTTGCCATAACAAATTTCCACAAGATTCGTGGGTGAAAACAAAACGGTTTTTTAATTATCTTACAGTGCTGTAGCTCAAAGTAGGAAGTGCATCTTACTGGGCTAAAATCAAGGTGACAGCAAGGCTGCCTTCCCTCTGAGGATTCCAGGCAAGAATCTGCTTCTCACTTATCCCAGCTTCTAAAGGCTCCCAGTTCCTAGGCTCCTGTTCCCCTTCCTCCTTCCTCAAAGCCCACAAAGACTGGTCACATCTCACATGGCATCACTCAGTGCCTTCTTCCTTACCACACCTCTTTCTCTGAATGCTGCTCTCCCTTCTTCCTTATCTTTTGAAAACTTGGGGATTCTATTGGGTTCACCAAGATGAAAATCCCTCATAATCTCCTGGAAATCATCCAGGATACCCTTGTTTTAAGTTCAGCTGATTAGCAACCGCAATTCCATCTACAATCTTCATTCCTCCTTTCCATGTAAAATAACATATTCACAAGCTATGGAGGCTAGGACAGGGACATTTTGGGGTGGGACAGCATTCTCCTGCCTTCCACAAACGGTGAACAAGATGCATTTGGCTTCTGCCCTTGGGACACTGATATTGCAGATGGTTAAATGGGAGGGCAGAAAATGAATGCACAAGTGGATCTATAAATGAATGATCCATTGGGAAGCATCTGTGCATGAAATCTATTTTTTGTTTGTTCTTTTGTTTATTGAGACAGAGTCGCCCTCTGTCTTCCAGGCTACAGTGCAGTGTCACGATCTTGGCTCACTGCAACCTGCGTCTCCTGGATTCAAGTGATTCTCCTGCCTCCGCCTCTCGAGTAGCTGGGATTACAGGCAACTGCCACCGTGCCCGGCTAATTCTTTTTGTATATTTTTTGTAGAGAGGATGTTTCACCACGTTGGCCAAGCTTGTCTGAAACTCCCAACCTCAAGTGATCCGACCGTCTCAGCATGCCAAAGTAATGGGACTACAGGCGTGAGCCACTGTGCCCAGCCAGAATTCAAAATCAATAATAGATAATGCTGAGTGTATGATTTCAGGTGACAAAGAAGGTCTCACTATTCAGATATTTGTGACATTAATGAAAAACACGGATTGAACCCCTGAAAGATTGGCGGAAGGATTTTGCACACACAGCTGTCAGCCGTGAAGGCACAAAGGTGAAAACAATCTGATGTGGAAGGAAGAGGCTCTGCCTCAAATGCTGGGAATGATGTGGGGAGAATGACAAGACGACTGTAGAGAGACGGAGAGCACACTGGGTACACAGGAAACTAAGGAGCAACAAGGAGTGTGTGTTTGACACTCACAGCCATTGGATTCACCTCGGGGTAACCAGGAATCCCTACATGATTAATATGACTGACATGAAAATAAGGGAGGCTCAGTTGCATAACTGGAATCTAGGAGACCGTGGAAAAGGCAATTGCCACCCCACTGGTGAAATGTGGTGCTGATTTAGACACTAAATGAATGAAGTAGATGGATATAAGATATGTTTGTGAGGTAGAATCATTGACTGGAAACGCTTACTGGGTTTGATTTTCCTACTTGTTTAATCCTCGCTTAATTAATTTCTTTCTGAGATTTATTCATCCTACACATAAATCAATACCTGGCAAAGGAGTGACAGATATATGAGTGGTGGTGGAAATGAAGAGACTTATTATAGCATAATATACAAGTCTGTGAACAGTGGCTCACGCCTGTAACCTAGCACTGCAGGAGGCCAAGGTGGGTGGATTCCATGAAGTCAGGAGTTCCAGACCAGCCTGGCCAACGTGGTGAAACCCTATCTCTACTAAAAATACAAAAATTAGCCGAGCACGATGGTGCATCCCTGTAATCCCAGCTCCTATTCTGGAGGATGAAGCAGGAGAATGACTTCAACCCAGTAGGTGGAGGTTGCAGTGAGTGGAGATTGCATCACTGCACTCCAGCCTGGGGGACACAAGGAGACTCTATCTCAAAAAATAAAAATAAGAAATACATAAATATAATAAAACACACACGAATGACAAAGGCACCTGAATTCCAATCATCGTTTTTCTATTTCTCTATAATTACTTCTTTGATCCTTTATCTTATCCATTAGGCAATGAGCTTAAAACCTCTTCCCTATTTGGCTTTCTGTGAGAATGAGATCACATAGAAAATGTGAAAGCCCTCAGAATCCTCCAGCACAGATCGTGGAATAGAGAAAGTGCTCTGTTCATCGCAACAAAAAACTTGCCCACTCACCCAAATCCCCCACCTCACCCCTACTTCCAATCACCTGTGGAGATTCAGATAGGCTATGGGGAGGTAAACATTGATACTCCTTGGAGTGAGTCCAGATCTTGGAATCAGAGATCAGTGCCAGCACTAGCTCCTGCTCCCCTTTCCTACTAATTCACAGGAGGACAGGTGGTATTGAAGCAATAGATGGCCGAGGGGGTGGTCCTTCCCCCAGCCTCTCGGGTAGAACAGCAGCCTAACATGTGTCTCCCGAGATCACAAAGAGTAGCACGTTTCACACGGGCTTCAACACTATTTCCTGGCCATTTGACATAAGAGAATTCTACTTAGCTTTTTTTATCTTGATTTCACTTTTGTTTCCTTTTCTTGGAGAATGCAAGTTGTTTGATTCAAGAATGCTGTGGATGTAGAAATCCTAAAGCACATTCGCTGTGTATCAATCCCAGTGCAGTCTTCCCAGAGAAGACTCTAAATACCTCCTGGACTGCACCTGGGCTTATGCCAATTCCTATCACTCACCGTCACTCCAGGGAGACAGAACACACAGAGAATACATTACACAGGCAGGTTCATTACTAACAGATAAGCAGCGAGTGACAACAGAAACCTACATTTCAATGTGAGCCAGTCCCTCAAGGCTCAGAAAAGCTACTCGGGACATATGGAGTCACCCCATTTGCAGTGTAGCTGGGGGAAGCCAGAGAGCAGCCCAGCCTGGGTTTTGTACTGTGGAGCCACAGGAAGCACTCAGCTAAAGCACTGCATGACGTCCTCCTCCAGGAAGAACAGGAAGACAGCCCAGGCTGTTCTGAGACGTTCCTCCTGATCTCAGGACGTTGCTGTCTTAGTCCATTTTTGTTGCTCTAAAGGAACACTTGAGCCTGGGTAACTTCTAGAGAAAAGAGATTGGTTTGCCTCACAGTTCTGCAGGCTGTACTGGAAGCGTGGCACCAGCATCTATTTCTCGTGACGGCCTCAGGCTGCTCCCACTCTGGCAGAAGGGAAGGAGGGTCTGTCTGTGCAGAGACCACAGAGATCACACGGCAAGAGAGGGAGCAAGGGGGAGGGGGAGCGATGGAGCTTCCAAGCTCTTTTGAACAACCAGCTCTCCAGGAACTAATAGAAGGGGAACTTGCTAACCCCGTCTCCTTGGGACAGCATTGGTCTGTTCATGATGGATCCACCTCCATGACCCAAACACCTCTCAAGAGGCCCAACCTCCCACAGTGGGGGTGAAATTTCAATGTGAGGTTTGAAGGGGTCAAACATCTCAACTAAAGTAGTTGTATCCTCAACACGTTCTATGGTTACTATGAGAGCTATAACTGAGAAAGCAGGAGAAAGCTGGGTCTCCCTCCATCTGGGTGCTTGTCCTAAAGGGGTGTTGTATGTGGTTACCTGTCAATCAAGAAATGTGAGACAATTCATAAAGAGGAACTGCTATGATTAGCTTCTTATTGGTGTCTCCTCTTCTTCCAGGTAACCCCAGACACCTGCATGTTCTGATTGGGACCTCAGTGGTCATCATCCTCTTCATCCTCCTCCTCTTCTTTCTCCTTCATCGCTGGTGCTGCAACAAAAAAAGTAAGTCTCACGAAGCAGAGGCCAGAGAGCTCAGGGCCATGTGGGGAAGCAGGATGGGAGCACTCAGGTGTGTGTTCCTCACAGACAGGATGGTCCCTGGCCCAAGGCAGCAGCCACAGAGGGAGGACTTTCTAGAGAGAGCACCAGACTCCCTGTCCCTGCCTTCAGCTCACAGACCATTGCCTGATTCTGAACTGTATCCTCATGTCCCCTGCAGCCACTCACATCCAGGAGAAGGTTCCATGACAGGCAGAAAGTGGGAGACAGAATCAATGGGATGGGAACTCAGAGCTATTCATGGGATGGGTCCTTGAGCTCAGAGAGATAGAATGTCTGAGTCTGCTGTTGGCAACTGAGGGACCTCAGGCTCCTATGGTCTCCCCCTGTATGTTGGTATCTGCTTATGAAATGAGGGCCCAGAAGTGCCCTCTGAGCTGTTTTGTTGACTTCCGTCTTCTACAGATGCTGTTGTAATGGACCAAGAGCCTGCAGGGAACAGAACAGTGAACAGGGAGGTAGGTGCTCCTCGGCCCAGCCTCGTGGCTAGTGTTATTCCCAAAGAGTCCTGGAAAATGTGAGCACCCTCCCTCACTCAGCATTTCCCTCTCTCCAGGACTCTGATGAACAAGACCCTCAGGAGGTGACATATGCACAGTTGAATCACTGCGTTTTCACACAGAGAAAAATCACTCGCCCTTCTCAGAGGCCCAAGACACCCCCAACAGATATCATCGTGTACACGGAACTTCCAAATGCTGAGCCCTGATCCAAAGTTGTCTCCTGCCCATGAGCACCACAGTCAGGCCTTGAGGGGATCTTCTAGGGAGACAACAGCCCTGTCTCAAAACTGGGTTGCCAGCTCCAATGTACCAGCAGCTGGAATCTGAAGGCGTGAGTCTGCATCTTAGGGCATCGCTCTTCCTCACACCACAAATCTGAACGTGCCTCTCCCTTGCTTACAAATGTCTAAGGTCCCCACTGCCTGCTGGAGAGAAAACACACTCCTTTGCTTAGCCCACAATTCTCCATTTCACTTGACCCCTGCCCACCTCTCCAACCTAACTGGCTTACTTCCTAGTCTACTTGAGGCTGCAATCACACTGAGGAACTCACAATTCCAAACATACAAGAGGCTCCCTCTTAACACGGCACTTAGACACGTGCTGTTCCACCTTCCCTCATGCTGTTCCACCTCCCCTCAGACTAGCTTTCAGCCTTCTGTCAGCAGTAAAACTTATATATTTTTTAAAATAATTTCAATGTAGTTTTCCCTCCTTCAAATAAACATGTCTGCCCTCATGGTTTAGGTAATGGGACTCTTTTCTTGCCTAAGGCTTCCGGTGTTATCAGTACCATGTCCATATAATCCCATCTGTTCTCCACCGGGTTCTCACCTCTGGACTCTGAGCTTCTGGAAGCAGTGTGGAGCCTCATTTGTCTCTGGGACTCCAATTTCCATCCAAAGATGCAGCACATAGGAGGTTCCAAGGATCGGGAATCACATGAACAAGTGACATTGTTACTCTCTGCAGACCTGGAAAGCTGGCAGAGTCATTCCACGATGAAACATTTGTAGAGTCATAGGCCTTGTTAGTCTCATCTCCATGGGGACACATATCAACACATCATCTTTCATACTATAAATATACGGTCACTCCTCCGTATCTGTGGGGTTTACAGGTCTTTATTGAACAAAGTATAAATCAAAAATATTCAGAGAAAATATCCACAGAGTTCCAAAACTCATAACTATGTTGAATGGACACAAATGAAGCTGTGTGTAGGCTGTATCAGGAATTATAAGTAATCAAGAGATGATTTCATGTATACAGGAGGATGTGCATATGTTATTTGCAAGCGCTGTGCCATTTCATATAAGAGGCTTGAGCATCTACAGATTTTGGTATCTGAGTGGAGATCTCGAAACCAATCACCCACGAATAGTGAAGGATGACCGTATATGACTTTTATTTCTCAAATTTAAATATAAATCAAAAAATGTACAACTAGATAAAAACTAAGAAGTGTTTTTATAGTGTGAGTTAGATTTATTTTTTACTAGGTGTAACCCATTGGTTTAATATTATTTATTGAGAAGACATTCTATGCCACCTTAAACCACACGGCAGCCTTTGTCAACTCTAAAGGGACTGTGTGTACATGGATGTATTTTAGACAGTTTCTGCTAAGGGGCTGTCTGTGTCCACACACTTGATGATGCTACACTTTATGTAGCCTTATAGAACCCTTTAAATTTAGTAGCCAGAGCCCTCTAATTTGTTATTATAGGCTATTTGCTTTTTTTTTTCTTGAGGCGGAGTCTTGCTCTGTCGCCCAGGCTGGACTGCAGTGACACAATCTCAGCTCACTGCAACCTCCGCCTCCCAGGTTCAAGCGATTCTCGTGCCTCAGCCTCTTGAGTAGCTGGCGTTACAGGTGCCTGCCACCAGGCATGGCTAATTTTTGGATTTTTAGCAGAGACACGGTTTCACTATGTTGGCCAGGCTGCTCTCAATCCCCTCATCTCAGTTGATCCGCCCACCTCGGCTTCCCGACGTGCTGGGGAAACTTGATTTTCTATAGCATTATGTTACTGGATATTTCTGTAAAATTTAAAATGAGGGAGGCAGAGAGACAGAGAGAGATCAAACTCCAGAGTTGGGACTCTGGAATCTTGGGTCATGAGACAAATTTTAGATTAAACTACAAAACTCCAGAATTTACAGGTGTGGTTTTTGCTGATAAAGTACAATTCTAAGATTGTAAATAATTGCATAATCCTTCCCTGGGAATTTAAATCATTTTAACTGGTTCTGCTGTAATACTAGAAATACAAGCATGAAAAATTCTAATGGTTTATTAGTCACAATGACTCTGAAAACCTTAATAATACCTATTAAATATTTTGCATATTACACATGAAGAAGAGTTTGAATCTCAGATAAAAACAATAAAAATACATGAAAAGTCTTTCACGTTAGCACAGATTTTAGGCATCTCGTGTTCAGGAGGTTGGATCTGAGACGTGTTTTGAGTTGGTCATAGTGAAGGACGCTAGGTGTAAATTCTAGTGAGAACAATTTCCAGGAAGCCGTGTTCCGCTCTTGAGCGAGCACCCACTGGGCCTCATGCAAGGTAGAATGAGCCTGCGTACGTCACCCTCCCATGATGTGGTCAACATGTAAACTGCATGGGCAGGGCGCCAAATAACATCCTGTGCGCTGCTGAGCTGAGCTGGGGCACGGCCGCCTGTCTGCACCGGCAGCACCATGTCGCTCACGGTCGTCAGCATGGCGTGTGTTGGTGAGTCCTGGAAGGGAATAGAGGAAGGGAGTGTGGGGTTGGAGATCTGGGCCCAGAGGTGGAGATATAGGCCTGGAGGTGGAGTTGTGGGCCTGGAGTGGAGATCTGGGCCTGGAGTGGATATATGGGCCTAGAGATGGAGTGATGGGCCTAGAAGTGGAGATCTGGGCCTGGAGTGCCGATAGGAACCTGGAGGGGAGATAGGAGCCTGGAGTGGAGATATGGGCCTGGAGGTGGAGTTATAGGCCTATAGTAGAGACATGGGCCTGGAGTGGAGATTTGGGCCAGGAGTGGAGATATGGGCCTAGAGGTGGATATCTGGGCCTAGAGTGGAAATATGGGCCTAGGATGGAGATATGGGCCTGGTTGTGGAGATATGGGACTGGAGAGGAGATATGGGCCTAGAGTGGAGATATGGGCTTGGGGTGGAGATCTGGGCCTGGGGTGGAGATATGGGCCTGGAGGTGGAGTTACGGGCCTTCAGTAGAGATATGGGCCTGGGGTGGAGATATGGGCTTGGGGTGGAGATCTGGGCCTGGAGTGGAGATATGGGCCTGGAGGTGGAGTTACTGGCCTTCAGTAGAGATATGGGCCTGGTGTGGAGATATGGGCCTGGATTGGAGATATGGGCCTAGGTTGGAGATCTGAGCCTGGAGTGGAGATATGGGCCTGGATTGGAGATATGGGCTTACAGTGGAGATCTTGGCCTGGATTGGCGATATGGGCCTGGATTGGCGATATGGGCCTATGATGGAAATATCGGCCTGGAGTGGAGATATGGGCCTGGAGTGGAGATACAGGCCTAGGGTGGAAATATTGGCCTGGAGTGGAGATATGGGCTTGTGGTGGGGATATGGGCTTGTGGTGGGGATCTGGGCTTGGAGGCTGGGTCTCTGCACAGCCGACAGCCCTGTTCTTGGGTGCAGGTAGGCACTGAGGGTGAGTTTAACTTCAGTCCAGGAAGGGCCTGCCTACCAAGACTCACAGCCCAGTGAGGGCAGCAAGGGAGGGCTGGTTTGCCTGCAGATGGATCGTCCATCATGATCTTTCTTTCCAGGGTTCTTCTTGCTGCAGGGGGCCTGGCCACATGAGGGTGAGTCCTTCTCCAAACCTTAGGGTGTCATCTCCCCACATAAGAGGATTTTCCTGAAACAGGAGGGAAGTCCTGTCAGGGAGCCTCTCATAAACTAGGAAGAGGGGACCCTGGGGTGCTCGGCCCACAGTTCCGACCTCGCCTCCCTGGCCTTTCATTCCCTTGGCAGAGTCAAGTTCTGTGGGGACCAGGGTTAGACTGGGGTGCTCAAAGCTGGGGTGCGTGGTGGGGAAGTGGTAGGAACAGCAGATCCTCTGAGGACAAAGGTGTTACTCACACTTCAGCGTTTCCATGACGGTAGGGGCTGCAGTGTGGCTGCTGTCACTCCACCAGAAGAGGTGGGAAACCACAGCCATGGCCCTGACATTCCAAATCCTCTGATGGGGGCTCAGTTGCTTATTTTCATTCAGGCATCTGCTGATATTCCATTCTCAAAGACATGCCCTCCACCCCATGTCTACCCTGTGTTGTTTTATGTGAGTAATCTTACAGTATTAAAATCTAGTAGGAGTCTCTTACTCAGCACTTGCTCAAAGTTCTCAGCTGACACTTTTGTTGTAGGGAGACACCTTGTGTTTGCGGGATGGGTCCTTCCTTTAGCCCTGGGCACCAAGGTGTGATAGCAGCCATAGAAACTTGGAAAGCGAGGAGAATCTTCAGAGCACAGGGAGGGAGGGGTGGCTCCACATCCTCCTCTCTAAGGCGGTGCCTCCTTCTCCCCAAGGTGGTCAGGACAAGCCCTTGCTGTCTGCCTGGCCCAGCTCTGTGGTGCCTCCAGGACATGTGATTCTTCGGTGTCATTCTTATCTTGGGTTTAACAACTTCAGTCTGTAAAAGGAAGATGGGGTGCCTGGCACTGAGCTCTACAACAGAATATTCTGGAAGAGCCTTTTCATGGGCCCTGTGACCCCAGCACACACAGGGACGTACAGATGTCGGGGTTCACACCCACACTACCCCAGTGGGTGGTCGGCACCCAGCAACACCCTGGTGATCATGGCCACAGGTCAGAGGGCTCCTGTCTTGGATTCTCCTTTCCCACCTCCTGAATCCCAGAGCTTCTGGTGGGCGTGTCCTTGAGGGTCCCATCACCCAGGCCCTGACTATATTTGGGGTAAAGGGGGATTGAATACAGGGAAATGGGTGCTGTGGTGGGAAGAATAATTGTCCCCAGTGATGACTACATTCTAATCCCTGGAGTCTGTGACTATTTATGTTATAGGGGAAGGAACTGAAGGGGAAGATGGAGCTCAGGTTGTTGATGAGTTGACCTTGAGATGGGGAGACAGCCTGGACTGTCCCGCTGGGCTCAGTGTAATCACAAGGGTCCACATGAAAGGAGGAGGAAGAGGGGAGTGGGGATTAGAGCAGCGCAATGGGAGACTCCACCAGCTTTGAAGGTGGAGGAAGGCCAGGAGCCATGAATGCAGGTGGCCTGTAGAGGTTGGAAAAGTCAAGGAAATGATTCTCCAGAGTCTCCAGAGGGAACGAAGCCCTGCAGATGCCTTGATTTTAGCCCAGGAAAAACAGGGTCCTATTTCTGTCTCCAGTAGTGAAATGGGTCAGTGTGCTCTCTCCTGCTGCCATGCTTCTGATAATTTTCTACAGCAGCAACAGGAAACCAACACTGGAACCCAGGTCAAGGACAAGGTAAGAAACAACACAAGGATAGCCGGGTGTGGTGGCAGGCACATGTAATCCTAGCGACTTGGGAGGCTGAGGGCAGGAGAATCACTTGAACCCAGGAGACAGAGGTTGCAGTGACCCTAGACCACACCACTTCACTCCAGCTGGGGTGAAGGAGTGAGACTCTGTCTCCATAATTAATTAATTAATTAAAGGAACCAAACAAGGGGAAGGTTGGCTACACCGAGATGAGCAAGTGTGGGATGATGATGCCACCACCAGGCTCCATCCACATAGGGAGGGGTTGATACTCCTCAAACCAGCACCAGGAGCCAGCCTATGGAAGCTGGCACCATGGAGAAGGCACAGGCATGGCAAGAGTGGCTCCCAGTCCCGACCAGGAACAGGGTGTGTGGACACTGGTGCCTGCCTTATTCATCAGTTCATACCTACTGCCAAGGATTCCAATTCATCCAAAAGAGATTGAACCAGGCTGATAAGAGGCTGGATGTGCAGCCTATCCTGGTTCCTCTTTCACCCCCACATAAACAGCAGGAAAGACATTAGTGTGAAATAGATACAACACCCCAAGAGATGAGGCTAAGCCCAGTGGGAAGGGAATCAGAGGCGACTAGAGACAGAGGGACAGAGAAGAGGGAGGGAGACAGATGGAAGGACCTGCACCAGGAGTTATGGGCACAGAAAAGAACATGAAGACACAGAGAGGAAGGAGAGAGACAGACACCAGCAAGGGGAAGCCTCACTCATTCTAGGTGCCATGGATGGGATGATAAAGAGAGACACCTTCTAAACTCACAACCTCTCTTCCTAGGAGTCCACAGAAAACCTTCCCTCCTGGCCCACCCAGGTCCCCTGGTGAAATCAGAAGAGACAGTCATCCTGCAATGTTGGTCAGATGTCAGGTTTCAGCACTTCCTTCTGCACAGAGAAGGGAAGTTTAACGACACTTTGCACCTCACTGGAGAGCACCATGATGGGGTTTCCAAGGCCAACTTCTCCATCGGTCCCATGATGGAAGACCTGGCAGGGACCTACAGATGCTACGGTTCTGTTACTCACTCCCCCATCAGTTGTCAGCTCCCAGTGACCCTCTGGACATCGTCATCACAGGTGAGAGTGTCCGGACATTCTTCTCATTGTCATTGGGATGCAGAGTGAATGATCCACGACTTGGAACCCCCAGGTAGTTGTAAGGAAGATGAGCTTGGTATTCTTATGGAGAGAGACTGACTTGGTGAGGTCTGTACCAACAGAGACAGAGAAACAGGAGACACAAGTACAGACCAGGTGTCATAACAGAGGACAGACACAGGGGCCATACCGGGAGTTAGAAAAGACAGAAGGAGTTAAAGGAGACAGACAGACAGACATGTCCCAGAGAGAGGTGTCCCTCCATGCTGACTTTGCTCAGAGACCTGGCACAGGTTAGAAGTTTCATTTCTGTTTTACCTCCACAAAGTGTTCTCTACCAGGAGAACCCAAGGACACCCATATTTCTGACCTGAGTTGGGCCCTGTGGCCTCAGGCCTTGTGGCACCTACAGATGCCGTGTTTATTCTGACACCTCTGCCTTCCATGTAATGGAGAGTAACCGTCCCAGGATATCATGGCCCCAGAACACCAACTCCTGTATGCTGTGTGAACTTGTGGTCTCCAGACTGGATTCTGAGGCTCACATTCCAAATAACCCCACATATGAAAGGATCACTGAGAGGCACAGAGAGAAATCAGGGACACCAAAAAGCAAAGACATAAACACACAGAGAATGAGCCAGAGGAAGGAGATTGAGAGACTCACAGACACATAAAGAGAGAGAAAAGAGGGCAGAGGAGTGGTGAGAATGATGGAAGGGAGCAGAGAAAAGCACTAAAATTAGACTCCTGAGGGAGAGGCACAAGGACATAGAAAGATGGAGATGTGGGGATGAATTGCAGAGATTCCAAAGAGAACTAGAGAGACCGAGAGGCAGAGCAAGACAGATGATAGATGGATAGATATAGATAGATGATAAATAGGTAGATGATAGATAATAGGTTAAAGATACATAGATGATGATTGATTGATTCATTAATAGATGAGACATAGAGATGATGATGATGAAGACAGATAGATAATACATAGAGATAGAGAGGCAGACAGAAGTCATAGAGAGAGAGATGATACATAGATATAGATAACAGATGATTGATGGATAGATAGACAAGTGATAGATACATAGATGATATATAGATATAGATGACAGGTAGAGAATTTGTAGATAGGCACCGAATAGATAAATAGATAGATCGATAGATAATAGATAGAAATATGCAGAAAGTTATGAACAGGACACAAAGTGAGAAACTTAGAATTTAAAAAAGTAACATCAAGTCAACCAATCCAAGGAGAGTCAGAGAGAATAAAACAATCCAAAAAGGGAAAACATATCTAGAGGTGTGGAAGCGAGGTCAGAGACCTAGAGAGACAGAGAAGGTGGAAGGAGGAAATAGACATGAAGAGAGATGGGGTGGAGGGTGAGAGAGAGAGAGAGAGAGAGCATTAGGTCATAGAGCAGGGGAGTGAGTTCTCAGCTCAGGTGAAGGGAGCTGTGACAAGGAAGATCCTCCGTAAGGAAAATGCCTCTTCTCCTTCCAGGTCTATATGAGAAACCTTCTCTCTCAGCCCAGCCGGGCCCCACGGTTCTGGCAGGAGAGAGCGTGACCTTGTCCTGCAGCTCCCGGAGCTCCTATGACATGTACCATCTATCCAGGGAGGGGGAGGCCCATGAACGTAGGTTCTCTGCAGGGCCCAAGGTCAACGGAACATTCCAGGCTGACTTTCCTCTGGGCCCTGCCACCCACGGAGGAACCTACAGATGCTTCGGCTCTTTCCGTGACTCTCCCTACGAGTGGTCAAACTCGAGTGACCCACTGCTTGTTTCTGTCACAGGTGAGGAAAGCCCATGGCTGTCCCATGTCCTATGATCCTAGAGCCTTAGCTGAGGAGCTTCCTGCTGAGGATGGAGAGAAGGATGAACAGATGCAGAGAGAAGACGAAGCTTGGGTGTGAGGGAGGGATCAGGGCACAGGATGGCAGACAGGGCACCTCCAAACCCTCCTACATGGCCTGCATGAAGGCCTGCGGCCAGGACTCCAGGCACCCAGGCAGATGGAGAAAGCGGTCAGGAGAGACCCAGAGGAGGGAGACTGGGCTCAGTTTGGGAAGATCAGAGGTTCCCTCAGCCCCTCAACATTACCCATTTCCCAGAAGCCCATCCTGGCCTCCCACCCACACAGGGATGTCATCACCTGCAACCCCTACACCCTTTACTTTTGTTTGAGAAATATTTATTGAGGATAAATATACCTATATAGCTTACCACCTTTAACATTTTTTTTTTGAGGCGGAGTCTAGCTCTGTCCCCTATGCTGGAGTGCATTGGCACAATCTCAGCTCACTGCAACTTCCGCCTCCTGGGTTCAAGCGATTCTCTTGCCTCAGCCACCTGAGTAGCTGGTGCTACAGGCGCGCACCACCATGCCAGGCTACTTTTTGTATTTTTAGTAGAGAGGGGGTTTCACCATGTTGGTCAAGCTGGTCTCGAACTCCTGACCACGTGATCCACCCGCATCAGCCTCCCAAAGTGCTGGGATTACAGGCATGAGCCACCACGCCCAGCCACATTTACCATTTTTAAGTGTAAAGTCTAGTGGTCATAAATACATTAATATATATATATATACACATATTTTTTTTTACCCTCCACCCTTTTCTTCCTGGCCTCTGGTAGCCACCATTCTACTCTCTACCTTCATGAGATCCACCTTTTAGCTCCTGTATATGGGTAAGAAATGGGAATCTTTGTAATGACCTCCAGTTCCATCCATGTGGCTGCAAATATCAGGAAGTTTTTCTTTCTATGGAAGAGTAGTCTCCACTATGCAAATGTACCACATTCTCTCTATCCATTCACCCACTGATGGGCAGGTAGGTTGACTCCTCATCTTGGCTACTGTGAAGAGTGCTGCACCAATCATACGAGTGCAGATATCACTTCGATATATTGATTTACTTTCCTTTGGATATAAACCCAGTAGTGAAATTGCTGGATACTATGAAAGTTCTCTTTTTAGTTTTTCGTTTGTTGTTTTGTTTTTGTTTTTGAGACAGTTTCCCTCTGTGCCCAGGCTGGAGTACAAGTGATGTCATCTTGGCTCATTGCAACCTCTGCCTCCTGGGTTCAAATGATTTTCCTGCCTCAGCCTCCCTAGTATCAGGGATTATAGGCGCACGCCACCATGCCTGGCTACTTTTTGTTTTTTTTAGTATAGATGCGGTTTCCCCATGTTGGCTGGGCTGCTCTCAAACTCATGACCTCAACTGAGGTGCCCGCCTCGGTCTCCCAAAGTGCCGGGATTACAGGCATGATCCACCTCACCCAACCTCTTTTTAGTTCTTTAAAGGACTTCCACACTTTTCTCCGTAATGGCTGTACTAATTTACACTCCTACCAACAGGATACCAGGATTCTCCTTTCTCTAACACCTTGCCAGCATTTCTTTTGCCTGTCTTGCAGCTAAAAGCCATTTTATTTTATTTCATTTTATTTTGAGATGGAGTTTCGCTCTTGTCACCCAGGCTGAGTGCAGTGGTGCGATCTCGGCTCACCACAACCTCCACCTCCCAGGTTCAAGCGATTCTCCTGCCTCAGCCTCCCGAGTAGCTGGAATTACAGGCACACGCCACCACGCCCGACTAATTTTTGTATTTTTAGTAGAGACAGTGTTTCTCCATGTGGGTCAGACTGGTCTCAAACTCCCGACCTTATGAGATTCACCCACCTCAGGCTCTCAAAGTTCTAGGATGACAGACGTGAGCCACCACGCCCGGCCTAAAAGCCATTTTAATGGGGTGAGATGAAAACTCACTTTGATTTTAATTTGTGTTTCTCTGATGATGAGTGATACTGAGCACTTTTTCGTATGTGGGGAAATTTCATGTCTTTTGCTCCTGTTTCAATTAAATCATTTGTTTTATTGAGTTGTTTGAGCTTCTTATATTTCTAGTTATTAATCCCATCTCAGATGCATAGTTTGCACATATTTGCTCCCAATCTGTGGGTTGTCTCTTCACTTTGTTGGTTTATTTTTAGCGGTGCAGAAGTTGCTTAGTTTGAGGTAATCCCAATGGTCTATTTTTGCTTCGATTACTTGTGTTTTGAAGGTTTAAAACAAAATGTCTTCCTTCAGACAAACGTCCTGGAGCATTTCCCCAATATTTTCTTCTACGTGTTTCATAGGTTCAGGCCTTAGACTCACATCTTTAATCCATTTTCATTTGATTTTTGTGTATAGTGACAGGCAGAGGTGCAGTTTCATTCCTCTGCATGTCGATGTCCAGGTTTCCCTGCACTGTTTATTGAAAAGACTGTCCTTTCCTGATTGTGAGTTCTTGGCACCTTTGTCAAAGTCCATTGGATGGGCTGGGCATGGTGGCTGACACCTGCAATTTCAGCACTTTGGGAGCCCGAGGTGGGTGGATCACCTGAGGCCAAGAGTTCAAGATTAGTCTGGCCAACGTGATGAAACATCGTCTCCACTAAAAATATAAAAATTAGCTGAGCATGGTGGTCAGCACCTGTAATACCACTACTCAGGAGTTTGAGGCAAGAGAAGTGATTGAACCCAGGAGGCTGTGGTGGCAGTGAACCGAGATTGCACCTCTGCACTCCAGCCTGGGTGACAGAGCAAGACTCCATCTCAAAAGAAAAACAAAAAATACATTGGAGGTAAATGCATGGATTATATCTGTGTTATTCATTCTGCTCCGTTGTTCTATGTGCCTTTCTTCATGCCAACGTCATGCTGTCTTGCTTACTACAGCTCTGTAACATATTTTGAGATCAGGTAGTGTGATGCTCCTGTTTTCTCTTTATACCTTGAAGTCTCAAGACAGTAGCCGTCACATACAAAAATTACGGAAAAAAGGATCCCAGGACTCCCAGGGCCCAATATTAGATAACAGAGTGTTGGCCATGAACCAACCTCAAAGATTTCCACTGAGTAGAGGACAGACACCCTCATTTCCTCACCTCTCTCCTGTCTCATGTTCTAGGAAACCCTTCAAATAGTTGGCCTTCACCCACTGAACCAAGCTCCAAAACCGGTGAGTACAGAACCCTCTTATATCCGCTTTTGGAAACCTGGGGAGGTGGAAACCTTGGATTCAGGCGTTGACTCAGCATCTCACAGCTCTGACATTGTACGCCTGTCTTCTACCATCTCCAAACTCCAGATACTCCAACAGCGAAAGGGATCTGGACCCAAAACAGGGCTCTGTGAAATCTCTTAATCTCTCATTTTATGGAGCTGAGATCTCCTACAAGCTAGAAAAATGATTGGCAATCTGACATCCTTCTCAGGAAAAATGCAATGTTTGTTCTGCCTGCATTCCTAACTGGAGGATAAATTCCTGGGGGCTTGAGAGAGGGAAGGGTAGGGAACATTTGATGAGGGCGAGGTGTTTTAGAGAAGTTCCACTTGCCCAGGAATGAATTACTGTTGGTCATGAAGCAACCCTGGCTGACTCAGCAGAGCAAGAGCTTTGCCTTAACAGAGAACGGAGCTCATGCACGCACACTTCGACTCACTGACTCATTCAGCCACGGCCCCATGCTCAGGCCGTGGAAAAGGCAATTCCCAGCACTGCAGGAGGCCAAGGCGGGTGGATCACTTGAAGTCAGGAGTTCCAGACCAGCCTGGCCAAAATGGTGAAACCCTGTCTCTATGAAAAATACAAAAATTAGCCGAGCATGGTGGTGCATCCCTGTAATCCCAGCTCCTACTCTTGAGGATGAAGCAGGAGAACGACTTCAACCCAGGAGGTGGAGGTTGCAGTGAGTGGAGATTGCATCACTGCACTCCAGCCTGGGTGACACAAGGAGACTCCGTCTCAAAAAATAAAAATAAGAAATGCATAAATATAATAAAACACACACGAATGACAAAGGCACCTGAATTCCAATCATCATTTTTGTATTTCTCTATAATTACTTCTTTGATCCTTTGTCTTATCCATTAGGCAATGAGCCTAAAACCTCTTCCGTATTTGGCTTTCTGTGAGCATGAGACCATATAGAAAATGTGAAAGCCTGCTGAATCCTCCAGCACAGATCGTGGAATAGAGAAAGTGCTCTGTTCATCACAAAAAAAACTTGCCCTCTCACTCAAATCCCCCACTTCACCCCTACTTCCAATCACCTGTGGAGATTCAGATAGACCATGGGGAGGTAAACATTAATACTCCTTGGAGTGAGTCCAGATCTTGGAATGAGAGATCAGCACCAGCACTAGCTCCTGCTCCCCTTTCCTACTAATTCACAGGAGGACAGGTGGTATTGAAGCAATAGATGGTGGAGGGGGTGGTCCTTCCCCCAGCCTCTCAGGTAGAACAGCAGCCTAACATGTGTCTCCCGAGATCACAAAGAGTAGGACGTTTCACAGGGGCTTCAACACGATTTCCTGGCTGTTGGACATAAGATAACTCTATTTCGCTTTTTTATCTTGATTTCACTTTTGTTTCCTTTCCTTGGAGAACGCAAGTTGTTTGACTCAAGAATGCTGTGGATGTAGAAATCCTAAAGCACATTCGCTGTGTGTCAATCCCAGTGCAGTCTTCCCAGAAAAGACCCTAAACACCTCCTAGACTGCACCTGGGCCTACGCCAATTCCTATCACTCACCGTCACTCCAGGGAGACAGAACACACAGAGAATACGTTACATAGGCAGGTTCATTACTAACAGATAAGCAGCGAGTGAAAACAGAAGCCTACATTTCAATGTGAGCCAGTCCCTCAAGGCTCAGAAAAGCTGCTCGGGACATATGGAGTCACCCCATTTGCAGTGTAGCTGGGGGAAGCCAGAAAGCAGCCCAGCCTGGGTTTTGTACCCTGGAGCCACAGGAAGCACTCAGCTAAAGCACTGCATGACGTCCTCCTCCAGGAAGAACAGGAAGACAGCCCAGGCTGCTCTGGGACGTTCCTCCTGATCTCAGGACGTTGCTGTCTTAGTCCATTTTTGTTGCTCTAAAGGAACACTTGAGCCTGGGCAACTTCTAAAGAAAAGAGATTGGTTTGCCTCACCGTTCTGCAGGCTGTACTGGAAGCATGGCACCAGCATCTATTTCTCGTGATGGCCTCAGGCTGCTCCCACTCTGGCAGAAGGGAAGGAGGGTCTGTCTGTGCAGAGACCACAGAGATCACACGGCAAGAGAGGGAGCAAGGGGGAGGGGGAGCGATGGAGCTTCCAAGTTCTTTTGAACAACCAGCTCTCCAGGAACTAATAGAGGGGGAACTAGCTAACCCCGTCTCCTTGGGACAGCATTGATCTGTTCATGATGGATCCACCTCCATGACCCAAACACCTCTCAAGAGGCCCAACCTCCCACAATGGGGGTGAAATTTCAATGTGAGGTTTGAAGGGGTCAAACATCTCAACTAAAGTAGTTGTGTCCTCAGCACATTCTATGGTTACTTTGAGAGCTATAACTGAGAAAGCAGGAGAAAGCTGGGTCTCCCGCCATCTGGGTGCTTGTCCTAAAGAGGTGTTTTACGTGGTTACCTGTCAATCAAGAAATGCGAGACAATTCATAAAGAGGAACTGCTATGATTAGCTTCTTATTGGTGTCTCATCTTCTTCCAGGTAACCCAAGACACCTGCACGTTCTGATTGGGACCTCAGTGGTCATCATCCTCTTCATCCTCCTCCTCTTCTTTCTCCTTCATCGCTGGTGCTCCAACAAGAAAAGTAAGTCTCACGAAGGAGAGGCCAGAGAGCTCAGGGCCATGTGGGGAAGCAGGATGGGAGCACTCAGGTGTGTGTTCCTCACAGGTAGGATGGTCCCTGGCCCAAGGCAGCAGCCACAGAGGCAGGACTTTCTAGAGAGGGCACCAGACTCCCTGTCCCTGCTTTCAGCTCACAGACCGTTGCCTGATTCTGAACTGTATCCTCATGTCCCCTGCAGCCACTCACATCCAGGAGAAGGTTCCATGACAGGCAGAAAGTGGGAGACAGAATCAATGGGATGGGAACTCAGAGCTATTCATGGGATGGGTCCTTGAGCTCAGAGAGATAGAATGTCTGAGTCTGCTGTTGGCAACTGAGGGACCTCAGGCACCTATGGCCTCCCCCTGTTTGTTGGTATCTGCTTATGAAATGAGGACCCAGAAGTGCCCTCCGAGCTCTTTTGTTGACTTCCGTCTCCTACACATGCTGCTGTAATGGACCAAGAGCCTGCAGGGAACAGAACAGCGAATAGCGAGGTAGGTGCTCCTCGGCCCAGCCTCGTGGCTAGTGTTATTCCCAAACAGTCCTGGAAAACGTGAGCACCCTCCCTCACTCAGGATTTCCCTCTCTCCAGGACTCTGATGAACAAGACCCTCAGGAGGTGACATACGTACAGTTGGATCACTGCGTTTTCACACAGAGAAAAATCACTCGCCCTTCTCAGAGGCCCAAGACACCCCCAACAGATACCAGAGTGTACACGGAACTTCCAAATGCTGAGTCCAGATCCAAAGTTGTCTCCTGCCCATGAGCACCACAGTCAGGCCTTGAGGGGATCTTCTAGGGAGACAACAGCCCTGTCTCAAAACCGGGTTGCCAGCTCCCATGTACCAGCAGCTGGAATCTGAAGGCGTGAGTCTGCATCTTAGGGCATCGCTCTTCCTCACACCACAAATCTGAATGTGCCTCTCTCTTGCTTACAAATGTCTAAGGTCCCCACTGCCTGCTGGAGAGAAAACACACTCCTTTGCTTAGCCCACAATTCTCCATTTCACTTGACCCCTGCCCACCTCTCCAACCTTACTGGCTTACTTCCTAGTCTACTTGAGGCTGCAATCACACTGAGGAACTCACAGTTCCAAACATACAAGAGGCTCCCTCTTAACACGGCACTTAGACACGTCCTGTTCCACCTTCCCTCATGCTGTTCCACCTCCCCTCAGAGTATCTTTCAGCCTTCTGTCAGCAGTAAAACTTATATATTTTTTAAAATAATTTCAATGTAGTTTTCCCTCCTTCAAATAAACATGTCTGCCCTCATGGTTTCGGTAATGGGACTCTTTTCTTGCCTAAGACTTCCATTATCATTACCATGTCCACATAACCCCATCTGTTCTCCACTGGGTTCTCACCCCCGGACTCTGAGTTTCTGGAAGCAGGGTGGAGCCTCATTTGTCTCTGGGACTCCTATTTCCATCCAAAGATGTAGCACATAGGAGGTTCCAAGGATCGTGAATCACATGAACAAGTGATATTCTTACTCTCTGCAGACCTGGAAATCTGGCAGAGTCATTCCAAGATGAAACATTTGTAGAATCATAGGCCTTGTTAGTCTCATCTACACAGGGACACATATCAACACATCATCTTTCACACTATAAATATACAGTCACTCCTCCATATCTGTGGGGTTTACAGTTCTTTATTGAACCGAGTATAAATCAAAAATATTCAGAGAAAGTATCCACAGAGTTACAAAAAGCAGAACTGTGTTGAATGGACACAAATGAAGCTGTGTGTAGGCTGCATCAGGAATTATAAGTAATCTAGAGATGATTTCATGTATACAGGAGGATGTGCATAGGTTATTTGCAAACTCTGTGCCATTTCATATAAGAGGCTTGAGCATCTACAGATTTTGGTATCTGAGTGGAGATCTCGAAACCAATCACCCACGAATAGTGAAGGATGACCGTATATGACTTTTATTTCTCAAATTTAAATATAAATCATAAAAAATGTACAACTAGATAAAAACTAAGAAGTGTTTTTATAGTGTGAGTTAGATTTATTTTTTCCTAGGTATAACCCATTGGTTTAATATTATTTATTGAGAAGACATTCTATGCCACCTTAAACCACACGGCAGCCTTTGTCAACTCTAAAGGGACTGTGTGTACACGGATGTACTTTAGACACTGTTTCTGCTAAGGGGCTCTCTGTGTCCACACTCTTGATGATGCTGCACTTTATGTAGCCTTATAGAACCCTTTAAATTTAGTAGCCAGAGCTCTCTAATTTGTTATTATAGGCTATTTGCTTTTTTTTCTTGAGGCGGAGTCTTGCTCTGTCGCCCAGGCTGGACTGCAGTGACACAATCTCAGCTCACTGCAACTTCTGCCTCCCAGGTTCAAGCGATTCTCATGCCTCAGCCTCTTGAGTAGCTGGCGTTACAGGTGCCTGCCACCAGGCACGGCTAATTTTTGGATTTTTAGCAGAGACACGGTTTCACTATATTGGCCAGGCTGCTCTCAAACTCCTTATCTCAGTTGATCCGCCCACCTCGGCTTCCCAACGTGCTGGGGAAACTTGATTTTCTATAGCATTATGTTACTGGATATTTCTGTAAAATTTAAAATGAGGGAGGGAGAGAGACAGACGGAAAACAAACTCCAGAGTTGGGACTCTGGAATCTTGGGTCATGAGACAAATTTTAGATTAAACTACAAAACTCCAGAATTTACAGGTGGGGTTTTTACTGATAAAGTACAATTCTAAGATTGTAAATAATTGCATAATCCTTCCCTGGGAATTTAAATCATTTTAACTGGTTCTGCTGTAATACTAGAAATACAAGCATGAAAAATTCTAATGGTTTATTAGTGACAATGACTCTGAAAACATTAATAATACCTATTAGATATTTTGCATATTACACAGGAAGAAGAGTTTGAATCTCAGATAAAAACAATAGAAATACATGAAAAGTCTTTCATGTTAGCACAGATTTTAGGCATCTCGTGTTCGGGAGGTTGGATCTCAGACGTGTTTTGAGTTGGTCATAGTGAAGGACACTAGGTGTCAAATTCTAGCGAGAACAATTTCCAGGAAGCCGTGTTCCGCTCTTGAGCGAGCACCCACTGGGCCTCATGCAAGGTAGAAAGAGCCTGCGTACGTCACCCTCCCATGATGTGGTCAACATGTAAACTGCATGGGCAGGGCGCCAAATAACATCCTGTGCGCTGCTGAGCTGAGCTCGGTCGCGGCTGCCTGTCTGCTCCGGCAGCACCATGTCGCTCTTGGTCGTCAGCATGGCGTGTGTTGGTGAGTCCTGGAAAGCAATAGAGGGAGGGAGTGAGGGGATGGAGATCTGGGCCCAGAGGTGGAGATATAGGCCTGGAGGTGGAGTTATGGGCCTGGAGTGGAGATCTGGGCCTGGAGTGGATATATGGGCCTAGAGATGGAGTGATGGGCCTAGAAGTGGAGATCTGGGCCCAGAGGTCGAGATATAGGCCTGGAGGTGGAGTGATGGGACTGTAGTGGAGATCTGGGCCTGGAGTGGAGATAGGAACCTGGAGGGGAGATAGGAACCTGGAGGGGAGATATGGGCCTGGAGGTGGAGATATGGGCCTGGAGTGGAGTCATGGGCCTGGAGGTGGAGTTATGGGCCTGCAGTAGAGATATGGGCCTGAAGTGGAGACATGGGCCTGGAGTGGAGATATGGGCCAGGAGTGGAGATATGGGCCTAGAGGTCGATATCTGGGCCTGGAGTGGAGATATGGGCCAGGAGTGGAGATATGGGCCTAGAGGTCGATATCTGGGCCTGGAGAGGAGATATGTGCCTAGGATGGAGATACGGGCCTGGGTGTGGAGATATGGGACTGGAGAGGATATATGGGCCTGGAGTGGAGATATGGGACTGGAGAGGAGATATGGACCTGGAGTGGAGATAAGGGCCTGGATTGGAGATATGGGCCCAGGGTGGAGATCTGAGCCTGGATTGGAGATATGGGCCTGGATTGGCGATATGGGCTTAGGGTGGAAATATCGGCCTGGAGTGGAGATATGGGCCTGGAGTGGAGATATGGGCTTGAGGTGGGGATATGGACCTGGAGGCTGGGTCTCTGCACAGCCGACAGCCCTGTTCTTGGGTGCAGGTAGGCACTGAGGGTGAGTTTACCTTCAGCCCAGGAAGGGCCTGGCTACCAAGACTCACAGCCCAGTGGGGGCAGCAAGGGTGCCCTGGTTTGCCTGCAGATGGGTCATCCATCATGATCTTTCTTTCCAGGGTTCTTCTTGCTGCAGGGGGCCTGGCCACATGAGGGTGAGTCCTTCTCCCAACCTTCGGGTGTCATCTCCCCACATAAGAGGATTTTCCTGAAATGGGAGGGAAGTCCTGTCAGGGAGTCTCTCATAAACTAGGAAGAAGGGACCCTGGGGTGCTGGGCCCACATTTCTGACCTTGCCTCCCTGGCCTTTCATTCCCTTGGCAGAGTCAAGTTCTGTGGGGACCAGGGTTAGACTACGGTGCTCAAAGCTGGGGTGTGTGGTGGGGAAGTGGTAGGAACAGCAGATCCTCTGAGGACAAAGGTGTTACTCACACACTTCAGCGTTTCCATGACGGTAGGGGCTGCAGTGTGGCTGCTGTCATTCTACCAGAAGAGGTGGGAAAACCACAGCCATGGCCCTGACATTCCAATCCTCTGATGGGGACTCAGTTGTTTATTTTCGTTCAGGCATCGGCTGATATTCCATTCTCAAAGGACATGCCCTCCACCCCATGTCTACCCTGTGTTGTTTTATGTGAGTAATCTTACAGTATTAAAATCTAGTAGGAGTCTCTTACTCAGCACTTGCTCAAAGTTCTCAGCTGACACTTTTGTTGTAGGGAGACACCTTGTGTTTGCGGGATGGGTCCTTCCTTTAGCCCTGGGCACCAAGGTGTGATAGCAGCCATAGAAACTTGGAAAGCGAGGAGAATCTTCAGAGCACAGGGAGGGAGGGGCGGCTCCACATCCTCCTCTCTAAGGCGGTGCCTCCTTCTCCCCACGGTGGTCAGGACAAGCCCTTGCTGTCTGCCTGGCCAAGCCCTGTGGTGCCTCCAGGACATGTGATTCTTCAGTGTCATTCTTATCTTGGGTTTAACAACTTCAGTCTGTAAAAGGAAGATGGGGTGCCTGTCCCTGAGCTCTACAACATAATATTCTGGAACAGCCTTTTCATGGGCCCTGTGACCCCAGCACACGCAGGGACCTATACATGTCGGGGTTCACAACCACACTACCCCAGTGGGTGGTCGGCACCCAGCAACCCCCTGGAGATCACGGTCACAGGTCAGAGGGCTCCTGTCTGGGATTCTCCTTGTCCCACCTCCTGAATCCCAGAGCTCCTGGTGGGCGTGTCCTTGCGGGTCCCATCATGCAAGTCCTGACTGTATTTGGGGTAAAGGGGGATTGAATACAGGGAAATGGGTGCTGTGGTGGGAAGAATAATTGTCCCCAGTGATGACTACATTCTAATCCCTGGAGTCTGTGACTATTTATGATATAGGGGAAGGGACTGAAGGAGAAGATGGAGCTCAGGTTGTTGATGAGTTGACCTTGAGATGGGGAGACAGCCTGGACTGTCCTGATGGGCTCAGTGTAGTCACAGGGGTCCACATGAAAGGAGGAGGAAGAGGGGAGTGGGGATTACAGCAGCATAATGGGAGTCTCCATCAGCTTTGAAGGTGGAGGAAGTCCAGGAGCCATGAATGCAGGTGGCCTATAGAGGCTGGAAAAGTCAAGGAACTGATTCTCCTGAGTCTCCAGAGGGAACGAAGCCCTGCAGGTGCCTTGATTTTACCCACGACAAACAGGGTCCGATTTCTGTCTCCAGAATTGGAAGGGGTTAGTGTGCTCTCTCCTGGTGCCATGCTTCTGATAATTTTCTACAGCAGCAACAGGAAACCAACACTGGAACCCAGGTCAAGGACAAGTTAAGAAACAACACAAGGATAGCCAGGCATGGTGGCAGGTGCATGTAATCCTAGCGACTTGGGAGGCTGAGGGCAGGAGAATCACTTGAACCCAGGAGACAGAGGTTGCAGTGAGCCTAGACCACACCACTTCACTCCAGCCTGGGCAAAGGAGTGAGACTCTGTCGCCAAAATTAATTAATTAATTAAAGAAACCAAACAAGGAGAAGGTTGGCTACACTGAGATCAGCAAGGCTCAGATGATGATGCCACCACCAGGCTCCATCCACATAGGGAGGGGTTGATACTCCTCCAACCAGCACCAGGAGCCAGCCTATGGAAGCTGGCACTGGCATGGCAAGAGTGGCTCCCAGTCCCTACCAGGAACAGGGTGTGTGGCCACTGGTGCCTGCCTTACTGATCAGTTCATACCTCCTGCCAAGGATTCCAATTCGTCCAAAAGAGATTGAACCAGGCTGCTAAGAGCCTGGATGTGCAGCCTATCCTGGTTCCTCTTCCACCCCCACATAGACAGCAGGAAAGACATTAGTTCGAAATAGATACAACAGCCCAAGAGATGAGGCTGAGCCCAGCGGCAAGGGAATCAGAGGCTACTAGAGACAGAGGGACAGAGAAGAGTGAGGGAGACAGATGGAAGGACCTGCACCAGGAGTTATGGGCACAGAAAAGAACATGAAGACACAGAGAGGAAGGAGAGAGATAAGACACCAGGAAGGGGAAGCCTGACTCAATCCAGGTGCCATGGATGGGATGATAAAGAGAGACACCTTCTAAACTCACAACCTCTCTTCCTAGGAGTCCACAGAAAACCTTCCCTCCTGGCCCACCCAGGTCGCCTGGTGAAATCAGAAGAGACAGTCATCCTGCAGTGTTGGTCAGATGTCATGTTTGAACACTTCCTTCTGCACAGAGAGGGGATGTTTAACGACACTTTGCGCCTCATTGGAGAACACCATGATGGGGTCTCCAAGGCCAACTTCTCCATCAGTCGCATGACGCAAGACCTGGCAGGGACCTACAGATGCTACGGTTCTGTTACTCACTCCCCCTATCAGGTGTCAGCTCCCAGTGACCCTCTGGACATCGTGATCATAGGTGAGAGTGTCCAGACTTTCTTCTCATTGTCATTGGGATGCAGAGTGAATGATCCAGGAATTGGAGACCCAGGTGGCTGTAAGGAAGATGAGCTTGGTATTCTTATGGAGAGAGACTGACTTGGTGAGGTCTGTGCCAACAGAGACAGAGAAACAGGAGACACAAGTAGAGACCAGGTGTCATAACAGAGAACAGACACAGGGGCCATACCGGGAGTTAGAAAAGACAGAAAGAGTTAAAGGAGACACACAGACAGACATGTCCCAGAGAGAGGTGTCCCTCCATGCTGACTTTGCTCAGAGACCTGGCACAGGTTAGAAGTTTCATTTCTGTTTTACCTCCACAAAGTGTTCTCTACCAGGAGAACCCAAGGACACCCATATTTCTGACCTGAGTTGGGCCCTGTGGCCTCAGGCCTTGTGGCACCTACAGATGCCATGTTTATTCTGACACCTCTGCCTTCCATGTAATGGAGAGTAATCGTCCCAGGATATCATGGCCCCACAACACCAACCCCTGTATGCTGTGTGAACTTGTAGTCTCCAGACTGGATTCTGAGGCTCATATTCCAAATAAGCCCACTTATGAGAGGATCAGTGAGAGGCACAGAGAGAAATCAGGGACACCAAAAAGCAAAGACATAAACACACAGAGAATGAGCCAGAGGAAGGAGATTGAGAGACTCACAGACACATAAAGAGAGAGAAAAGAGGGCAGAGGAGTGGTGAGAATGATGGAAGGGAGCAGAGAAAAGCACTAAAATTAGACTCCTGAGGGAGAGGCACAAGGACATTGAAAGATGGAGATGTGGGGATGAATTGCAGAGATTCCAAAGAGAACTAGAGAGACCGAGAGGCAGAGCAAGACAGATGATAGATGGATAGATATAGATAGATGATAAATAGGTAGATGATAGATAATAGGTTATAGATACATAGATGATGATTGATTGATTCATTAATAGATGAGACATAGAGATGATGATGATGAAGACAGATAGATAGATAATACATAGAGATACAGAGGCAGACATAGAGAAATCATAGAGAGAGAGAGATGATACATAGATATAGATAATAGATGATTGATGGATAGATAGACAATTGATGGATAAATAGATGATATATAGATATAGATGACAGGTAGAGAATTTGTAGATAGGCACCGAATAGATAAATAGATAGATCGATAGATAATAGATAGAAATATGCAGAAAGTTATGAACAGGACACAAAGTGAGAAACTCAGAATTAAAAAAAGTAACATCAAGTCAACCAATCCAAGGAGAGTCAGAGAGAATAAAACAATCCAAAAAGAGAAAACATATCTAGAGGTGGGGAAGTGAGGTCAGAGACCTAGAGAGACAGAGAAGGTGGAAGGAGGAAATAGACATGAAGAGCGATGGGGTAGAGGGTGAGAGAGAGAGAGAGAGAGCATTAGGTCATAGAACAGGGGAGTGAGTTCTCAGCTCAGGTGAAGGGAGCTGTGACAAAGAAGATCCTCCCTGAGGAAACTGCCTCTTCTCCTTCCAGGTCTATATGAGAAACCTTCTCTCTCAGCCCAGCTGGGCCCCACGGTTCTGGCAGGAGAGAATGTGACCTTGTCCTGCAGCTCCCGGAGCTCCTATGACATGTACCATCTATCCAGGGAAGGGGAGGCCCATGAACGTAGGCTCCCTGCAGGGCCCAAGGTCAACGGAACATTCCAGGCTGACTTTCCTCTGGGCCCTGCCACCCACGGAGGGACCTACAGATGCTTCGGCTCTTTCCATGACTCTCCATACGAGTGGTCAAAGTCAAGTGACCCACTGCTTGTTTCTGTCACAGGTGAGGAAAGCCCATGGCTGTCCCATGTCCTATGATCCTAGAGCCTTAGCTGAGGAGCTTCCTGCTGAGGATGGAGAGAAGCATGGACAGATGCAGAGAGAAGACGCAGCCTCGGTGTGAGGGAGGGATCAGGGCACAGGATGGCCGACAGGGCACCTCCAAACCCTCCTACATGGCCTGCATGGAGGCCCACGGCCAGGGCTCCAGGCACCCAGGCAGATGGAGAAAGCGGTCAGGAGAGACCCAGAGGAGGGAGACTGGGCTCAGTTTGGGGAGATCAGAGGTTCCCTCAGCCCCTCAACCTTACCCATTTCCCAGAAGCCCATCCTGGCCTCTCACCCACACAGAGATGTCATCACCAGCAACCCCTACACCCTTTACTTTTCTTTGAAGAAATATTTATTGAGGATAAATATACCTATATAGCTTACCACTTTTAACATTTTTTTTTGAGGTGGAGTCTAGCTCTGTCCCCTATGATGGAGTGCAGTGGCACAATCTCAGCTCACTGCAACCTCCGCCTCCTGGGTTCAAGCGATTCTCCTGCCTCAGCCACCTGAGTAGCTAGTGCTACAGGCACGCACCACCACGCCAGGCTACTTTTTGTATTTTTAGTAGAGAGGTGGTTTCACCATGTTGGTCGAGCTGGTCTCGAACTCCTGACCACGTGATCCACCCGCATCAGCCTCCCAAAGTGCTGGGATTACAGGCATGGGCCACCAGGCCCAGCCACATTTACCATTTTTAAGTGTAAAGTCTAGTGGTCATAAATACATTTTTATATATATATATATATACATTTTTTTTACCCTCCACCCTTTTCTTCCTGTCCTCCAGTAGCCACCATTCTACTCTCTACCTTCATGAGATCCACCTTTTAGCTCCTGTATATGGGTGAGAAATGGGAATCTTTTTAATGACCTCCAGTTCCATCCATGTGGCTGCAAATGACAGGATGTTATTCTTTCTATGGATGAGTAGTCTCCACTGTGCGTATGTACTACATTCTCTCTATCCATTCACCCACTGATGGGCAGGTAGGTTGACTCCTCATCTTGGCTACTGTGAACAGTGCTGCACCAATCATACGAGTGCAGATATCACTTCGATATGTTGATTTACTTTCCTTTGGATATAAACCCAGTAGTGAAATTGCTGGATACTATGAAAGTTCTCTTTTTTTTTTTTTTTTCTTTTTTGAGAAAGAGTTTCCCTCCTTAGCCCAAGCTGGAGTCAAAGTGGTGCAACCTTGGCTCATTGCAACCTCCGCCTCCTGGGTTCAAATGATTTTCCTGCCTCAGCCTCCCTAGTAGCTGGGATTACAGGTGCACACCACCATGCCTGGCTACTTTTTGGTTTTTTTAGTATAGATGCGGTTTCCCCATGTTGGCTGGGCTGCTCTCAAACTCATGACCTCAACTGAGGTGCCCGCCTCAGTCTCCCAAAGTGCCGGGATTACAGGCATGATCCACCTCACCCAACCTCTTTTTAGTTCTTTAAAGGACTTCCATACTTTTCTCCGTAATGGCTGTACTAATTTACACTCCTCCCAACAGGGTACCAGGGTTCTCCTTTCTCTACCACCTTGCCAGCATTTCTTTTGCCTGTCTTGCAGCTAAAAGCCATTTTATTTTATTTCATTTTATTTTGAGATGGAGTTTTGCTCTTCTCACCCAGGCTGGAGTGCAGTGGCGCTATCTCGGCTCACCACAACCTCCACCTCCCAGGTTCAAGCGATTCTCCTGCCTCAGCCTCCCGAGTAGCTGGAATTACAGGCACACGCCACCACGCCCTACTAATTTTTGTATTTTTAGTAGAGACAGCGTTTCTCTATGTGGGTCAGACTGGTCTCAAACTCCCAACCTTATGAGATTCACCCACCTCAGGTTCTCAAAGTTCTAGGATGACACAAGTGAGCCACCTCACCCGGCCTAAAAGCCATTTTAATGGGGTGAGATGAAAACTCACTTTGATTTTAATTTGCGTTTCTCTGATGATGAGTGATACTGAGCACTTTTTCGTATGTGGGGAAATTTCATGTCTTTTGCTCCTTTTTCAATTAAATCATTTGTTTTATTGAGTTGTTTGAGCTTCTTATATTTCTAGTTATTAATCCCATCTCAGATGCATAGTTTGCACATATTTGCTCCCAATCTGTGGGTTGTCTCTTCACTTTGTTGGTTTATTTTTAGCAGTGCTGAAGTTGCTTAGTTTGAGGTAATCCCAATGGTCTATTTTTGCTTCGATTACTTGTGTTTTGAAGGTTTAAAACAAAATGTCTTCCTTCAGACAAACGTCCTGGAGCATTTCCCCAATATTTTGTTCTACGTGTTTCATAGGTTCAGGCCTTAGACTCACATCTTTAATCCATTTTCATTTGATTTTTGTGTATGGTGACAGGTAGAGTTGCAGTTTCATTCCTCTGCATGTAGATGTCCAGGTTTCCCTGCACTGTTTATTGAAAAGACTGTCCTTTCCTGATTGTGAGTTCTTGGCATCTTTGTCAAAGTCCATTGGATGGGCTGGGCTTGGTGGCTAACACCTGCAATTTCAGCACTTTGGGAGCCCGAGGTGGGTGGATCACCTGAGGCCAGGAGTTCAAGATTAGTCTGGCCAACGTGATGAAACATCGTCTCCACTAAAAATATAAAAATTAGCTGAGCATGGTGGTCAGCACCTGTAATACCACTACTCAGGAATTTGAGGCAAGAGAATGATTGAACCCAGGAGGCTGAGGTTGCAGTGAACCGAGATTGCACCTCTGCACTCCAGCCTGAGTGACAGAGCAAGACTCCATCTCAAAAGAAAAAATAAAAAACCATTGGATGTAAATGCATGGAATATATCTGTGTTATTCATTCTGCTCCGTTGTTCTATGTGCCTTTCTTTATGCCAATGTCATGCTATTTTGCTTACTACAGCTCTGTAACATATTTTGAGATCAGGTAGTGTGATGCTCCTGTTTTCTCTTTATATCTTGAAGTCTCAAGACAGTGGGTGTCATATAAAAAAATTATGGAAAAAAGGATCCCAGGACTCCCAGGGCTCAATATTAGATAAGAGAGTGTTGGCCATGAACCATCCTCAAAGATTTCCACTGAGTGGAGGACAGACACCCTCATTTCCTCACCTCTCTCCTGTCTCATGTTCTAGGAAACCCTTCAAATAGTTGGCCTTCACCCACTGAACCAAGCTCCAAAACCGGTGAGTACAGAACCCTCTTATATCCGCTTTTGGAACCCTGGGGAGGTGGGAACCTTGGATTCAGGCGTTGACTCAGCATCTCACAGCTCTGACATTGTACACTTGTCTTCCACCATCTCCGAACTCCAGATACTCCTACAGCGAAAGGGATCTGGGCCCAACACAGGGCTCAGTGAAATCTCTTCATCTCTCATTTTATGGAGCTGAGACCTCCTACAAGCTAGAAGAATGATTGCCAATCTGACATCCTTCTCAGGAAAAATGCAATGTTTGTTCTACCTGCATTCCTAACTGGAGGATAAATTCCTGGAGACTTGAGAGAGGGAAGGGAAGGGAACATCTGATGAGGGCAAGGTGTTTTAGAGAAGTTCCACTTGCCAAGGAATGAGCTCCTGTAGGTCATGAAGCAACCCTGGCTGACTCCGCAGAGAAAGAGCCTTGCCGTAACAGAGAACAGAGCTCATGCACGCACACTTCGACTCACTGACTCATTCAGCCACGGCCCCATGCTCAGGCTGTGCAGTGTGGAACCTTTTCCTATTGTTGCCATAACAAATTTCCACAAGATTCGTGGGTGAAAACAAAACGGTTTTTTAATTATCTTACAGTGCTGTAGCTCAAAGTAGGAAGTGCATCTTACTGGGCTAAAATCAAGGTGACAGCAAGGCTGCCTTCCCTCTGAGGATTCCAGGCACGAATCTGCTTCTCACTTGTCCCAGCTTCTAAAGGCTCCCAGTTCCTTGGCTCCTGGTCCCCTTCCTCCTTCCTCAAAGCCCACAAAGACTGGTCACATCTCACATGGCATCACTCAGTGCCTTCTTCCTTACCACACCTCTTTCTCTGAGTGCTGCTCTCCCTTCTTCCTCATCTTTTGAAAACTTGGGGATTCTATTGGGTTCACCAAGATGAAAATCCCTCATAATCTCCTGGAAATCATCCAGGATACCCTTGTTTTAAGTTCAGCTGATTAGCAACCATAATTCCATCTGCAATCTTCATTCCTCCTTTCCATGTAAAATAACATATTCACAAGCTATGGAGGCTAGGACAGGGACATTTTGGGGTGGGACAGCATTCTCCTGCCTTCCACAAACAGTGAACAAGATGCATTTGGCCTCTGCCCTTGGGACACTGATATTGCAGATGGTTAAATGGGAGGGCAGAAAATGAACGCACAAGTGGATCTATAAATGAATGGTCCATTGGGAAGCATCTGTGCATGAAATCTATTTTTTGTTTGTTCTTTTGTTTATTGAGACAGAGTCGCCCTCTGTCTTCCAGGCTACAGTGCAGTGTCACGATCTTGGCTCACTGCAACCTGCGTCTCCTGGATTCAAGTGATTCTCCTGCCTCCGCCTCTCGAGTAGCTGGGATTACAGGCAACTGCCACCGTGCCCGGCTAATTCTTTTTGTATATTTTTTGTAGAGAGGATGTTTCACCACGTTGGCCAAGCTTGTCTGAAACTCCCAACCTCAAGTGATCCGACCGTCTCAGCATGCCAAAGTAATGGGACTACAGGCGTGAGCCACTGTGCCCAGCCAGAATTCAAAATCAATAATAGATAATGCTGAGTGTATGATTTCAGGTGACAAAGAAGGTCTCACTATTCAGATATTTGTGACATTAATGAAAAACACGGAATGAACCCCTGAAAGATTGGCGGAAGGATTTTGCACACACAGCTGTCAGCCATGAAGGCACAAAGGTGAAAACAATCTGATGTGGAAGGAAGAGGCTCTGACTCAAATGCTGGGAATGAGGTGGGGAGAATGACAAGACGACTGTAGAGAGACGGAGAGCACACTGGGTACACAGGAAACTAAGGAGCAACAAGGAGTGTGTGTTTGACACTCACAGCCATTGGATTCACCTCGGGGTAACCAGGAATCCCTACATGATTAATATGACTGACATGAAAATAAGGGAGGCCCAGGTGCATAACTGGAATCTAGGAGACCGTGGAAAAGGCAATTGCCGCCCCACTGGTGAAATGTGGTGCTGATTTAGACACTAAATGAATGAAGTAGATGGATATAAGATATGTTTGTGAGGTAGAATCATTGACTGGAAAGGCTTACTGGGTTTGATTTTCCTACTTGTTTAATCCTCGCTTAATTAATTTCTTTCTGAGATTTATTCATCCTACACATAAATCAATACCTGGCAAAGGAGTGACAGATATATGAGTGGTGGTGGAAATGAAGAGACTTATTATAGCATAATATACAAGTCTGTGAACAGTGGCTCACGCCTGTAACCTAGCACTGCAGGAGGCCAAGGTGGGTGGATTCCATGAAGTCAGGAGTTCCAGACCAGCCTGGCCAACGTGGTGAAACCCTATCTCTACTAAAAATACAAAAATTAGCCGAGCACGATGGTGCATCCCTGTAATCCCAGCTCCTATTCTGGAGGATGAAGCAGGAGAATGACTTCAACCCAGTAGGTGGAGGTTGCAGTGAGTGGAGATTGCATCACTGCACTCCAGCCTGGGGGACACAAGGAGACTCTATCTCAAAAAATAAAAATAAGAAATACATAAATATAATAAAACACACACGAATGACAAAGGCACCTGAATTCCAATCATCGTTTTTCTATTTCTCTATAATTACTTCTTTGATCCTTTATCTTATCCATTAGGCAATGAGCCTAAAACCTCTTCCCTATTTGGCTTTCTGTGAGCATGAGATCATATAGAAAATGTGAAAGCCCGCTGAATCCTCCAGCACAGATCCTGGAATAGAGAAAGTGCTCTGGTCATCACAAAAAAAACTTGCCCACTCACCCAAATCCCCCACCTCACCCCTACTTCCAATCACCTGTGGAGATTCAGATAGACCATGGGGAGGTAAACATTAACACTCCTTGGAGTGAGTCCAGATCTTGGAATCAGAGATCAGCGACAGCACTAGCTCCTGCTCCCCTTTCCTACTAATTCACAGGAGGACAGGTGGTTTTGAAGCAATAGATGGCCGAGGGGGTGGTCCTCCCCCCAGCCTCTCGGGTAGAACAGCAGCCTAATATGTGTCTCCCGAGATCACAAAGAGCAGCAGGTTTCACACGGGCTTCAACACTATTTCCTGGCCGTTTGACATAAGAGAATTCTATTTCGCTTTTTTTATCTTGATTTCACTTTTGTTTTCTTTCCTTGGAGAATGCAAGTTGTTTGATTCAAGAATGCTGTGGATGTAGAAACCCTAAAGCACATTCGCTGTGAATCAATCCCAGTCCAGTCTTCCCAGAGAAGACTCTAAACACCTCCTGGACTGCACCTGGGCCTATGCCAATTCCTATCACTCACCGTCACTCCAGGGAGACAGAACACACAGAGAATACGTTACATAGGCAGGTTCATTACTAACAGATAAGCAGCGAGTGACAACAGAAACCTATATTTCAATGTGACCCAGTCCCTCAAGGCTCAGAAAAGCTCCTCGGGACATATGGAGTCACCCCATTTGCAGTGTAGCTGCGGGAAGCCAGAAAGCAGCCCAGCCTGGGTTTTGTACCCTGGAGCCACAGGAAGCACTCAGCTAAAGCACTGCATGACGTCCTCCAGGAAGAACAGGAAGACAGCCCAGGGTGTTCTGAGACGTTCCTCCTGATCTCAGGAAGTTGCTGTCTTAGGCCATTTTTGTTGCTCTAAAGGAACACTTGAGCCTCGGTAACTTCTAAAGAAAAGAGATTGGTTTGCCTCACCGTTCTGCAGGCTGTACTGGAAGCATGGCACCAGCATCTATTTCTCGTGACGGCCTCAGGCTGCTCCCACTCTGGCAGAAGGGAAGGAGGGTCTGTCTGTGCAGAGACCACAGAGATCACACGGCAAGAGAGGGAGCAAGGGGGAGGGGGAGTGATGGAGCTTCCAAGCTCTTTTTAACAACCAGCTCTCCGGGAACTAATAGAGGGGGAACTTGCTAACCCCGTCTCCTTGGGACAGCATTGATGTGTTCATGATGGATCCACCTCCATGACCCAAACACCTCTCAAGAGGCCCAACCTCCCACAGTGGGGGTGAAATTTCAATGTGAGGTTTGAAGGGGTCAAACATCTCAACTAAAGTAGTCGTATCCTCAGCACGTTCTATGGTTACTATGAGAGCTATAACTGAAAAAGCAGGAGAAAGCTGGGTCTCCTGCCATCTGGGTGCTTGTCCTAAAGAGGTGTTTTATGTGGTTACCTGTCAATCAAGAAATGCGAGACAATTCATAAAGAGGAACTGCTAAGATTAGCTTCTTATTGGTGTCTCATCTTCTTCCAGGTAACCCCCGACACCTGCACATTCTGATTGGGACCTCAGTGGTCATCATCCTCTTCATCCTCCTCTTCTTTCTCCTTCATCGCTGGTGCTCCAACAAAAAAAGTAAGTCTTACGAAGCAGAGGCCAGAGAGCTCAGGGCCATGTGGGGAAGCAGGATGGGAGCACTCAGGTGTGTGTTCCTCACAAACAGGATGGTCCCTGGCCCAAGGCAGCAGCCACAGAGGCAGGACTTTCTAGAGAGGGCACCAGACTCCCTGTCCCTGCCTTCAACTCACAGACCGTTGCCTGATTCTGAACTGTATCCCCATGTCCCCTGCAGCCACTCACATCCAGGAGAAGGTTCCATGACAGGCAGAAAGTGGGAGACAGAATCAATGGGATGGGAACTCAGAGCTATTCATGGGATGGGTCCTTGAGCTCAGAGAGATAGAATGTCTGAGTCTGCTGTTGGCAACTGAGGGACCTCAGCCACCTATGGTCTCCCCCTGTATGTTGGTATCTGCTTATGAAATGAGGACCCAGAAGTGCCCTCCGAGCTGTTTTGTTGACTTCCATCTTCTACAGATGCTGCGGTAATGGACCAAGAGTCTGCAGGAAACAGAACAGCGAATAGCGAGGTAGGTACTCCTCGGCCCGGGCTCGTGGCTACTGTTATTCCCAAAGAGTCCTGGAAAATGTGAGCACCCTCCCTCACTCAGCATTTCCCTCTCTCCAGGACTCTGATGAACAAGACCCTCAGGAGGTGACATACACACAGTTGAATCACTGCGTTTTCACACAGAGAAAAATCACTCGCCCTTCTCAGAGGCCCAAGACACCCCCAACAGATATCATCGTGTACACGGAACTTCCAAATGCTGAGTCCAGATCCAAAGTTGTCTCCTGCCCATGAGCACCACAGTCAGGCCTTGAGGGCGTCTTCTAGGGAGACAACAGCCCTGTCTCAAAACCGGGTTGCCAGCTCCCATGTACCAGCAGCTGGAATCTGAAGGCGTGAGTCTGCATCTTAGGGCATCGATCTTCCTCACACCACAAATCTGAATGTGCCTCTCTCTTGCTTACAAATGTCTAAGGTCCCCACTGCCTGCTGGAGAAAAAACACACTCCTTTGCTTAACCCACAGTTCTCCATTTCACTTGACCCCTGCCCACCTCTCCAACCTAACTGGCTTACTTCCTAGTCTACTTGAGGCTGCAATCACACTGAGGAACTCACAATTCCAAACATACAAGAGGCTCCCTCTTAACGCAGCACTTAGACACGTGTTGTTCCACCTTCCCTCATGCTGTTCCACCTCCCCTCAGACTAGCTTTCAGTCTTCTGTCAGCAGTAAAACTTATATATTTTTTAAAATAACTTCAATGTAGTTTTCCATCCTTCAAATAAACATGTCTGCCCCCATGGTTTCGGTAATGGGACTCTTTTCTTGCCTAAGGCTTCCGGTGTTATCAGTACCATGTCCATATAATCCCATCTGTTCCCCACTGAGTTCTCATCCCCGGACTCTGAGTTTCTGGAAGCAGGGTGGAGCCTCATTTGTCTCTGGGACTCCAATTTCCATCCAAAGATGTAGCACATAGGAGGTTCCAAGGATCACGAATCATATGAACAAGTGATACTCTTACTCTCTGCAGACCTGGAAAGCTGGCAGAGTCATTCCACAATGAAACATTTGTAGAATCATAGGCCTTGTTAGTCTCATCTCCATGGGGACACATATCAACACATCATCTTTCATAATATAAATATACGGTCACTCCTCCATATCTGCGGGGTTTACAGGTGTTTATTGAACCAAGTATAAATCAAAAATATTGAGAGAAAGTATCCACAGAGTTTCAAAAAGCATAACTATGTTGAATGGACACAAATGAAGCTGTGTGTAGGCTGTATCAGGAATTATAAGTAATCTAGAGATGATTTCATGTATACAGGAGGATGTGCATAGGTTATTTGCAAACGCTGTGCCATTTCATATAAGAGGCTTGAGCATCTACAGATTTTGGTATCTGAGTGGAGATCTCAAAACCAATCACCCACGAATAGTGAAGGATGACCGTATATGACTTTTATTTCTCAAATTTAAATATAAATCATAAAAAATGTACAACTAGATAAAAACTAAGAAGTGTTTTTATAGTGTGAGTTAGATTTATTTTTTCCTAGGTGTAACCAATTGGTTTAATATTATTTATTGAGAAGACATTCTATGCCACCTTAAACCACACGGCAGCCTTTGTCAACTCTAAAGGGACTGTGTGTACATGGATGTATTTTAGACACTGTTTCTGCTAAGGGGCTCTCTGTGTCCACACTCTTGATGATGCTGCACTTTATGTAGCCTTATAGAACCCTTTAAATTTAGTAGCCAGAGCCCTCTAATTTGTTATTATAGGCTGTTTGCTTTTTTTTTCTTGAGGCGGAGTCTTGCTCTGTCGCCCAGGCTGGACTGCAGTGGCACAATCTCAGCTCACTGCAACCTCCGCCTCCCAGGTTCAAGCGATTCTCGTGCCTCAGCCTCTTGAGTAGCTGGCGTTACAGGTGCCTGCCACCAGGCACGGCTAATTTTTGGATTTTTAACAGAGACACGGTTTCACTATATTGGCCAGGCTGCTCTCAAACTCCTTATCTCAGTTGATCCGCCCACCTCGGCTTCCCAACGTGCTGGGGAAAACTTGATTTTCTATAGCATTATGTTACTGGATATTTCTGTAAAATTTAAAACGAGGGAGGGAGAGAGACAGACAGAGAGCAAACTCCAGAGTTGGGACTCTGGAATCTTGGGTCATGAGACAAATTTTAGATTAAACTACAAAACTCCAGAATTTACAGGTGTGGTTTTTGCTGATAAAGTACAATTCTAAGATTGTAAATAATTGCATAATCCTTCCCTGGGAATTTAAATCATTTTAGCTGGTTCTGCTGTAATACTAGAAATACAAGCATGAAAAATTCTAATGGTTTATTAGTCACAATGACTCCGAAAACATTAATAATACCTATTAGATACTTTGCATATTACACAGGAAGAAGAGTTTGAATCTCAGATAAAAACAAAAAAAATACATGAAAAGTCTTTCATGTTAGCACAGATTTTAGGCATCTCGTGTTCGGATAAAAATACATGAAAAGTCTTTCACGTTAGCACAGATTTTAGGCATCTTGTGTTCGGGAGGTTGGATCTGAGACGTGTTGTGAGTTGGTCATAGTGAAGGACGTGAGGTGCCAATTCTAGTGAGAACAATTTCCAGGAAGCCGTGTTCCGCTCTTGAGCAAGCATCCACTGGGCCTCATGCAAGGTAGAAAGAGCCTGCGTACGTCACCCTCCCATGATGTAGTCAACATGTAAGCTGCATGGGCAGGGCGCCAAATAACATCCTGTGCGCTGCTGAGCTGAGCTGGGGCGCGGCCGCCTGTCTGCACCGGCAGCACCATGTCGCTCATGGTCGTCAGCATGGCGTGTGTTGGTGAGTCCTGGAAAGGAATAGAGGGAGGGAGTGCCACATCCTCCTCTCTAAGGTGGCGCCTCCTTCTCCCCCAGGTGGTCAGGACAAGCCCTTCCTCTCTGCCTGGCCCAGCCCTGTGGTGTCTGAAGGAGAACATGTGGCTCTTCAGTGTCGCTCTCGTCTTGGGTTTAACGAATTCAGTCTGTCCAAAGAAGACGGGATGCCTGTCCCTGAGCTCTACAACAGAGTATTCCGAAACACCGTTTTCATAGGCCCTGTGACCCCAGCACATGCAGGGACCTACAGATGTCGGGGTTCACACCCACACTTCCTCACTGGGTGGTCAGCACCCAGCAACCCCCTGGTGATCATGGTCACAGGTCAGAGGGCTCCTGTCTGGGATTCTCCTTGTCCCACCTCCTGAGTCCCAGAGCTTCTGGTGGGAGTGTCCACCAGCGTCCCATCATCCAGACCCTAACTGTATTTGGGGTAAAAGGGGATTGAATACAGGGAAATGGGTGCTGTGGTGGAAAGAATAATTGTCCCCAATGATGACTGCATTCTAATCCCTGCAGTCTGTGACTATTTATGTTATAGGGGAAGGCACTGAAGGGGAAGATGGAGCTCAGGTTGTTGAGTTGACCTTGAGATGGGGAGACAGCCTGGACTGTCCTGCTGGGCTCAGTGTAATCACAAGGGTGCACATGAGAGGAGAAGGAAGAGGGGAGTGGCGATTAGAGCAGTGCAATGGAAGTCTCCATCAGCTTTGAAGGTGGAGGAAGGCCATGAGCCATGAATGCAGGTGGCCTATAGAGGCTGGAAAAGTCAAGGAACTGATTCTCCTGGGTCTCCAGAGGGAACGCAGCCCTGCAGATGCCTTGATTTTAGCCCTCAAAAAACAGGGTCCGATTTCTGTCTCCAGAAACGGAAGGGGTCAGTGTGCTCTCTCCTGCTGCCATGCTTCTGATAATTTTCCACAGCACCAACAGGAAACCAACACTGGAACCCAGGTCAAGGACAAGATAAGAAAGGACACAAGGATAGCCGGGCGTGGTGGCAGGTGCATGTAATCCTAGCAACTCAGGAGGCTGAGGGCAGGAGAATCACTTGAACCCAGGAGACAGAGGTTGCAGTGAGCCTAGACCACACCACTTCACTCCAGCCTGGGTGAAGGAGTGAGACTCTGACTCCAAAATTAATTTATTAATTAAAGAAACCAAACAAAGAGAAGGTTGGCTACACCGAGATCAGCAAGGGTGGGATGATGATGCCACCACCAGGCTCCATCCACATAGGGAGGGGTTGATACTCCTCAAACCAGCACCAGAAGCCAGCCTATGGAAGCTGGCACCATGGAGAAGGCACAGGCATGGCAAGAGTGGCTCCCAGTCCCCACCAGGAACAGGGTGTGTGGACACTGGTGCCTGCCTTACTGATCAGTTCATACCTTCTGCCAAGGATTCCAATTCGTCCAAAAGAGATTGAACCAGTCTGCTAAGAGCCTGGACGTGCAGCCTATCCTGGTTCCTCTTCCACCCCCACATAGAAGCAGGAAAGACATTAGTTCGAAATAGATACAACAGCCCAAGAGATGAGGCTGAGCCCAGCGGCAAGGGAATCAGGAGCTACTAGAGACAGAGGGACAGAGAAGAGGGAGGGAGACAGATGGAAGGACCTGTACCAGGAGTTATGGGCACAGAAAAGAACATGAAGACACAGAGAGGAAGGAGAGAGATAAGACACCAGCGAGGGGAAGCCTCACTCATTCTAGGTGCCATGGATGGGATGATAAAGAGAGATGCCTTCTAAAGTCACAACCTCTCTTCCTAGGAGTCCACAGAAAACCTTCCCTCCTGGCCCACCCAGGTCCCCTGGTGAAATCAGAAGAGACAGTCATCCTGCAATGTTGGTCAGATGTCATGTTTGAGCACTTCCTTCTGCACAGAGAGGGGAAGTTTAATGACACTTTGCGCCTCACTGGAGAGCTCCATGATGGGGTCTCCAAGGCCAACTTCTCCATCGGTCGCATGACGCAAGACCTTGCAGGGACCTACAGATGCTACGGTTCTGTTCCTCATTCCCCCTATCAGTTGTCAGCTCCCAGTGACCCTCTGGACATCGTGATTACAGGTGAGAGTGTCTGGACATTATTCTCATTGTCACTGGGACACAGAGTGAATGATCCACGACTTGGAGGCCCAGGTGGTTATAAGGAAGATGAGCTTGGTATTCTTATGGAGAGAGACTAACTTGGTGAGGTCTGTACCAACAGAGACAGAGAAACAGGAGACACAAGTACAGACCAGGTGTCATAACAGAGGACAGACACAGGGGCCATACAGGGAGTTAGAAAAGACAGAAAGAGTTAAAGGAGACACAGACAGACATGTGCCAGAGAGAGGTGTCCTTCCATGCTGACTTTGCTCAGAGACCTGGCACAGGTTAGAAGTTTCATTTCTGTTTTACTTCCACAAAGTGTTCTCTACCAGAAGAACCCAAGGACACCCATATTTCTGGCCTGAGTTGGGCCCTGTGGCCTCAGGCCTTCTGGCACCTACAGATGCCGTGTTTATTCTGACACCTCTGCCTTCCATGCAATGGAGAGTAATCGTCCCAGGATATCATGGCCCCAGAACATCAACCCCTGTATACTGTGTGAACTTGCGGTCCCCAGACTGGATTCTGAGGCTCACATTCCAAATAACCCCACATATGAGAGGATCACTGAGAGACACAGAGAGAAATCAGGGACACCAAAAAGCAAAGACATAAACACACAGAGAATGAGCCAGAGGAAGGAGATTGAGAGACTCACAGACACATAAAGAGGGAGAAAAGAGGGCAGAGAAGTGGAGAGAACAATGGAAGGGAACAGAGAAAAGCACTAAAATTAGAGTCCTGAGGGAGAGACACAAGGACATAGAAAGATGGAGATGTGGGGATGAATTGCAGAGATTCCAAAGAGAACTAGAGAGACCGAGAGGCAGAGCAAGACAGATGATAGATGGATAGATATAGATAGATGATAAATAGGTAGATGATAGATAATAGGTTATAGATACATAGATGATGATTGATTCATTCATTGATTAATCGATGATACATAGAGATGATGAAGATGAAGATAGATAGATAATACATAGAGATAGAGAGGCAGACAAAGAGAAATCATAGAGAGAGAGAGACGATACATAGATATAGATAATAGATGATTTTTGGATAGACAATTGATAGATAAATAGATTATATATAGATATAGATGACAGGTAGAGAATTTGTAGATAGGCACCAAATAGATAAATAGATATATCGATAGATAATAGATAGAAATATGCAGAAAGTTATGAACAGGACACAAAGTGAGAAACTCAGAATTTAAAAAAAGTAACATCAAGTCAACTAGTCCAAGGAGAGTCAGAGAGAATAAAACAATCCAAAAAGGGAAAACATATCTAGAGGTGAGAAAGTGAGGTCAGAGACCTAGAGAGACAGAGAAGGTGGAAAGAGGAAATAGACATAAAGAGAGATGGTGTGGAGGGTGAGACAGAGAGAGAGAGCATTAGGCCATAGAGCAGGGGAGTGAGTTCTCAGCTCAGGTGGGAGGGGAGTTGTGACAAGGAAGAACCTCCCTGAGGAAACTGCCTCTTCTCCTTCCAGGTCTATGTGGGAAACCTTCTCTCTCAGCCCAGCCGCGCCCCATGGTTAAGGCAGGAGAGAGCGTGACCTTGTCCTGCAGCTCCCGGAGCTCCTATGACATCTACCATCTATCAAGGGAGGGGGAGGCTCATGAACTTAGGTTCCCTGCAGTGCCCAAGGTCAATGGAACCTTCCAGGCCAACTTTCCTCTGGGCCCTGCCACCCACGGAGGGACCTACAGATGCTTCGGCTCTTTCCGTGACTCTCCCTACGAGTGGTCAGACCTTAGTGACCCACTGCTTGTTTCTGTCACAGGTGAGGAAACCAGTCTGTTCCCCAAATAGTGGGACTCAGATGGACTACAATGGCCACATTCAGGGGAGCCTCAGATGGAGGGGGTGGCCATGGGGGTGTCAGCCAGAGATGCTGGACAGAAGAGACACAAAGCAAACATACAGAAAGAGGCATAGACAGACAGACAGAGCGAGGCAGACAGATCACATTAGGGTTTGGGGTGGTAACTGCAACCCTACCTGAAGCTTGCAGATAGAGCACAGGCCACATAAACCACTTCCCAGTCTTTGTACAGAAGCCCACCTGGGACACATGTAAACAGCATCAATGCTGACTCAGGAGCATGAAAGGCCGGGCTCAGATTGGAAAGACTAGAGGTAGCATTGGCCGCCCGCCATTGCCCATTTCCAGAAGCCCCCACCTCTCACCAAAGAGTGATTTCCACATGGGGGGCACAGATGCAACCATCGTTGGGGGAGCCCCAATGTCTCTTGATGGGAGGCATTTTCCACCCTAGATGTTTTTTGCTCTCTCCACACCTTGGAGACTCAGTGGGGGAGTCTTCTCTGGGGACTCGGGGAGGGCCTCCCTGGGACTCGCAGGATTTCCAAGCTAGATGACAACATGACAGGTGGAAACAGGCCCATTCCTTCGCCAGGGGCCCCAAGCTCCATCCCAGGAGATGAGAAGAGGCTCTTCTCATTGGTCAGTGGATCCCTGAGGGGACAGAGGCTCAGCACTGAAGGCTGAGAAGGATCTGCCACTTCGCTCAGTGGCCTCAAGCCAGACATCTTCCCTACAGACTTGCAGTGATTCTCCATCAGCATTTAGGGCTGTGGCCACCAACCTGGGTGTTGGTCTGTAGGAACTTTTCATTTCTGACCTTCCATAACTGAGTTCTCTTCCTAAATGTGGAATGCCTTGTACTCCATGTTACTCTCTCCCCAGAAAGAATGTGTGGCTTGTCTGCTCTCCAGCCCTGTCATGGAGATTGATAATCCTTAGGGAGCAAGAGGAGAGGGAAAGAACAAAGTATGAGACCACCTAGGTGCTACTGGTTGAGGTTCCATTTGCCAGTGAAGGGACTTCACTCAGCCGAGGGGGCAACTCAGGGAAGTCAGCCGAGGGAGGGCATTAGAGTAGAGAGAACTGAGCTCACCCAGTAAATGACCCCTTCACTAACTCATTCATCTAATATTTATTTCACACCTACCATCAGTTCTCTCTGTTTCACGGCCAGGAGTAGACAGCACGGCCAAGCTCCTGGGTTCATGATGCTCACATTGCTGTGGGGTGGGAGAGAGAGGCAGAACATGAATGAATGAATGAGAGAATGAATGAATGAGTGAATGATGGAATGAGTGAATGAATGAATGAATGAATGTATGAATTAGTGAGTGAATCCTTAGCACTTGGTGAAAGTGCCATGCACAGAATGAAATGAATGAACGTGGAACGTTGTCATTTGGAGTGTACAGGAGGGAACGTCTCACTGAGACCTCATCAGAGAGATCACATTTAAACTCCGATCTTAGAGACAAGAGGGAGTGAGCCCTGGGGAGTGTGTTGAAAGGAACTTTCATGGACTTAGGACATTGGGGATGACCCTAATGTGAGAATGAGCTTGGTGTGTTCCAAGAAGTCCATGGACCTGCCATATGGTGAGGGCTGGTCAGAATCCAGAGAGATTTCTAAATGCCCTTGTGCTTGTAAGGAAAGTGAGTCCTGTGGTTGGGAGTGGACTTATACCTTGGGTCAGGTCCAGCAATTATCTTTCTAAATCCTCTCTAATTGCCTGAACCACTTCTATCAACAACTGAGAAAAGAGGAGTGTTAAACACCCCACTGTGGCCGTGGATTTGCCTACCTGTCCATTTATTTCCGCGACTCTTCCTCCATGTATATTTGCAGGAATATTACTGGGAGTGGTTAAGTGTAAACTGATTATATATTCCTGGTAAATTTAAAATGCTATAAATTTACCTGCTTTTTTCCTACATTTTATGCTTAATGTTTTCCGCTGATTTTTCCCAAAGACTAATTTTGTCTAATTTTAATATAGTTATACCACATTTCTAACAGTGATTGCTTGGTATATTTCTACATTGTTTAATTTCAAACTCCATGAATTGTTAACATTGAGATGTGTCCTTTGTAAATTTCAAACAATTCGCCTTAGAAAGTAAGACTTTCTGACAATCTTTTGTTCATGTTTGAGCAGTTCTTCCAATCATATTTTTGTTATTATTACGTTGTGTTTTCCTGATTCCCTTTTTTTCCCACTGACTTCTGTGGTTTTCTATTTCAAACATTCTATTTTTGATCTATGTCGTTTAGGAATACATATATGGTGTACTCATCCTGAAGTTGTTACATATTTTTAAAATTGAAATTAATCATTTCAGAGATTAAACTGCAAATATAAAAACATATTTCCACTCTTCCTGTGTAAGAACAGGATTTTAGAGCATATTTAGTACATATGTTTGTATTTACTTATATGATGTTTTGTTTTGTGGTATACATAATTCTATCTTTTTCAGAAATTACACAGGGGCGTGTTTTCATACACTATCGTATGGTCCATATTCATTTTTGGCATAGCCATATTTTTAGTTCTTCCTCTGCTCTTAGTTATTGTCAGAATCTTCGACACCCCATCTGGTTTCACTTTCTTTATCTTTGAGGCACGGTCATCAGAATTTCCTTTAGGGTCAGTGAGAAAAGCTTTCTTTGCCCTTTTGTCTTTCAGTTCTGTTTCTTTCCTGCGTTGATCTTGGACAGTAACTGTACTATGTAAGGAATTGTCGGTGGCTGGCGACGGTATCTTAGCTGGGTAAAGATGCTATTCTACTGGCTTATGTTTTCCTTTTTTCTGTGGGGAAGACAATGCTTGGCTCCCTATAAATCCTTACCAGCTGATCCTTTTCCTCTGGCTAATTTTAAGGGTTGGTTGTGCTTTTATGCTGCTTTTCTGTAATGTTGAACGTGAGGTGTGTTTACTTCATTCTGCCTGGCATTCACTGGATTTCTTGAACCTGTGGATTGATGGATGTGTCTACTTCCTCCAAATAATCAACAATTGCCTCTTTAAAGATTGCTTCTGACCTGTTTTCTCGTTCTTTCTTTTTGGAACTCAAGTTAGGAGCATTCTAAAACTGTTGTCAATTTTTACCCTGTCACAAAACTGCTCTTTCTTGTTTCAGTTATTTGCTTTTTCTGTGCATTAATATTGATGGTTTCCTCTGTCATAGAGGATAAATACTCTCTTCACTGTTGTGTACACAACATTTTAACTAGTTATTCTGGTTTAAATTTAATATTGACTTTATCTACATATCACAATTGATTACTGTGTACAGACTTTCTTTTCTATTAGTATAAATTTATGAGGTACACTTGTAATTTTGTGACATGAGTATGTTGCAGAGTAGTGAAGTCAGGACTTTTACTATATCCATCACCCAAATACCGTACATTGTACTCATTAAGCAAATTCTCATCACTCACCCACGTCCCGCCACCCTCCAGCCTTCTAGCCTCCGCTGTCCGTCATTCCACACTCTACGTCCATATGTACACATTACTCCCCTCCCATGTAGAGTGAGAAGATGTGGTATTTGTCTTTCTGAGTGGTTTTATGTAAAATAATGGCGTCCAGCTCCATCTATGTTGCTGCAAAAGACATGGTTTTATTTTTATGACCAAATAGTATTTCGTTGTGTATACACGCATCCTTTTTTTAATCCAATCATTCATTCACAGACACTTAGATTGATTTCATATCTTTGCTATTGCAAACAGTGCTGCAATAAACATACAGGTGCAGGTATTTTTTGAGTAGATACCCAGCAGCGGGACCCCTAGATCGAATGGTGCTTCTATTTTTGGTTCTCTGCCAAATTTCCATACTGTCTTCCATAGAGGCTATACTAATTTACATACCGGCCAACAGTGTATAAGAGTTTCCTTTTCTCTGCATCCTTGCCAACACCTGTTATATGTTTCACTTTTTCTTTTTTTCTTTTTGAGATGGAGTCTTCCACTGTCACCCAGGCTGGAGTGCAGTGCCGCCATCTCCACGCGCTGCAACCTCCACCAACCAGGTTCAAATGATTCTCCTGCCTCAGCCTCCTGAGTAGCTGGGATTACAGAACCACACCACCATGCCCAGCTAATCTTTTGTATATTTAGTAGAGATGGGGTTTCACTATGTTGGTCAGGCTGGTCTCAAACTCCTGACCTCATGATCCACCCGCCTCAGCTTCCCAAAGTGCTGGGATTACAAGCGTGAGCCACCACTCCCCACCAGCATTTTTAGTAATAGCCATTCTGACTACTGTAAGATGATATCTCATTGTGGTTTCAATTTGCATTTCTCTGATGATTAGTGATGTTCATACGCTGTTTGGCCATTCGTATGTCTTCTTTTGAAAAATGTCTATGTATATCCCTTTGCCCACTTTTTAATGCTATTATTTGAGGGGTTATGTTTAGTTGTTTGAGTTGCCTAGAAATTCTGGATGTTAGTCCTCTGTTGGGTGCATAGTTTGCAAACATTTCCATTCATTCTGTGGGTTGTCTGTTCACCCTGCTACTATTTCCTTTGCTTGGCAGAAGCTCTTTCGTTTATTAAGTCCCATTGGTCTAGTTTTATTTTTATTGCCTGTGCTTTTGAGGTCTTAGTGATGAATTCTTTGCCCAGACCAATGCCCAGAAGAGTTTCTCTTTGGGTTTCCACCGGTGATTTTATAGTTCTGGATTTACATTTAAGCTGCTAATTACCTTAAGTTAATTTATGTGTATGATTACAGATACAGGTCCAGTTTTATTCTTCTGCATATGGCTATTTAGTTTTCCCAGCACCTTTTATTGAAAAGGAAATCTTTCTCCAGTGTATGTTTTGTTAACGTCGTCAATGATTATTCACTGTAGATATGAGGCTGTATTTCTGGGCTCTCTATTCTGGTCTATTGATCTCTGTTTCTGTGTCTATACCAGCACTGTGCTATTTAAGTTACTATAGCCTTAGAGCATAGTTTGAAGTCAGATAGCGTGATGCCTCCAGGTTTCTACATTCACCTAGAATTGCTTTCTCTATTAGGATCTTTTTTGGTTCTGTATGAATTTTAGGATTGCTTTTTCTAATTCTGTGAAAACTGGTGTTACTATTTTCATATAAGAATTGCACTGAATCTGTAGATTGCTTTAGGCAGTATGGTCATTTTAACAATATTAATTCTTATGATCCATGAGCGTGGGATTTTTTTTCTTTTTTTTTTTTTTGTATTATCTATAATTGCTTTCATTGGTGTCTTACACCTTTCCTGGTACAGATCTTTCACCACCTTGGTTAAATGTATTCCTGAGTGTTTTAATTTTGCGTATCTATTGTAAACGGCATTGCCTTCTTGATTTGGTTCTCAGCTAGATCATTATAGGTGTAGAGAAATGCTACCGGCTTTTACATATTGATTTTGTATTCTGAAACTTTACTTAGTTCATTTATCAATCATAAGAATTTTTGGCAGGGTCTTTAGGATTTTCTAGATTTAAGATCATAGCATCAGAAATAAAAATAATTTTACTTCCTCTTTTCTAATTTGGATTTTTAATTCTTCCTGTTGCCCAATAGCTCTGACAAGGCTTCCAGTACTATGTTGATAGGAAGTGGTGGATGTCCGTGTCCTTGTCTTGTGCCAGTTCTCAGAGGAGTGCTTTTAACTTTTCCTGTTCAGTATGATGTTGACTCTAGATATGTCATCTATGGCTTTTATTATTTTGAGGTATGTTCTTTCTATGCCTAAGTTTTTGAGGGTTTTCATCAGGTAAGGATGTTGAATTTCTTTTCAGATGCTTTTCTTTATGTCTATTGAGATGATCATATGGTTTTTGTTCTGGATTCTGCTCGTTCTTCTAAGTGGATGAGACATGCCAGAAAAGCATTTAGTCAGCCATCTTGGAAACAAGCATCTCAGATGTTTTCTTTCTCTATAGCTCATTCTTTCTTACCAGTGTTTTCAATTTTGTACTTAATTTTGTAAAGAGAGTAAATGATATAATTTCCACATATGTTTCCTCTGCCAAATCAGACTCACTATGCTTCCTTTCCTTGTATACATAACCTACCCAGCAATACACACAAACATTTATTGCTTTGGAGAATTAGTTTGGGAACATTTTTGAAATGTACAAAAAAATGTATATCTTCAAAAGAAATTTCTTTTTGTGGCAAAAGACTTCTGAAGGTGCTCATGATGATATAGGGAGAAGAGGGGTTCTGGACAGGAAGAATTTTATGAAGGTGAGATGGGGAAATAGCTCCATTTCAGAGCTTCTGGGGAGAGAGGGGCCTGGCCCACATGGAAAGGTCTCTGATCTTACCCCCACCCTCCAGCCCCTGTTCTCCAGAACTATACTGTGGAGAGTTCCATCAGGATTGTTGTGGCTGGTCTGGTCTTCCTGGCTCTTTTGGCAATGCTGGCTAAGACCTGGTGGAGACATGAGGGGCCACAGGTGGAAATGGAAGAAACATGACTGAAGCTGGCTGGAGTGAATGGCGCGACATTCTGTCTGTGGGAGATTGGCCAGATGGGTTTCAAGTGTGTTGTATCAGCTGTGACTTTTAGTAATGTTCTTGCTACCACAATATCCACTCGTCCATCCCGAATAATTGTGATGAAATATTGTCCTTGGGATAATATTCATTTGCTAAAGACAGGGATGATACCTCAAGGTGCCACTATATACATCGAGGGGATCCACAAAAGTCCATTCAGTAAAATGTAGTTGGCATCTTAGGGTAGGTTGATTCCACCTCTAAAAAAGTAGGTACAACATCAGGTTGATTTTTCCGAAGAAAAGTGGTGATTGGCCATCTTTAGTCTCAATGTAAACGGTAATACTGATGAGTGTGGAAAAGGCAGGGAAGAGGATTGACAATAAGTGACACTCATTGTTTTCATCTGAGCTTTGAGACTGAAAGAGGAACACAGGAGTGAGATGTATGGGAACAAACCCCTTCTTTTTCCAGCTAAACAGAGTGGAAGTTGGACACTGAGTTTTGGCGTACAGCAAAATCCTAAGTCCATTGTTGGGTTGAACACGGCCATGTTGTACATCCTGGTTTCACAGCAGACACTGGAGGAAAACAGCCTGTATTCATAAGAGGCTGTCCCTCGGGTCACTGCCCAGAATATCCGGAGTTGGTGCTCACAGGGTTGGGAACTCTCCTGGACCAGACAGGCTCTGGATATGGGGGGGTACCAAGCTCCCCGGGGCCATGCCTCCACAGCTCTCTTCTCACCTCATTCTTGACCATTTCCCAAACCTCTGACCTCACCTTCATTCATCCATGGTGAACACGCTAAAGCTGGCCTTCAAAGCTTGAGACAGAGGAAAATTGGGCTTCATCTCTGGGAACTAAATTGGGGAGTGGAGACTCAGTTCTGGCCTGACAGGAGGGAGAAGACCCTGGATCCCAGTGTGGATGGGAAGAAGTATGTGTTTCTCTTTTGTGCTTGGACCCTGTGTCCAAGCATGTCTGAGATGTGATGAAGATGAATCTTCCTTTCCTTGTCTATTTTCTCATGCCAGAGAATTGGAATCTTATATTCCATTAACTCTTTCTGTTCTGTTCATCCAGATTCTATGAAGGAGAAAGGAAAAGATGTGATACTGTAATTTTGCTCCATTTGTCTAAAATGAGTAGGCTGCAACTCCTCTTGAAGTGATACCTTTTCTAGCTCTTGTTGGAGGTGTCTCAGGACTCATTACTTCGGGGAACCTGCAACTGTGTCAGTCTGGGGAAACTGCAAATATTCTTGTCTTACATTTGTCTCCAGCCAATTGTGATGGACTCCAGTGACCTGCAATTGCTGTTATTGCAGGTAAAATGTACCTGAGTCAGGCCACAGTTCTCCTGGACTATGAGCCCCTGGCCATGTTCCTGAGGCAATTCTGTTCATCTAAATATAATAATAATAACACACTAAAAATGGCAAGCCATTGTTAATTCCTGAAGTCTCATTTGAAAATTACTAAATGTCTGTTATTTTTTGGTGTTTACATTATATGTAGACAGATAAACTACACACACACACACACACACACACATGCACACAGAAGAATGGATTGTTTCATGTAGAAAAGTAAATAATTCAAGATGAAAGGATGAAATGTCATGGCACCTACTATTCTATTTTAGATAAAGGGTCTATGAAAAGATTGATTTCTTTTTATGTTTTATTTGTTGACATTTGAACACAAACTATGTAAGTGAGGGAGTCGATTTGAAAGGGAGAAGAGCAAGTTCAAACACATTCAGGTGAGGTCATGCTTTACATGTTTTAATTGAAATGATCCATCTTGGGAGTAGATCAATAACTGAGATGGTGCCAGGAATGTTAAAAAGCTTTTGTCAGTCCTAAATATTGACAAATAAAATTTAATTAAAGTCTTAGAAGAAAACACAAAGGAAAACTTCACAACATCGGATTTGGCAGTGATTCTTTAGATGTGACAACAACGGCACAGGCTACTACAGAAAAAATAAACAAGTTAGACTTTATGAAAATTTTGAAATATTGTGACTCAAAAGACAACATCAGTTACTTCACATGGCAAGGAAAAAGAACTTTTAAGACGATATTATCAAAGTAAAAAGACAACCCACAGAATGGGAGAAAATGTTTTCAAACCACACCACCTGTAAGGGATTAACATCCAGAATATACAGACAACTCCTAAAACTCAATCACAATAAACTCAATTCAAAAATGGGCAAAGTACTGAAACAGACATTTCTCCAAAGAACATACGCATGAAAAGATATTCAGCATCACGAATCATTAGGGAAATACTAACTAAAACTACACCAGATGCCATTTCATACCCCTTAGGATGGGTATCATCAAAACAACAACAACAACAACAACAAAGTTTCTATACATTAACAACAAACTATCCAAAAAAGTTTACAAGAAAATAAGCCCATTTGCAATAACTACAGAAAACAAAACATGCAGGAATAAATTCACCCAAGGAGTAGAAAGATCTGTATGCAAAAGCTATAAAACATTGATGAAAAAACTCAAGAAATAAACAAATAAATCGAAAGATATTCCATGTTCACGGATCAGAAGGATTAATGTTGTTAAAATGTCCATTCTATCCAAAGTGATTCAATGCAACCATTATCAAAAATCCAATGACATTTTTTTTACAGAAATAGAAAAAACAGTCCTAAAATTCATGTGGAACCACAAAAGATCTCAAATAACCAAAGCCATCTAGAGGGAAAGGAACAAAGTTGGAAGCATCACATTACCTAAACACAAACTACATTACAAAATTACAGTAATTAAAACAACACAGTACTTGCATAAAAACAGACACATAGACCAATGGAAGTGATTCATAGCCCAGGAAAAAAATGCATGCATTTAGGGTCAAACAATTTTTGGGATGTGTCAAGAACACACAATGGAGAAGGAACAGTCTCTTTAATAAATGGGATTGGGAGACTGCATGTCCACATGCAGAAGAATGGAAGTGGACATTTGCCTCACAAAACATACAAAGTCAACTCAAGATAGATTAATGACTTAAATGTAAGATGAAAGACTATAATCCCAGCAATTTGGGAGGCCAAGGTGGGCAGATCACCTAAGGTCAGGATTCCAAGACCAGCATGGCCAACATGGTGAAATCCCGCCTCTACTAAAAATACAAAAACAGCTGGGTGTGGTTGTGGGTGCCTGTAATCTCAGCTACTCGGGAGGTTGAGACAGGAGAATCACTTGAACCCAGGAGGTAGAGGTTGCAGTGAGCCGAGATCGCACCACTGCACTCCAGCCGGGGCAACACAGTGAGACTCCATCTTAAAAAAAAAAAAAAAACTACTAAAAGAAATCAAGGGAAAACTCCACTGGCTTGGGCAAAACCATTTTGGATATTAACCCAAAGGCCCAGGCAACAAAAGCAAAAGTAGACAAATAACATTATATCAAATTGAAAGTTTCTGCAAAGAAAAAAAAAACTCAACAAGTGGAAAGACAACCTATGGAATGGGAGAATATATTTGCACCCATACATCTAATAAGGAATTAATATCCAAAATATATAAGAAACTCAAACAACTCAATGGTAAGAAATCAAATAACCCAACTTAAAAAAATGGGCAAAGTATCTGAATAAACATTTCTAAGAATAAGACAAATCACCAAAAGGTATATGAAAAAATGATTAGCATTACTAAACATCAGCTAAATAAAAATTAAAACTAGAATGAGATATCACCTCACACCTCTTAGAATGACCATTAACAGTCTGGGCATGGTGGCTCATGCCTGTAATTCAGGCACTTTGGGAGGCCGAGGCAGGGAGATTACCTGAGGTCAGCAGTTCGAAACCAGCCTGGCCAATATGGTGAAACCCCATCCCTACTAAAAATACAAAAATTAGCAGAGTTTGGTGGCGCACACTTGTAGTCCCAGCTACTCTGGAGACTGAGGCAGGGGAATCGCTTGAACCCAGGAGGCAGAGGTTGCAGTACACCGAGATTGTGCCACTGCACTCCAGCCTGGGTGACAGAGCAAGACTGAGTCTCAAAAAAAAAAAAAAAAAAAAGACCATTATCAAAAACATAAAAAATAACAAGGGTTAACGAGGATGTGGAGAAAAGGGAACATTTGTATGCAGTTGATGGGAATGTAAATTAGCACAACCATTATGGAAAACAGTCTGGAAGTTCCTGAAAAAATTAAACATAGAATTCCCATATGTGTCTGCAATCCAACTACTGCGCATGTATCCAAAGGAAGTGGAATCAGTATGTTGAAGAGATATCTGCATTCCCATGTTTACAGCCGCATTATTCATAACAGCCAAGATGTGGAATCACCCTTACTGCCCATCTATGGGTGCATGGACAAAGAAAACGTGGTATACGATAGGAACGTAATGAAGTACTATACAACCTTTACAACAAAGAAGGAAGTCCTCTCATTTGTGACAATGTGAAAAAACTTAGAGGACATTATGTTAAGGGAAACAATCCAGGCACAGAAAGACAAATGCCACATGATCTCATGTGTGGAGTGTAAGAAGTGGAACCTAGAGGAACAGTAAAATGGTCGTCGAAAGAACCTGGGATGGAGAGAGATTGAAGAGATGTTGGTCAAAGGATGCAAAATTTCAGTTAGAAGAAATCGGTTCAAGAGATCTATTGTATGTCTTGGTGACTCCAGTTAATAGCAACATATGGTGTATTGAACATTACTAAGAGATTAGATTTTACATGTTCTCACCACACACACAAAACATACAAGTATGTGAAAAAATAAATATGATAAAGAGGTTGTTTCATCCATTCCACAATGTGTACCTATATGAAAACATCATGATGGACACCACAAATACCCTTTTCCTCATTAATTAAATTTGTTTTGGTTTTTTTTTTGAGATGCAGTTTCACTGTTGTTGCCCAAGCTGAGGTGCAATGGCGTGATCTCCGCTCACTGCAACCTCTGCCTCCCAGGTTCAAGCGGTTCTCCTGACTCAGCCTCCCAAGCAGCTGGGACTACAGTTGCGTACCACCCCGTCCGGCTATATTTGTGTTTCTAGTAGAGACAGGGTTTCGCCATGTTGGCCAGGCTGGTCTCGAACTCCAGACCTCAGGTGATCCACCCGCTTCGCCCTCCCAAAGTGCTAGATTTCAGGCTGAGACACCACACCCAGCCTGTACATTGACTTTCTGCCCTTAAACTGTGCTGAAGTTTGTTTCTCAGATGTAGGAGCCTTTGGGCAGAGACTATGGGGTTTCTAGGTATAGAAATTATCTCATCTTCAAACAGAGGTAATTTGACTACCTCTCTCTGCTACTCTCTTCTTACTTGGATGCCTTATAATTCTTTCTCTTTCCTGATGGCTCTGTCTAGGACTTCAAGTACTATGTTGAATAGGATGGTGAGAGTGGGCATTCTTGTCTTGTTTCACTTATGAAGGGAACTTCTTCCAGCTTTTACTCATTCAGTATGATGTTGGTTGTGGGTTTGTCACAGGCGGCTCTTATTATATTGAGTTATGTTTCTTCAATGCTTAGCTTGTTGAGGGCTTTTAACATGAAGAAATGCTTAGTAAAAAGTATGTTCTACATGTGTGTTGAGAAGATCATGTGGTTTTTGTTTTTAGTTTTGTTTAGGTGATGAATCACATGTATTGATTGTGTATGTTCAACCAACCTTGCACCCTAAGAATAAAGTTGACTTGATCATGGTGGATTCACTTTTTGATATGCTGCGGGATTCAGTTCTTAGTATTTTTTGTGGATTTTTGCCTCTATGTTCATCAGGAATATTGGCATGTAGTTTTCTTTTGTTTAATGTTCTTTTCTGTCTTTAGTATCAGGGTGATGCCAGCCTTATAGAATGAGTAAAGGCCACCCTGGGCAAACAGTGAGACCCATCCCTTTTTAAAAATTATGAGTTTTACAAATTTAAAATGCATAGTGAAAAAGTTCTTACAAACTCCAGAAAGATAGGTGTAAATAAGAGACATTTGTAAGAATGACAGCACATTAAATGTGTAGATTTCAACCTTCAGTTATTGCAATATTCCAGTATCAAGTTGGAGGATGTTATCAGTCTGATATTTTTTCCTCAAATGAGAGAGAGAAAGAAAGACACACAAACAACACAGGGAGAAAAAAAGCACACGTTACAGAGAGACAAAAAGGGAGACAGGGAACTGTGAATTTGGACTCTTGTGTCATAAGACAAATTCTAGATAACACGACCAGACCTTCAATTGACATATTGTGTTTTTGCTAATAAGGTGGAATTCTATGATGCGAAATAACTATATAGTCTTTTCTACTGGGATTTAAATCATTTTATCTGTTTCTGGCTTAACAGGAAAAATACAACCATGGAAAATTATGATGATTTATTTAATACGATTGCTCTATAGTGTTAATAAAACCTATTAGGTATTTTGCATATTACATATCAAGGAGAGTTTGAATCTCAGGTAGAAACAAAAAAAAATACATCAAATTTCCTCATGTGAGTGCAGAATTCAATCGTCCCGTGCAGGGGTAAGTGAGTCTGAGATGTGTTTTGAGCCTGGCCGTTGCGCATGATGTGAAGTGACAAGTCTAGTCTGCAGTTTTCAGAAACCCTCATTCCTCCCTTGACTGATTCACCACTTGAACCTCATATGACGTAGAAGAAGCCTACCTATGTCCCCTTCACATGTTGTGGTCAATGTGTCAACTGCACGATCCGGGCCCCTCACCACATCCTCTGCACCGGTCAGTCGAGCCGAGTCACTGCGTCCTGGCAGCAGAAGCTGCACCATGTCCATGTCACCCACGGTCATCATCCTGGCATGTCTTGGTGAGTCCTGGAAGGGAAGGAGCACCAGGGTTACACTATGGGCCTGCAGATTGGGTGTCTCCCCAGCAGAGAGCCATGTTCTGAAGCAAGTGAGTGGTGAGGATGAGTTAATTTTCAGTCCAGCGTGGCGCCCAGTGGCTCAGGAGGAAAGGGTAGGTTGCTGCCGAGATGAATAGTTCATCATGATCTTTCTTTGCAGGGTTCTTCTTGGACCAGAGTGTGTGGGCACACGTGGGTGAGTCCTTCCCCAAATGATGGGTTGCCATCTTCACCCCAATACAAGTGAATTTTCCAGAAATGGGAGGGAGGCAGCACAGAGGGTGGGCTGATGGGCTGACCATGGGAAGGCCTGGGGGGAGTCTCTCATGAACTAGTAAGAGGAGATCCTGGGAGTCTCTCATGAACTAGTAAGAGGAGATCCTGGGAGTCTCTCATGAACTAGTAAGAGGAGATCCTGGTATGCTCAGCCCTCTGTTTTGTCTTAGCCCTCCCCAGCCTTTCTTCCCCATGGCTGAGTTGAGCTCTGTGTGGCCCAGGCGGGATACTGAGGTGCTCAAAGCTGGGGTGTGTGGGGGGATGTGGTGTCACCGACAGAGGAGGGAAGGGTAGCAGTGTTAGGAACAGCAGGTCCTCTGAGGACAAGAGGGTAACTCACACCCTCCAGCGTTTCCATGACGGTAGGGGCTGCAGTGTGGCTGCTGTCATTCTGCCAGAAGAGGTGGGGGAACCACAGCCACGACCCTGCCATTCCAAATCCTCTGATGGAGCTCAGTTGTTTATTGTGGTTCAGGCATTAGCTAATATTCCATTCACAAAGGTCATACCCTCCACCCCATGTCTACTTTGTGTTCTTTGGTGTAACTAATCTTGCAGTATTAAAATCTAGTAAGAGTCCCTTACTCAGCACCTGCTCAGTTCTCAACTGACACTTTTGTTGTAGGGAGACGCCACGTCTATGCGGGATGGGTCCTTCCTGTAGCCCCAGGCACCCAGGTGTGGTAGGAGCCTTAGAAAGAAGAAATGGGGAGAATCTTCTGAGCACAGGGAGGGAGGGGCAGCTCAACATACTCCTCTCTGAGGCGGCATCTCCTTCTCCCCAAGGTGGTCAGGACAAGCCCTTCTGCTCTGCCTGGCCCAGCGCTGTGGTGCCTCAAGGAGGACACGTGACTCTTCGGTGTCACTATCGTCGTGGGTTTAACATCTTCACGCTGTACAAGAAAGATGGGGTCCCTGTCCCTGAGCTCTACAACAGAATATTCTGGAACAGTTTCCTCATTAGCCCTGTGACCCCAGCACACGCAGGGACCTACAGATGTCGAGGTTTTCACCCGCACTCCCCCACTGAGTGGTCGGCACCCAGCAACCCCCTGGTGATCATGGTCACAGGTCAGAGGGCTCCTGTCTGGGCTTCTCCTTGTCCCACCTCCTGAGTCCCAGAGCTTCTGGTGGGGGTGTCCACCAGAGTCCGATCATCCAGGCCCCAACTATATTTGGGGTAAAGGGGGATTGAATACAGGGGAATGGGTGCTGTGTTGGAAAGAATAACTGTCCCCATCGATGGCCACATTGTAATCCTTGGAGCCTGTGACTATGTTATAGGGCAGGGGACTGAAGGGGAAGATGGAGCTCAGGTTGTTGATGAGTTGACCTTGAGATGGGGAGATGGCCTGGACTCTCCCACTGGGCTCAGTGTAATCACAAGGGTCCATATGAGTGGAGAAGGAAGAGGAGAATGGGGATTAGAGCAGCATCGTGGGATACTCCACCAGCCACTGTGGGCTTTGAAGGTGGAGGAAGACCACGAGCCACGAAGGGGCTGGAGAAATCAATGGAACTGATTCTCCCGAGTCTCCAGAGGGAATGCAGCCCTGCAGATGCCTTGATTGTAGCCCAGGAAGAACAGGGTCTGATTTCTGTCTCCAGAAGTGGAAGGGGTCAGTGTGTTCTCTCCTGCCGCCATGTTTGTGATAATTTTCTCCAGCAACAACAGGAAACCAACACAGGAACCCAGGTGAAGGACAAGTTAAAAAACCAAACAAGAAGGTTGGCTACCCTGAGATCAGCAAGGGTGCACTGCTGATGCCACCACCAGGCTGGAACCACATAGGGAGGGATCGACAGGAAGAGTTGGGGGTGGAGGGTGAGAGAGAGAGAGAGAGCACTAGGCCATAGAGCAGGGCAGTGAGTTCTCAGCTCAGGTGGGAGGGGAGCTGTGACAAGGAAGAACCTCCCTGAGGAAACTGCCTCTTCTCCTTCCAGGTCTATATGAGAAACCTTCGCTTACAGCCCGGCCGGGCCCCACGGTTCGCGCAGGAGAGAACGTGACCTTGTCCTGCAGCTCCCAGAGCTCCTTTGACATCTACCATCTATCCAGGGAGGGGGAAGCCCATGAACTTAGGCTCCCTGCAGTGCCCAGCATCAATGGAACATTCCAGGCCGACTTCCCTCTGGGTCCTGCCACCCACGGAGAGACCTACAGATGCTTCGGCTCTTTCCATGGATCTCCCTACGAGTGGTCAGACCCGAGTGACCCACTGCCTGTTTCTGTCACAGGTGAGGAAAGCCAATGTCTGTCCCATGTCCTATGGTCCTAGAGCCTTAGCTGAGGAGCTTCCTGCTGATGATGGAGAGAAGCATGGACAGATGTGGAGAGAAGATGCAGCATGGTGTGAGGGTGGGATCAGGGCACAGGATGGCAGACAGGGCACCTCCAAACCCTCCTGCATGGCCTGCATGGAAGCTTGCAGTAAGGGCTCCGGGTACCCAGGCAGATGGAGAAAGTGGTCAGGACAGACCCAGAGGAGGGAGACTGGGCTCAGTTTGGGGAGATCAGAGGTTCCCTCAGCCCCTCAACCTTACCCATTTCCCAGAAGCCCACCCTGGCCTCTCACCTACACAGAGATGTCATCACCAGCAACCCCTACACTTTTTCTTTTCCTTTGAAAAAATGCTGATTGAGGTTAAATATACCTATATAATTTATCAACTTTACCATTTTTAAGTGTAAAATCTAGGGATCATAAATACCTTTATATGCTGTGTGCGGTGGCTCATGCCTGTAATCTCAGCATTTTGAGACGCCAAGGCAGGTGGATCATTTAAAATCAGGGGCTGGAGACCAGCCTGGCCAACATGGGGGAACCAATCTTTACTAAAAAGACAAAAAAAATAAAATTAGCCAGGCATGGTGCCAGGCGCCTATAATCCCAGCAACTTGGGAGGCTGAGGCGGGAGAGTGGCTTAAACCCAGGAGGAGGAGGTTGCAGTGAGCTGAGATCATGCCACTGCACTGCAGCCTGGTGACACAGAGAGACTCTGTCTCTAAATAAATAAATAAATACTTTTATATTCTTCTTTTGTTACCCTCCACCCCTTCCTTCCTAACCTCTGGTATCCACCATTCTACTCTCTACCTTCATGAGGTCCACCTTTTACATCCTGCATGTGAGTAAGAAATGGCAATCCTTGTAATGACCTCCAGTCCATCCATGTGGCTGCAAATGACAGGACGTTACTCTTTGTATGGATGAGTTGTCTCCATTGTGTGTATGTACTACTTTCTCTCTATCCATTCATCCACTGATGGGCAGGTAGGTTGACTCCACATCTTGGCTACTGTGAACAGTGCTGGAACAGTCATGGGAGTGCAGATGTCACTTCAATACACTGAAGTCCTTTTCTTTGCATTTACACCCACTAGTGGAATTGCTAGATCCTCTGGATGTTCTCTTTTTAGGTTTTGTTTTATGCTTTTTGTTTTTTTGACATAGCGTTTCACTCTTGTTGCCCAAGCTGGAGTGCAATGGCACCACCTGGGCTCACTGCAACCTCTACCTCCAGGATTCAAGTGATTCTCCAGCCTCAGCCTCCCGAGTAGTTGGGATTACTGGTGCCCGCCACCACGCCTGGCTGATTTTTGTATTTTTAGTAGAGACGGGGTTTCACCATGTTAGCCAGGCTGGTCTCGAACTCTTGACCTCCAGTGATCTGCCCACTTCAGCCTCCCAAGGTGCTGGGATTACAAGCGTGAGACACAGTGCCTAATCTCTTTTTAGTTTTTAAGGAACTTCCATATTCTTCTCCTCTGTAATGGCTGTATTAATTTACATTCCTATCAACAGTGTATTAGGGTTCTCCTTTCTCCACCACCTTGCCAACATTTGTTTTGTCTGTCTCTGAGATAAAACCCATTGTAATGGGGTGAGATGATAGCTCATTGTGACTTCATTTGCATTTCTCTGATGATTAGTGATACTGAGCACTTTTTCATATATGCAATGTATATATGTTCATTTGTATGTTTTGTTCATTGAGAAATGTCTGTTCAGGTCTTTTACTAATTTTATAATTAAATTATTAGTTTTATTGAGGTGTTTGAGCTTCTTTTATATTCTAGTTATTAATCCCATCTCAGATGCATAGTTTGCAAATATTTGCTCCCATTCTGTGGGTTGTCTCTTCTTCACTTCATTGGTTGCTTCCTTTGCGGTGCAGAAGCTGCTTGATTTGATATAATCCCAATGGTCTATTTTTTTGTTGTTGTTGTGATTACTTGTGTTTTTGAGGTTTTAAACAAAATGTCTTCCCTCAGACAAATGTCCTGGAGCATTTCTCCAGTGTTTCCTTTTAGACATTTAATGGATTCAGGTCTTAAGTCATTAATCCATTTTCATCTGATTTTTGTGTATGGTGAGAGGTAGAGGTGCAGTTTCATCCCTCTGCATGTAGATATCCAGTTTTCCCTGCACCATTTATTGAAATGACTGTCCTTTCCAGATTGTAGATTCTTCGAACCTTTGTCAAAGTCCATTGGATGTAAATGGGTGGATTACATCCGTGTTCTTCATTCTGCTCCATTGTTTTATGTGCTTTTCTTTATGCCAATGTCATGTTGTTTTGCTTACTACAGCTCTGTAACATATTTTTAAGTCAGGTAGTGTGATGCTCCTGTTTTCTCCTTATACCTTGAAGTCTCAAGATAGTTGGTGTCACCTACAATGATTATGGAGAATGGGATGCCAGGACTCCCAGGGCCCAACATTAGATAATAGAATGTTGGCCATGAACCAACCTCAAAGATTTCCATTGAGTAGAAGACAGGCATCCTCATTGCCACACCTCTCTCCTGTCCCGTGTTCTAGGAAACCCTTCTAGTAGTTGGCCTTCACCCACTGAACCAAGCTTCAAAACTGGTAAGTGAAGGACCCCTCTTATCTCTGCTTTTGGAAACCTGGGGAGGTAGAAGCCTTGGATTCAAGCGTTGGCTCAGCACCTGCCAGCTCTGTGATTGTGGGCCTGTCTTCCATTGTCTCTGAACCCCAGACACTCCAACAGCGAAAGGGATCTGGGCCCAGCACAGGGCTCAGTGAAATCTCTTAATCTCTAATTTTCTGCTGCTGAGACCTCAGGGTAGAAGGATGAGTGCAAATCAGACATTCTTCTCAGGAAAAATGCTGTGTTTGTTCTGCCTGCATTCCTAACTGGGAGGACAAATGCCTGGGGGCTTGAGAAGGGGAAGGAAGGGGAACATTTTTGAGGGTGGTGTATTTGTAGAGAAGTTCTACTTGCCAAGGAATGAGCTCCTGTCTGTCATGATCCAACCCTGGTTGACTTAGTGGAACAAGAGCTTTGCGGTAAGAGAGAACGTAGTTCATCCGTGCACATGACACTTCCACTTACTCGTTCAGCCACTGCCCCATGCTCAGACTGTGCAGTGTGGAACCTTTTCCTATGTTGCCATAACAAATTTCCACAAGCTTCGTGGATGGAAACCACATTTTTAAAAAATATCTCATGGTGCTGTAGCTCAGAAGTATGAAATGCATCATCTCACTGGGCTAAAATCAAGGTGACAGCAAGGCTGCCTTCCCTCTGAATGTTCCAGGCAAGAATCTGCTTCCTCACTTTTCCCAGCTCCTAGAGGCTCCCACATTCCTTGGCTCCTGGTCCCCGTCTTCCTCCCTCAAAGTCCACAAAGGCTGGTCACGCCTCTCACACGGCATCACTCAGACCCTTCTTCCTTGTCCACACCTCTTTCTCTGAATGCTGCTCTGCCTTCTTCCTCATCTTTTAAGGACTTTGGCATTCTATTGGAAACACCAAGATAATCCATCATAATTTCCCTAAAATCATCTAGGATACCCTCCTTTTAAGGTTAGCTGATTAGCAACCGTAATTCCATCTGCAATCTGCATTCCTTTTTTCCATGTAAAATAACATATTCACAAGATATGGCGACTAGGACAGGAATATTTTGGGGTGGGGCGGCATTCTTATCCTTTCCACAAATGGTAAACAAGGTGCATTTGGCCTCTGCTCTTGGACACTGATATTGCAAAGGATTAAATGGGAGGGCAGAAAATGAATGCACCAGTGGACCAATAAATGAATGATCCATTGGGAAGCATCTGTGCATGAGAATGATTGATTGATTGGTTGTTTTTATGAGACAGTGTCTCCCTCTGTGCCCCAGGCTGGAGTGCAGTGGCGGGATCTCGGCTCACCGCAACCTCCACCTCCCAGGTTAAAGCGATTCTCTACACTCAGCTTCCCGAGAGGCTGGGATTACACCCATGTCCCACCACGCCTGGCTAATTTTTTTTTGGTATTTTTTTTTAGTACAGACAAGGTTTTACCATGTTGCCCAGGCTATCTCAAACTCCCAACCTTAAGGGATCCGCCCGTCTCAGCCTCCCAAAGTGCTGAGATTAGAGGCGTGAGCCAAGGCGCCGAGCCGTATTTTAAAAGAAATAATAGATAATGCTGAGTGTATAATTTCGGGTGACAGAGAAGTTCTCACTGATCAAATAATACTTGTGACCTTAATGAAAAAAATAGATCAACCCCTGGAAGATTGGCGGAAGGATTTTCCACACAGCTGTCAGCCGTGAAGGCACAAAGGTGAAAACAATGTTATGTGGAAGGAAGAGGCTCTGCCTGAAATGCTGGGAATGACATGGGGAGAATGACAAGACGACTGTGGAGAGACAGAGAGCACACTGGGTACACAGGAAACTAAGGAGCAACAAGGAGCGTGTGTTTGATACTCACAGCCATTGGACTTACCTCGGGGCTAACTGGGAATCCCTACATGATGAATAGTGACTGACATGAAAATAAGGGAGGCCCAGGTGCATAACTGGAATCTAGGAGACTGTGGAAAAGGCAATTCCCGCCCCCCTGGTGAAATGTGGTGCTGATTTAGACACTAAATGAATGAAAGATGGACACAAGATGTGTTTGTGAGGTAGAGTAATTTGCAGGGAGGGCTTGCCTGGTTTGATTTTTCCTAATTGTTTAATCTTCACTTCATTGATTTCTTTCTGAGATTTATTTTTCCTACATGTAAATCAATACTTGGCAGAGGAGTGAGAGATACATGAGGGGTGGTGCAAAGGAAGAGACCTATTATAATATAACACACAAGGTTCTGAACGGTGGCTCACACCTGTAACCCAACATTTTGGGAGGCTGAGGAGGCTGGATCAAGTGAGATCAGGAGTTCGAGATCAGCCTGGACAACATGGTGAAACCCCATCTCTACTAAATATACAAAAACTAGCTGGGGGTGGTGGCGCGTGCCTGTAATACCAGCTATTCGGGAAGTTGAAGAAGGAGAATGGCTTCAACCAGGGAGGGAGAGGTTACAGTGAGCCAAGATCGCGTCATTGCACTGCACCCTAGGTGACAGAGTGAGACTCCATGGCAAAAAATAAAAATAAAGAATACATAAATATAATATAACATACACGAATGACAAAGGCACACCAATTCCAATCATCATTTTTCTATTTCTCTATAATGACTTCTTTGATCCTTTATCCTATCCGTAAGAAAATCAGGCGAAAACATCTTCCTTATTTGGCTTTCTGTGAGCATGAGATCATATGGAAAATGTGAAACCCACCAGCACAGGTCCTGGAATAGAGAACGTGATCTGTTCATGGCACAAAACTTGCCCCTTCACCCAAATCCCCCACCTCACCCCTACTTCCAATCACATTAATGATACAGATAGATCATGGGGAGGTAAAAACTAATATTCTTTGGAGTTCAGATCGTAGACTCAGAGACCAGTGCCAGCACTATCTCCTGGTCACCTTTTGGAGTAATTCACAGAAAGACAGGCTGTATTGAAGCAACAGATGATGGAGGGGGTGGTCTTTCCCCCAGACTCTCGGGTGGAACAGCAGCCTAATATCTGACTCCCAAGATGACAAAAGTAGCATGTTGCCCACGAGCTTCATCATTATTTCCTGGCTGTTTGATATAAGACAGCTCAACCTCACTTATGTTGATTTCAATGTCACTGTTTTTTCCTTTTCTTGGAGAATGTAATTTGTTTGAGTCAAGAGGGTTGTGGATGTAGAAACTGTAAAGCACATTCACTGTGTATCAATCCCAGTCCAGTCTTCCCAGAGAAGACTCTAAACACCTCCCATACTGCACCTGGGGCTGTGCCAATTTCTATCACTCACCATCACTCCAGGGAGACAGAACACACAGGGAATACATTACATAGGCAGGTTCATTACTTATAGATAAGCAGCGAGTGACAACAGAAACCTTCCTTTCAGGGTGAGCCAGTCCCTCAAGGCTCAGAAAAACTGCTCAGGACACATGGAGTCACTTCATGTGCACTGTAGCTGGGGGAAGCCAGAAAGCAGCCCAGCCTGGGTTTTGTACCCTGGAGCCACAGGGAACACTCAGCTAAAGCACTGCATGATGTTCTCCTCCAGGAAGAACAGGAAGACAGCCCAGGCTGTTCTGAGACGTTCCTCCTGATCTCAGGATGTTGCTGTCTTAGCCTATTTTTGTTGCTATAAAAGAACACTTGAGCCTGGGTATCTTCTAAAGAAAAGAGATGTGTTTGGCTCACTGATCTGCACGCTGTACTAGAAGCAGGACACTACCATCTATTTCTGGCTGCGGCCTCAGGCTGCTCCCACACTGACAGAAGAGAAGGGGGTCCTGCGTGTGCAGAGACCACAGAGATCACATGGCAAGAGAGGGAGAAAGGGGGTGTGATGGAGCTTCCAAGCTCTTTTTAAGAATCAACTCTCCAGGGTACTAATAGAGGGAGAACTTGCTAACCCCGTCCTCTGGGGACAGCATTAATCTATTCATGATGGATCCACCCCCATGACCAAAACACCCCTCCCAATAGGCACAACTCCCACACTGGGGATTAAATTTCAAAGTGGGGTTTGGAGGGGTCAAACATTGAAACAATAGCAGTTGTATCATCAGCACATTCTATTGTTATTATGAAAACTATAACGGAGAAAGCAGGAGAAAGCTGGGTCTCCCGCCTCGTGGGTGCTTGTCTTAAAGAGGTGTTTTATGTGGTTGCCTGGCAACCAAGAAATGAGAGACAATCCACAAAGAGGAACTGCTATGGTTAGCTTCTTATTGGATTCCCATCTTCCTCCAGGTATCGCCAGACACCTGCATGCTGTGATTAGGTACTCAGTGGCCATCATCCTCTTTACCATCCTTCCCTTCTTTCTCCTTCATCGCTGGTGCTCCAAAAAAAAAGTAAGCCTCACGAAGCAGAGGCCAGAGAACTCAGGGCCCTGTGCGGAAGCAGGATGGGAGCACGCAGGTGTGTGTTCCTCACTGGCAGGAAAGTCTCTGGCCCAAGGCAGGAGCCAGAGGCAGAGCTTTCTAGAGAGAGCACCAGACACCCTGCCCCTGCCTTCAGCTCACAGACCGTTGCCTGATTGTGAACTGTATCCTCACGTCCCCTGCAGCCACTCACATCCAGGAGAAGATTCCATGACAGGCAGAAAGTGGGAGATAGAATCAATGGGATGGGAACTGACAGCTATTCATGGAATGGGGTCTTGCACTCAGAGAGATGGAATGTCTGAGTCTGGCTGTTGGCAGCTGAGGGACCTCAGGCACCTATGGCCTCCCCCTGTGTGTTGGTATCTGTTCATGAAATGAGGACCCAGAAGTGCCCTCCCAGCTGTTTTGATTGCTTCCGTCTCCTACAGATGCTGCTGTAATGAACCAAGAGCCTGCGGGACACAGAACAGTGAACAGGGAGGTAGGTCCTCCTAGCCCAGCCTCATGGATACAGTCTTATTCCGAAATAGTCCTGAAAAATGTGAACACCCTCCCTCACTCAGGATTTCCCTCTCTCCAGGACTCTGATGAACAAGACCCTCAGGAGGTGACATACGCACAGTTGGATCACTGCATTTTCACACAGAGAAAAATCACTGGCCCTTCTCAGAGGAGCAAGAGACCCTCAACAGATACCAGCGTGTGTATAGAACTTCCAAATGCTGAGCCCAGAGCGTTGTCTCCTGCCCATGAGCACCACAGTCAGGCCTTGATGGGATCTTCTAGGGAGACAACAGCCCTGTCTCAAACCCAGCTTGCCAGCTCTAATGTACCAGCAGCTGGAATCTGAAGGCGTGAGTCTCCATCTTAGAGCATCACTCTTCCTCACACCACAAATCTGGTGCCTGTCTCTTGCTTACCAATGTCTAAGGTCCCCACTGCCTGCTGCAGAGAAAACACACTCCTTTGCTTAGCCCACAATTCTCTATTTCACTTGACCCCTGCCCACCTCTCCAACCTAACTGGCTTACTTCCTAGTCTACTTGAGGCTGCAATCACACTGAGGAACTCACAATTCCAAACATACAAGAGGCTCTCTCTTAACACGGCACTTAGACACGTGCTGTTCCACCTTCCCTCGTGCTGTTCCACCTTTCCTCAGACTATTTTTCAGCCTTCTGGCATCAGCAAACCTTATAAAATTTTTTTGATTTCAGTGTAGTTCTCTCCTCTTCAAATAAACATGTCTGCCTTCATTCTTTAGGTGACTCTTTTTTTGGCTGAAAGTTTCCAGTGTTATCATTACCATGTCCAAATAACTCCAACTGTTCTCCACTGGGTTCTCACCCCTGGACTTGGAGCTTCTGGAAGCAGGGTGGAGCCTGATTTGTCTCTGAGACTCCAATTTCCATCCAAAGATGCAGCACATAAGAGGTTCCAAGGATCGTGAATCACATGAACAAGTGATATTCTTACTCTCTGCAGACCTGGAAAGCTGGCAGAGTCATTCCATGATGAAACATTTGTAGAGTCATAGGCCTTGTTAGTCTCATCTCCACGGGGACACATATCAACACATCATCTTTCATACTATAAATATACAGTCGGTCCTCTGTATCTGTGGGATTTACAGGTGTTTATTGAACCAAATATAAATCAAAAATATTCAGAGAAAAAATCCACAAAGTTTCAAAAAGCAAAACTATGTTGAATGGACACAAATGAAGCTGTGTGTAGGCTGTATCAGGAATTATAAATAATCAAGGGATGATTTCATGTACACAGGAGGATGTGCATGGGTTATTTGCAAATGCTGTGCCATTTCATGTAAGAGGCTTGAGCGTCTGCAGATTGTGCTATCTGAGTGGAGATCCTGAAACCAATCACCCACGAATAGTGAGGGATGACTGTATATAATTTTTATTTCTCAATTTTAAATATAAAACATAAAAAAATTACAATAACAAGATAAAATAAACAAGTGTTTTATAGTGTGAGAATACGTTTAGATATATTTTTCTCTATGTGTAACCCTTGGGCCCATGTTATTTATTGAGAAGACATTCTATTCCACCTTAAACCACATGGCAGCCTTTGTCAACTATAAAGGGACTGTGTGTACACGGATGTATTTTAGACACTGTTTTCTGCTCAGTGGCTCTCTCTCTGTCCACTCTCTTGAGAATGCTGCATTTTATGCAGCCTTATACAACCCCTAAAATTTGGTAGCTGGAGTCCTCTAGTTATTTATTATAGGCTATTTGCTATGCTTTTTTTATTTTTCTTGAGGCAGAGTCTCGCTCTGTTGCCCAGGCTGGAGTGCAGTGGCACGATCTCGGCTCACTGCAACTTCCGCCTCCCAGGTTCAAGGGATTCCGTGCCTCAGCCTCTTGAATAGCTGGCATTACAAGTGCCTGCTACCAGGCATGGCTAATTTTTGTATTTTTAGCAGAGACATGGTTTCACTATATTGGCCAGGCTGGTCTCAAACTCCTGACCTCGGTTGATCACTCACCTCGGCTTCCAAAGTGCTGGGGAAATTGATTTTCTATAGCATTATGTTACTGGATATTTCTGTAAAATTTAAAATGAGGGAGGCAGAGAGACAGAGAGAGAGCAAACCATGAGTTGGAACTCTGGAATCTTGGGACATGAGACAAATTCTAGATAAATCTACAAAAATCCAGAATTTACATGTTGTGATTTTTGCTGATAAAGTACAATTCTAAGATTGTAAATAATTGCATAATCCTTCCCTGGGAGTTTAAATCATTTGAACTGGTTCTGCTGTAATACTAGAAATACAATCATGAAAAATTCTAATGGTTTATTGTCACAATTGCTCTGAAAACCTTAATAATACCTATTAGATATTTTGCATATTACACAGGAAGAAGAGTTTGAATCTCAGATAAAAACAATAAAAATACATGAAAAGTCTTTCATGTTAGCACAGATTTTAGGCATCTCGTGTTCGGGAGGTTGGATCTGAGACGTGTTTTGAGTTGGTCATAGTGAAGGACGCGAGGTGTCAATTCTAGTGAGAGCAATTTCCAGGAAGCCATGTTCCGCTCTTGAGCGAGCACCCACTGGGCCTCATGCAAGGTAGAAAGAGCCTGCGTACGTCACCCTCCCATGATGTGGTCAACATGTAAACTGCATGGGCAGGGCGCCAAATAACATCCTGTGCGCTGCTGAGCTGAGCTGGGGCGCAGCCGCCTGTCTGCACCGGCAGCACCATGTCGCTCATGGTCGTCAGCATGGCGTGTGTTGGTGAGTCCTGGAAGGGAATCGAGGGAGGGAGTGCGGGGATGGAGATCTGGACCTGGAGGTAAAGATATGGGCCTAGAGGTGGAGTTATGGGCCTAGAGGTGGAGTTATGGGCCTGAAGTGGAGATCTGGGCCTGGAGTGGAGATCTGGGCCTGGAGTGGAGATAGGGGCCTGGGGTGGAGATATGTGCCTGGAGTGGAGATCTGGGCCTGGAGTGGAGATATGGGCCTGGGGTGGAGATATGTGCCTGGGGTGGAGAGATGGGCCTGGAGGGGAGATATGGGCCTGGAGGGGAGATGTGGGCCTAGAGGTGGAGTGATGGGCCTAGAAGTGGAGCGATGGGCCTGGAGTGGAGATATGGGCCTGGAGGTGGAGTTATGGGCCTGCAGTAGAGATATGGGCCTGAAGTGGAGATATGGGCCTGGAGTGGAGATATGGGCCTAGAGGTGGAGTTATGGGCCCGGAGGTGGAGTTAAGGGCATGAAGTGGAGATCTGGGCCTGGAGTGGAGATATGATCCTGGAGTGGAGATATGGGCCTGGGGTGGAGATACGGGCCTGGAGCAGACATACAAGCCTGGAAAGGAGATATGGGCCTGGAGAGGAGATAGAAGCCTGGAGTGGAAATATGGGCCTGGAGTGGAGATATGAGCCTGGAGTGGATATATGAGCCTGGAGTTGAGATAGGAGCCTGGAGTGGAGATATGGGCCTGGAGTGGACTTACCAGCCTGGAGAGGAGATATGGGCCTGGAGTGGAGATACGGACCTGGAGTGGAGATCTGGGCCTGTTGTGTAGATCTAGGCCTGGAGGTAGAGATCTGGGCCTGGAGGCTCAGTCTCTGCACAGCCGAGATCCTTGTTCCTGGGGGCAGGTAGGCAGCGAGGGTGAGTTTACCTTCAGCCCAGCAAGGGCCTGGCTGCCAAGACGCACAGCCCAGTGGGGGCAGCAGGGTGCCCTGGTTTGCCTGCAGAGGGATGGTCCATCATGATCTTTCTTTCTAGGGTTGTTCTTGGTCCAGAGGGCCGGTCCACACATGGGTGAGTCCTTCCCCAAACCTTAGGGTGTCATCTCCCCACATAAGAGGATTTTCCTGAAATGGGAGGGAAGTCCTGTCGGGGAGTCTCTCATACACTAGGAAGAGGGGACCCTCGGATGCTCGGCCCACATTTCTGACCTTGCCTTCCCCGGCCTTTCATTCCCTTTCCTGAGTCAAGCTCTGTGAAGACTGGGGTGAGACTAGGGTGCTCCAAGATGGGTGTGCAGGGAGGAAGTGGTGTCAGCAGCAGAGAAAGAGAGGGAAGCAGTGCTAGGAACAGCAGGTCCTCTGAGGACAAAGGTGTAACTCACACCCTCCAGCGTTTCCGTGATGGTAGGGGCTGCAGTGTGGCTGCGGTCTTTCTACCAGAAAAGGTGAGGAAACCACAGCCATGGCCCTGACATTCCAAATCCTCTGATGGGGGCTCAGTTCATCAATTGGCTGATATTCCATTCACATAGGACTTGCCCTCCATGCCGTGTCTACTTTGTGTTGTTTTATATGAGTAATTTTGCAGTATTAAAATCTAGTAAGAGTTGCTTCTCCAGCAACTTGCTCAAAGTTCTCAGCTGACACTTGTTGTAGGGAGACGCCAAGTCTATGCAGGATGGGTCCTTCCTGTAGCCCTGGGCACCCAGGTGTGGTAGGAGCCTTAGAAAGTGGAAATGGGGAGAATCTTCTGGGCACTGGGAGTGAGGGGCGGCTCCACATCCTCCTCTCTAAGGCAGTGCCTCCTTCTCCCCCAGGTGGTCAGGACAAACCCTTCCTGTCTGCCTGGCCCAGCGCTGTGGTGCCTCGAGGAGGACACGTGACTCTTCGGTGTCACTATCGTCATAGGTTTAACAATTTCATGCTATACAAAGAAGACAGAATCCACATTCCCATCTTCCATGGCAGAATATTCCAGGAGAGCTTCAACATGAGCCCTGTGACCACAGCACATGCAGGGAACTACACATGTCGGGGTTCACACCCACACTCCCCCACTGGGTGGTCGGCACCCAGCAACCCCGTGGTGATCATGGTCACAGGTCAGAGGCTTTCCGTCTGGGCTTCTCACTGTCCCACCTCCTGAATCCCAGAGCTTCTGGTGGGGGTGTCCGTCAGGGTCCCATCACCCAGGCCCTGACTGTATTTGGGGTCAAGGGAGATTGAATACAGGGGAAATGGGTGCTGTGGTGGGAAGAATCACTGTCCCCAATGATGGCTACATTGTAATCCCTGGAGCCTGTGACTATTTATGTTACAGGGCAGGGGACTGAAGGGGAAGGTGGAGCTCAGGTTGTTGATGAGTTGACCTTGAGATGGGGAGACAGCCTGGACTGTCCCACTGGGCTCAGTGTAATCACAAGGGTCCACATGAGAGGTGGAGGAAGAGGGGAGTGGGGATTAGAGCAGTGTAGTGGGAGGGAGACGCTATCAGCCACTGCGGGCTTTGAAGGTGGAGGAAGACCACTAGTCACAGAATGCAGGTGGCCTCTAAGGGCTGGAGAAGTCAAGAGAACTGATTCGCTGATTCTCCAGAGGGAACGCAGCCCTGTAGACACCTTGATTTCAGCACAGGGAGAACTGGATCCAATTTCTGTCTCCAGAAGTGGAAGGGGTCAGTGTGTTCTCTCCCGCTGCCATGTTTGTGGTAATTTTCTGCAGCAGCAACAGGAAACCAACACAGGAACCCAGGTCAAGGACAAGTTAGGAAACCAAACAAGGATAGCCAGATGTGGTGGTGGGCACGAGTAATCCAACGACTGGGGAGGCTGAGGCAAGAGAATCACTTGAACTGGGGATTTGTTCAAAAGAGATTGATTCAGGCTGCTAAGAGCCTGGACATGCAGCCTGTCCTCTTCCACCCCCACATAGACAGCAGGAAAGAGATTAGTGGGAAACAGATACAACAGCCCAAGAGATGAGGCTGTCTTCACAGTGGCAAGGGAGTCAGGGGCTACTGGAGACAGAGGGACAGAGAAGAGGGAGGAAGACAGATGGAGGCACCTGCACCAGGGGATATGGGCACAGAAAAGACACGGAGATGCAGAGAGGGAGGAGAGAGACAGACACGGGGAGGGGAACCCTCACTCATTCCAGGTGCCATGGATGGGATGATAAAGAGAGATGCCTTCTAAACTCACAACTTCTCTTTCTAGGAAACCACAGAAAACCTTCCCTCCTGGCCCACCCAGGTCCCCTGGTGAAATCAGGAGAGAGAGTCATCCTGCAATGTTGGTCAGATATCATGTTTGAGCACTTCTTTCTGCACAAAGAGGGGATCTCTAAGGACCCCTCACGCCTCGTTGGACAGATCCATGATGGGGTCTCCAAGGCCAATTTCTCCATCGGTCCCATGATGCTTGCCCTTGCAGGGACCTACAGATGCTACGGTTCTGTTACTCACACCCCCTATCAGTTGTCAGCTCCCAGTGATCCCCTGGACATCGTGGTCACAGGTGAGAGTGTCTAGACATTGTTCTCATTGTCACTGGGACACAGAGTGAATGATCCAGGACTTGGAACCCCCAGGTGGTCATGAGGAAGATAAGTGTGGGATTCTTATGGAAAGAGAGTGACTTGGTGAGGTCTGTACCAACAGAGACAGAGAAACAGGAGACATAAGTACAGAACAGGTGTCATAACAGAGGACAGACACAGGGGCCATACAGGGAGGTAGAAAAGAGAGAAAGAGGTAAAGGAGACACTCAGACAGACAGACATGTCCCAGAGAGAGGTGTCCTTCCATGCTGACTTTGCTCAGAGACCTGGCACAGGTTAGAAGTTTCATTTCTGTTTTACCTCCACAAAGTGTTCCTACCAGAAGAACCCAAGGACACCCATATTTCTGACCTGAGTTGGGCCCTGTGGCCTCAGGCCTTGTGCCACCTACAGATGCCGTGTTTATTCTGACACCTCTGCCTTCCATGCAATGGAGAGTAATCATCCCAGGATATCATGGCCCCTGAACACCAACCCCTGTATGCTGTGTGAACTTGGGGTCCCCAGACTGGATTCTGAGGCTCATATTCCAAATAATCCCACATATGATAGGATCGCTGAGAGACACAGAGAAAAATCAGGGACACCAAAAAGCAAAGACATAAACACACACAAAATGAGCCAGAAGAAGGAGATTAAGAGATTCACAGACACATAAAAAGAAAGAAAAGAGGGCAGAATGGAGAGAATGATGGAAAGGAGGAGAGAAAAGCCCCAAAATCAGAACCCTGAGGGAGGGACACAAAGACAGAGAAAGATAAATATGTGGGGATGGATTGCAGAGATTCCAAATAGAACTAGAGAGACTGAGAGGCAGAGAAAGACAAGGAGACGGAGAGAGAGAGATGATAGATGGATAGATAGACGTAGATAGATGATAAATAGGTAGATGATAGATAATGGATTGGTTATAGATACATAGATGATGACTGATAGATGATACATAGAGATGACGATGATGATGATAGACACATAGATATATACATAGATGATACATAAATAGAGACAGAGAGGCAGACAGAGAGGTAATAGAGAGAGAGATAGATGATACATATATAGATAATAGATGATTGATGGATAGATAGACAGACAGACAATTGATAGAGAGATAGATAAGTGATACATAAATATAGATGATAGATAATTTGTAGATAGACACAAAATAGATAAATAGATAGAAATGTGCAGAAAGTTATGAACAAGACAGAAAGTGAGAGACTCAAAATTAAAGAAAAAGGAAGATCAAGTCAACCAATCCAAGGAGGGTCAGAGAGAATAAAACAATCCAAAAAGGGAAAACATACCTCAGGGTGGGGAAGTGAGGTCATAGACCTAGAGAGACAGAAAAGGTAGAAGGAGGAAACAGATATGAAGAGAGATGGGGTGGAGGGTGAGAGAGAGAGAGAGAGCATTAGGTCATAGAGCAGGGGAGTGAGTTCTCAGCTCAGGTATGAGGGGAGCTATGACAAGGAAGAACCTCCCTGAGGAAACTGCCTCTTCTCCTTCCAGGTCCATATGAGAAACCTTCTCTCTCAGCCCAGCCGGGCCCCAAGGTTCAGGCAGGAGAGAGCGTGACCTTGTCCTGTAGCTCCCGGAGCTCCTATGACATGTACCATCTATCCAGGGAGGGGGGAGCCCATGAACGTAGGCTCCCTGCAGTGCGCAAGGTCAACAGAACATTCCAGGCAGATTTCCCTCTGGGCCCTGCCACCCACGGAGGGACCTACAGATGCTTCGGCTCTTTCCGTCACTCTCCCTACGAGTGGTCAGACCCGAGTGACCCACTGCTTGTTTCTGTCACAGGTGAGAAAAGCCCATATCTCTCTCATGTCCTATGATCCTAAATCCTTAGCTAAGGAGCTTCCTGCTGATGATGGAGAAAAGCATGGACAGATGCAGAGAGAAGACACAGCAGGTGTGAGGGCGGAGTCAGGGCGCAGGATGGCAGACAGGGCACCTCCAAACCCTCCTTCATGGCCTGCATGGAGGCCTCCGATCAGGGCTCCAGGCACCCAGGCAGATGGAGAAAGCGGTCAGGACAGACCCAGAGAAGGGGAGACTGGGCTTAGTTTGGGGAGATCAGAGGTTCCCTCAGCCCCTCAATCTTATCCATTTCCCAGAAGCCCATCATGGCCTCTCACCCACACAGAGAGATATCATCACCAGCAACCCCTACACCCTTTTCTTTTCATTTTCAAAAATATTTATTGAGGTTAAATGTAACTATATAATTTACCACCTTTACCATTTTTAAAAGTAAAATCTAGTGGTCATAAATACCTTTATATGCTGGGTGTGGTGGTTCACGGTTGTAATCTCGGCGCTTTGAGAGGCCAAGGAAGGTGGATCATTTAAGATCAGGAACTCGAGATCACCCTGGCCAACATGTGGGAAATTCATCTTTACTAAACAGACAAGAAAAATTAGCCGAGCATGCTGGCATGCACCTGTAGTCCTAGCTACTTGGGAGGCTGAGGCAGGAGAAGCACTTAAACCCAGGAGGCAGAGGTTGCACTGAGCCGAGATCATGCCACTGCACTGCAGCCTGGGAGACAGAGAGAGACTCTGTTTCTAAATAAATAAATACATCTATATTCTTTTTTTTGTTACCCTCCACCCTTCCCTTCCTGGCCTCTGGTGTCCACCATTGTATTCTCCACCTTCATGAGATCCACCTTTTATCTCCTGCATGTGGGTGAGAAATGGGAATCTTTGTAATGACCTCCAGTTCCATCCATGTGGCTGCAAATGACAGGATGTTATTGTTTCTATGGATGAGTAGTCTCCACTGTGTGTGTGTACCACAGTTCTCTATCCATTCACCCACTGATGGGCAGGTAGGTTGACTCCACATCTTGGCTACTGTGAACAGTGCTGGAACAGTCATATGAGTGCAGATATCACTTCGATACACTGATGTCCTTTCCTTTGGATATAAACCCAGTAGTGAAATTGCTGGACACTATGAAAGTTCTCTTTTTTTTTTTTTCTTTTTTGAGAAAGAGTTTCCCTCCTTAGTCCAAGCTGGAGTCTAAGTGGTGAGATCTTGGCTCATTGCAACCTGTGCCTCCTAGGTTCAAATGATTGTCCTGACTCAGCCTCCCTAGTAGCTGTGATTACAGGTGCACGCCACCATGCCTGGCTAATTTTTGTATTTTTTTAGCACAGACGGGATATCCCAATTTTGGGCAGGCTGCTCTCAAACTCCTGACCTCAAGTGAGGTGCCTGCCTCGGTTTCCCAAAGTGCTGAAGTTACAGGCATAAGCCACTATGCCCAGCCTCCTTTTAGTTTTTTAAAGAATTTCCATACTTTTCTCCATAATAGTTGTACTAATTTACATTCCTACCAACAGGGTACCAGGGTTCTCCTTTCTCTACCATCTTGCCAGCATTTGTTTTGCCTGTCTTGCAGTAAAAGCCATTTTACTTTACTTTATTTTATTTATTTATTTATGTTGAGATGGAGTTTCACTCATAGTCTCCCAGGCTGGAGTGCAAGGGTGTGATCTCAGCTCACTGCAACCTCCGCCTCCCGCGTTCAACTGATTCTCCTGCCTCAGCCTCCAAAGTAGCTGGGATTACAGGCATGTGCCACCACGCCTAGCTAATTTTTGTATGTTTAGTAGAGAGGGAGTTTCTCCATGATGGTCAGGCTGGTCTCCCGACCTCAGGTGATCCGCCCACCTCCGCCTCCTGAAGTGCCGGAATTACAGGCGTGAGCCACCGGCCTAAAAGGCATTTTAATGGGATGAGATGAAAACTCATCGCGATTGTAATTTACATTTCTCTGATGATGAGTGATGCCGAGTACTTTTTCATATACGTGATCGCCATTTCTATGTTTTGTTTGTGGAGAAATGTCTCCTCATGTCTTTTGCTCGTTTTTTAATTAAATTGTTTTATTGAGTTGTTTGAGCTTCTTATATTTCCAGTTATTAATCCCGTCTCAGATGAATAGTTTGCAAATATTTGCTCCTATTTTGTCGGTTGTCTCTTCACTTTCTTGGTTTATCTTTTGTGGTGCAGAAGTTGCTTGGTTTGATGTAATCCTAATGGTCTATTTTTTGCTTTGATTACTTGTGTTTTGAAGGTTTTAAACAAAATGTCTTTCGTCAGACAAATGTCTTCCCCATTATTTTCTTCTACATGTTTCATAGGTTCAGGCCTTAGACTCATGTTTTTAATCCATTTTCATTTGATTTTTGTGTATGGTGACAGGTATAGATGCAGTTTTATTCCTCTGCATGTAGATATCCAGTTTTCCCCACACCATTTATTGAAAAGACTGTCCTTTCCTGATTGTAAGTTCTCGGCACCTTTGTCAAAGTCCATTAAATGGGCTGGGTATGGTGGCTCACACCTGCAATTCCAGCACTTTGGGAGGCCGAGGCGGGTGGATCACCTGAAGCCAGGAGTTCAAGACCAGGCTGGCCAACAGAGTGAAACCTCGTCTCTACTAAAAATACAAAAATTAGCTGAGCATGGTGACCAGTGCCTGTAATACCACTACTCGGGTGTTTGAGGCAAGAGAATTGCTTGAATCCAGGAAGTGGAGGTTGCATTGAGCTGAGATTGCACCTCTGCACTCCAGCCTGCATGACAGAGCAAGATTCTATCACACACACACACAAAAAAAGCCATTGGATGTAAATGCATGGATTATATCTGTGTTCTCCATTCTGTTTCATTTTTTATGTGCCTTTCTTTATGCCAATGTCATGCTGTTTTGCTTACTACAGCTCTGTAACATATTTCTAAGTCAGGTAGTGTGATGCTCCTGTTTTCTCTTTATACCTTCAAGTCTCAAGACAGTGGGCATCGCACACAAAAATTATGGAGAAGAGGATCCCAAGACTCCCAGGGTCCAACATTAGATAACAGAGTGTTGGCCATGAACCAACCTCAAAGATTTCCATTGAGTAGAGGACAAGCACCCTCATTTCCTCACATCTCTCCTGTCCCATGTTCTAGGAAACCCTTCAAGTAGTTGGCCTTCACCCACAGAACCAAGCTCCAAATCTGGTGAGTAAAGGACCCCTCTTATCTCTGCTTTTGGAAACCTGGGGAGGTGGAAGCCTTGGATGCAAGTGTTGGCTCAAACCTCCCAGCTCTGTGAATGAGGGCCTGTCTTCCACCATCTCTGAACTCCAGACACTCCAACAGTGAAAGGGATCTAGGGCCACCAAAGGGCTCAGCGAAGTCTCTTAACCTTTAATGTCCTGCAGGTGAGACCTCCTACAAGCTAGAAGAATGATTGCCAATCTGACATCCTTCTCAGGAAACATGCAGTGTTTTTTCTTCCTGCATTCCTAACTGGAGGATAAATTCCTGGGGACTTGAGAGAGGGAAGGGAAGGGAACATCTGATGAGGGCGAGGTGTTTTAGAGAAGTTCCACTTGCCAAGGAATGAATTACTGTTGGTCATGAAGCAACCCTGGCTGACTCAGCAGAGCAAGAGCCTTGCCGTAACAGAGAACAGAGCTCATGCACGCACACTTCGACTCACTGACTCATTCAGCCACGGCCCCATGCTCAGGCTGTGCAGTTGGAATCCTTTCCTATTGTTGCCATAACAAATTTCCACAAGATTCGTGGGTGAAAACAAAACGGTTTTTTAATTATCTTACAGTGCTGTAGCTCAAAGTAGGAAGTGCATCTTACTGGGCTAAAATCAAGGTGACAGCAAGGCTGCCTTCCCTCTGAGGATTCCAGGCAAGAATCTGCTTCTCACTTGTCCCAGCTTCTAAAGGCTCCCAGTTCCTTGGCTCCTGGTCCCCTTCCTCCTTCCTCAAAGCCCACAAAGACTGGTCACATCTCACATGGCATCACTCAGACCCTTCTTCCTTACCACACCTCTTTCTCTGAATGCTGCTCTCCCTTCTTCCTTATCTTTTGAAAACTTGGGGATTCTATTGGGTTCACCAAGATGAAAATCCATCATAATCTCCCGGAAATCATTCAGGATACCCTTGTTTTAAGTTCAGCTGACTAGCAACCGTAATTCCATCTGCAATCTTCATTCCTTCTTTCCATGTAAAATAAGATATTCACAAGCTATGGAGGCCAGGACAGGGACATTTTGGGGTGGGACAGCATTCTCCTGCCTTCCACGAACGGTGAACAAGATGCATTTGGCCTCTGCTCTTGGGACACTGATATTGCAGATGGTTAAATGGGAGGACAGAAAATGAATGCACAAGTGGACCAATAAATGAATGATCCATTGGGAAGCATCTGTGCATGAAATCTATTTGTTTGTTCGTTCATTTATTTATTGAGACAGAGTCTCCCTCTGTCTTCCAGGCTACAGTGCAGTGTCACGATCTTGGCTCACTGCAACCTGCGTCTCCTGGATCCAAGTGATTCTCCTGCCTCACCCTCTCGAGTAGCTGGGATTACAGGCAACTGCCACCATGCCCGGCTAATTCTTTTTGTATATTTTTTGTAGAGAGGATGTTTCACCATGTTGGCCAAGCTTGTCTGAAACTCCCAACCTCAAGTGATCCGACCATCTCAGCAACCCAAAGTACTGGGATTACAGGCGTGAGCCACTTTGCCCAGCCAGAATTCAAAATAAATAATAGATAATGCTGAGTGTATAATTTTGGGTGACAGAGAAGGTCTCACTAATCAGATATTTGTGACATTAATGAAAAACACGGATTGAACCCCTGAAAGATTGGCGGAAGGATTTTCCACACACAGCTGTCAGCCGTGAAGGCAGAAAGCTGAAAACAATCTGATGTGGAAGGAAGAGGCTCTGCCTGAAATGCTGGGAATGAGGTGGGGAGAATGACAAGACGACTGTGGAGAGACGGAGAGCACACTGGGTACACAGGAAACTAAGGAGCAACAAGGAGTGTGTGTTTGACACTCACAGCCATTGGATTCACCTCGGGGTAGCCAGGAATCCCTACATGATTAATAGTGACTGACATGAAAATAAGGGAGGCCCAGGTGCGTAACTGGAATCTAGGAGACAGTGGAAAAGGCAATTGCCGCCCCACTGGTGAAATGTGGTGCTGATTTAGACCCTAAGTGGATGAAGCAGATGGATATAAGCTATGTTTGGGAGGTAGAATCATTTGCAGGGAGGGCTTGCTGGGTTTGAGTTTCCTAGTTGTTTAATCCTTGCTAAATTAATTTCTTTCTGAGATTTATTCCTCCTACACATAAATCAATACCTGGCAAAGGAGTGACAGATATATGAGGGGTGGTGGAAATGAAGGGACCTATTATAGCATAGTATACAAGTCTGTGAACGGTGGCTCACTCCTGTAACCCAGCACTGCAGGAGGCTAAGGCCAGTGGATTCCAAGAAGTCAGGAGTTCGAGACCAGCCTGGCCAACATGGAGAAACCCTATCTCTACATGGTGAAACCCTATCTCTCCTAAAAATACAAAAATTAGCCGAGCATGGTGGTGCATCCCTGTAATCCCAGCTCCTGCTCTGGAGGATGAAGCAGGAGAATGACTTCAACCCAGGAGGTGGAGGTTGCAGTGAGTGGAGATCGCATCACTGCACTCCAGCCTGGGTGACACAAGGAGACTCCATCTCAAAAAATAAAAATAAGAAATGCATAAATATAATAAAACACACACGAATGACAAAGGCACCTGAATTCCCATCATCATTTTTCTATTTCTCTATAATTACTTCTTTGATCCTTTATCTTATCCATTAGGCAATCAGCCTAAAACCTCTTCCGTATTTGGCTTTCTGTGAGCATGAGATCATATAGAAAATGTGAAAGCCCGCTGAATCCTCCAGCACAAATCCTGGAATAGAGAAAGTGCTCTGGTCATCACAAAAAAAACTTGCCCCCTCACCCAAATCCCCCATCTCACCCCTACTTCCAATCACCTGTGGAAATACAGATAGATCATGGGGAGGTAAATGCTAATACTCCTTGGAGTGAGTCCAGATCTTGGAATCAGAGATCAGTGCCAGCACTAGCTCCTGCTCCCCTTTCCTACTAATTCACAGGAGGACAGGTGGTATTGAAGCAATAGATAGTCGAGGGGGTGGTCCTTCCCCCAGCCTCTGAGGTAGAACAGCAGCCTAACATGTGTCTCCCGAGATCACAAAGAGTAGCACATTTCACACGGGCTTCAACACTATTTTCTGGCTGTTTGACATAAGAGAATTCTACTTCGCTTTTTTTATATTGATTTCACTTTTGTTTCCTTTTCTTGGAGAATGCAAGTTGTTTAACTCAAGAATGCCGTGGATGTAGAAATCCTAAAGCACATTCGCTGTGTATCAATCCCAGTCCAGTCTTCCCAGAGAAGACTCTAAACACCTCCTGGACTGCACCTGGGCCTATGCCAATTCCTATCACTCACCGTCACTCCAGGGAGACAGAACACACAGAGAATACGTTACATAGGCAGGTTCATTACTAACAGATAAGCAGCGAGTGACAACAGAAGCCTACATTTCAATGTGAGCCAGTTCCCCAAGGCTCAGAAAAGCTGCTCGAGACATGTGGAGTCACCCCATTTGCAGTGTAGCTGGGGGAAGCCAGAAAGCAGCCCAGCCTGGGTTTTGTACCCTGGAGCCACAGGAAGCACTCAGCTAAAGCACTGCATGACGTCCTCCTCCAGGAAGAACAGGAAGACAGCCCAGGCTGTTCTGGGACAATCCTCCTGATCTCAGGACTTTGCTGTCTTAGTCCATTTTTGTTGCTCTAAAGGAACACTTGAGCCTGGGTAACTTCTAAAGAAGAGATTGGTTTGCCTCACCGTTCTGCAGGCTGTACTGGAAGCATGGCACCAGCATCTATTTCTTATGATGGCCTCAGGCCGCTCCCACTCTGGCAGAAGGGAAGGAGGGTCTGTCTGTGCTGAGACCACAGAGATCACACGGCAAGAGAGGGAGCAAGGGGGAGGGGGAGCAATGGAGCTTCCAAGCTCTTTTTAACAACCAGCTCTCCAGGAACTAATAGAGAGGGAACTTGCTAACCCCGTCTCCTTGGGACAGCATTGATCTGTTCATGATGGATCCACCTCCATGACCCAAACACCTCCCAAGAGGCCCAACCTCCCACACTGGGGGTTAAATTTCAATGTGAGGTTTGAAGGGGTCAAACATCTCAACTAAAGTAGTTGTATCCTCAGCACGTTCCATGGTTACTATGAGAGCTATAACTGAGAAAGCAGGAGGAAGCTAGATCTCCCGCCATCTGGGTGCTTGTCCGAAAGAGATGCTGTAAGTGGTTACCTGTCAATCAAGAAATGCAAGACAATTCATATAGAGAAACTGCTATGATTAGCTTCTTACTGGTGTCTCCTCTTCTTCCAGGTAACCCCAGACACCTGCACATTCTGATTGGGACCTCAGTGGTCATCATCCTCTTCATCCTCCTCCTCTTCTTTCTCCTTCATCTCTGGTGCTCCAACAAAAAAAGTAAGTCTCACGGGGCACAGGCCAGAGAGCTCAGGGCCATGTGGGGAAGCAGGATGGGAGCACACAGCTGTGTGTTCCTCACTGGCAGGATGGTCCCTGGCCCAAGACAGGAGCCACAGAGGCAGGACTTTCTAGAGAGAGCACCAGACTCCCTGCCCCTGCCTTCAGCTCACAGACCGTTGCCTGATTCTGAACTGTATCCTCATGTCCCCTGCAGCCACTCACATCCAGGAGAAGGTTCCATGACAGGCAGAAAGTGGGAGACAGAATCAATGGGATGGGAACTCAGAGCTATTCATGGGATGGGTCCTTGAGCTCAGAGAGATAGAATGTCTGAGTCTGCTGTTGGCAACTGAGGGACCTCAGGCACCTATGGCCTCCCCCTGTTTGTTGGTATCTGCTTATGAAATGAGGACCCAGAAGTGCCCTCCGAGCTCTTTTGTTGACTTCCGTCTCCTACAGATGCTGCTGTAATGGACCAAGAGCCTGCAGGGAACAGAACAGCCAACAGCGAGGTAGGTGCTCCTCGGCCCAGCCTCGTGGCTAGTGTTATTCCCAAACAGTCCTGGAAAACGTGAGCACCCTCCCTCACTCAGCATTTCCCTCCCTCACTCAGCATTTCCCTCTCTCCAGGACTCTGATGAACAAGACCCTGAGGAGGTGACATACGCACAGTTGGATCACTGCGTTTTCACACAGAGAAAAATCACTCGCCCTTCTCAGAGGCCCAAGACACCCCCTACAGATACCATCTTGTACACGGAACTTCCAAATGCTAAGCCCAGATCCAAAGTTGTCTCCTGCCCATGAGCACCACAGTCAGGCCTTGAGGACGTCTTCTAGGGAGACAACAGCCCTGTCTCAAAACCGAGTTGCCAGCTCCCATGTACCAGCAGCTGGAATCTGAAGGCGTGAGTCTTCATCTTAGGGCATCGCTCCTCCTCACGCCACAAATCTGGTGCCTCTCTCTTGCTTACAAATGTCTAGGTCCCCACTGCCTGCTGGAAAGAAAACACACTCCTTTGCTTAGCCCACAGTTCTCCATTTCACTTGACCCCTGCCCACCTCTCCAACCTAACTGGCTTACTTCCTAGTCTACTTGAGGCTGCAATCACACTGAGGAACTCACAATTCCAAACATACAAGAGGCTCCCTCTTGACGTGGCACTTACCCACGTGCTGTTCCACCTTCCCTCATGCTGTTTCACCTTTCTTCGGACTATTTTCCAGCCTTCTGTCAGCAGTGAAACTTATAAAATTTTTTGTGATTTCAATGTAGCTGTCTCCTCTTCAAATAAACATGTCTGCCCTCATTGCTTCAGGTAATGTGACACTGTATTCGCTGAAAGAAACCGCTGTTATCATTACCATGTCCACATAACCCCATCTGTTCTCCGCTGGGTTCTCACCCCTGGACTCTGAGCTTCTGGAAGCAGGGTGGAGCCTCATTTGTCTCTGGGACTCCAATTTCCATCCAAAGATGCAGCACATAGGAGGTTCCAAGGATCGTGAATCACATGAACAAGTGATATTCTTACTCTCTGCAACCTGGAAAGCTGGCAGAGTCATTCCACGATGAAACATTTGTAGAGTCATAAGCCTTGCTAGTCTCATCTCCACGGGGACACATATCAACACATCATATTTCATACTATAAATATACAGTCGCTCCTCCATATCTGTGGGGTTTACAGGTGTTTATTGAACCAAGTGTAAATCAAAAATATTCAGAGAAAATGTCCACAAAGTTTCAAAATGCAAAACTATGTTGAATGGACACAAATGAGGCAGTGTGTAGGCTGTATCAGGAATTATAAGTAATCAAGAGATGATTTCATGTATACAGGAGGATGTGCATGGGTTATATCCAAATGCTGTGTCATTTTATGTAAGAGGCTTGAGCATCTGCAGATTTTGGTACCTGAGTGGAGATCCTGAAACCAATCACCCACGAATAGTAAAGGATGACCGTATATGACTTTTATTTCTCAATTTTAAATATAAATCATAAAAAATGTACAATAACTAGATAAAAAGTAAGAAGTGTTTTTATAGTGTGAGAATAAGTTTAGATTTATTTTTTCCTACGTGTAACCCTTTGGTTTAATATTATTTATTAAGAAGACATTCTATGCCACCTTAAACCACACGGCAGCCTTTGTCAACTCTAAAGGGACTGTGTGTACACGGATGTATTTTAGACACTGTTTCTGCTAAGGGGCTCTCTGTGTCCACACTCTTGAGGATGCTGCACTTCATGTAGCCTTATAAAACCCTTTAAATTTAGTAGCCAGAGCCCTCTAATTTGTTATTATAGGCTACTTGCTATTTTTTTTTCTTGAGGCGGAGTCTTGCTCTGTCGCCCAGGCGGGACTGTAGTGGAGCAATCTCAGCTCACTGCAACTTCCGCCTCCCAGGTTCAGGCGATTCTCGTGCCTCAGTCTCTTGAGTAGCTGGCGTTTCAGGTGCCTGCCACCAGGCATGGCTAATTTTTGAATTTTTAGCAGAGACGCGGTTTCACTGTGTTGGCCAGGCTGCTCTCAATCTCCTCATCTCAGTTGATCCGCCCACCTCGGCTTCCCGACCTGCTGGGGGAAACTTGATTTTCTATAGCATTATGTTACTGGATATTTCTGTAAAATTTAAAATGAGGGAGGCAGAGAGACAGAGAGAGAGCAAACTCCAGAGTTGGGACTCTGGAATCTTGAGTCATGAGACAAATTATAGATAAAACTACAAAAATCCAGAATTTACATGTGTGGTTTTTGCTGATAAAGTACAATTCTAAGATTGTAAATAATTGCATAATCCTTCCCTGGGAATTTAAATCATTTGAACTGGTTCTGCTGTAATACTAGAAATACAAGCATGAACAATTCTAATGGTTTATTAGTCACAATGACTCTGAAAACACTAATAATACCTATTAGATATTTTGCATATTACACAGGAAGAAGAGTTCGAATCTCAGATAAAAACAATAAAAATTCATGAAAAGTCTTTCATGTTAGCACAGATTTTAGGCATCTCATGTTTGGGAGGTTGGATCTAAGACATGTTTTGAGTTGGTCATAGTGAAGGACGCGAGGTGTCAATTCTAGTGAGAGCAATTTCCAGGAAGCCATGTTCTGCTCTTGAGCGAGCACCCACTGGGCCTCATGCAAGGTAGAAAAAGCCTGCGTACGTCACCCTCCCATGATGTGGTCAACATGTAAACTGCATGGGCAGGGCGCCAAATAACATCCTGTGCGCTGCTGAGCTGAGCTGGGGCGCGGCCGCCTGTCTGCACCGGCAGCACCATGTCGCTCATGGTCATCATCATGGCGTGTGTTGGTGAGTCCTGGAAGGGAATAGAGGGAGGGAGCGTGGGGATGGAGATCTGGGCCCAGAGGTGGAGATATGGGCCTGGAGGTGGAGTTATGGGCCTGGAGTGGAGATCTGGGCCTAGAGATGGAGTGATGAGCCTAGAAGTGGAGATCTGCGCCTGGAGTGGAGATCTGGGCCTGGAGTGAAGATCTGGGCCTGGAGTGGAGATATGGGCCTGGAGTGGGGATAGGAACCTGGAGTGGAGAGAGGAACCTGGAGGAGAGATAGGAACCTGGAGGGGAGGTAGGAGCCTAGGGTGGAGATATGGGACTGGAGTGGAGATATGGGACTGGAGTGGAGATATGGGCCTGGAGTGGAGTTATGGGCCTGGAGTGAAGTTATGGGCCTGGAGGTGGAGATACGGGCCTGGAGTGGAGATATGAGCCTGGAGTGGAGATATGGTCCTGGAGTGGAGATATGGGCCTGGAGTGGAGATATGGGTCTGCAGTGGAGTTATGGGCCTGGAGTGAAGTTATGGGCCTGGAGGTGGAGATATGGGCCTGGAGTGGAGATATGGGACTAGAGTGGAGATAGGGGCCTGGAGGTGGAGATCTGGGCCTGGAGTGGAGATCTGGGCCTGGAGTGGAGATCTGGGCCTGGAGTGGAGATATGGGCCTGGAGTGGAGATATGGGTCTGCAGTGGAGATATGGGCCTGGAGGTGGAGATATGGGCCTGGAGTGGAGTTATGGGCCTGGAGTGAAGTTATGGGCCTGGAGGTGGAGATATGGGCCTGGAGTGGAGATATGGGACTAGAGTGGAGATAGGGGCCTGGAGGTGGAGATCTGGGCCTGGAGTGGAGATATGGCCCTGGAGTGGAGATATGGGCCTGGAGTGGAGATATGAGCCTGGAGTGGAGATATGGCCCTGGAGTGGAGATATGGGCCTGGAGGTGGAGATATGGGCCTGGAGTGGAGTTATGGGCCTGGAGTGAAGTTATGGGCCTGGAGGTGGAGATATGGGCCTGGAGTGGAGATATGGGACTAGAGTGGAGATACGGGCCTGGAGGTGGAGATCTGGGCCTGGAGTGGAGATATGGCCCTGGAGTGGAGATATGGGCCTGGAGTGGAGATATGAGCCTGGAGTGGAGATATGGCCCTGGAGTGGAGATATGGGCCTGGAGTGGAGATATGAGCCTGGAGTGGAGATATGGCCCTGGAGTGGAGATATGGGCCTGGAGTGGAGATATGGGCCTGGAGTGGACATATGGGTCTGGAGTGGAGATACGGGCCTGGAGGTGGAGATATGGGCCTGGAGTGGAGATATGGGCCTGGAGGTGGTGATATGGGCCTGGAGTGTAGACATGGGCCGAGTGGAGATATGGGTCTGGAGTGGAGATATGGGCCTGGAGTGGAGATATGGGACTGGAGTGGAGATATAGGCATGGGGTGGAGACATGGGCCGGGAGTGGAGATATGGGACTGGAGTGGAGATACGGGCGTGGGGTGGAGATATGTGCCTGGAGGTGGAGATATGGGCGTGGGTTGGAGATATGGGCCTGGAGTGGAGATATGGGCGTGGGGTGGAGATATGGATCTGGAGTGGAGACATGGGCATGGGGTGGAGATATGGGCCTGGTGTGTAGATATGGGCCTGGAGTGGAGATATGGCCCTGGAGTGGAGATATGGGCCTGGAGTGGAGATCTGGGCCTACGGTGGAGATATGGGCCTAGGATGGGGATATGGGCCTGGAATGGAGATATGGGCCTGGGTGTGGAGATATGGGACTGGAGTGGAGATATGGGCCTGATGTGGAGATATGGGCTTGGAGTGGAGATATGATCCTGGAGTGTAGTTATGGGCCTGGAGGTGGAGATCTGGGCCTGGGGTGGAGATATGGGCCTGGAGTGGAGATATGGGACTGGAGAGGAGATATGGGACTGGAGTGGAGATATGGGCCTGGAGTGGAGATATGGGCCTGGATTGGAGATATGGGCCGAGGGTGGAGATCTGAGCCTGGATTGGAGATGTGGGCCCGGATTGGCTATATGGGTCTAGGGTGGAAATATCGGCCTGGAGTGGAGATATGGGCCTGGAGTGGAGATATGGGCTTGGGGTGGGGATATGGGCCTGGAGGCTGGGTCTCTGCACAGCCGAGAGCACTGTTCTTGGGTGCAGGTAGGCTCTGATGGTGAGTTTCCCTTCGGCCCAGGAAGGGGCTGGCTATCAAGACTCACAGCCCAGTGGGGGCAGCAAGGAAGGCCTTGTTTGCCTGCAAATGGATCTTCCATCATGATCTTTCTTTCCAGGGTTCTTCTTGCTGCAGGGGGCCTGGCCACAGGAGGGTAAGTCCTTCTCCAAACCTTAGGGTGTCATCTCCCCACATAAGAGGATTTTCCTGAAACGGGAGGGAAGTCCTGTCAGGGAGTCTCTCATAAACTAGGAAGAGGGGACCCTGGGGTGCTCGGCCCACAGTTCCGACCTTGCCTCCCTGGCCTCTCAACCCCTTGGCAGAGTCAAGTTGTGTGGGGACCAGGGTTGGACTAGGGTGTTCAAAGCTGGGTTGTGTGGTGGGGAAGTGGTAGGAACAGCAGATCCTCTGAGGACAAAGGTGTTACTCACACACTTCAGCGTTTCCATGACGGTAGGGGCTGCAGTGTGGCTGCTGTCATTCTACCAGAAGAGGTGGGAAACCACAGCCATGGCCCTGACATTCCAAATCCTCTGATGGGGGCTAAGTTTTTTATTTTCATTCAGGCAACTGCTGATATTCCATTCTCAAAGGACATGCCCTCCACTTCATGTCTACCCTGTGTTGTTTTATGTCAGTAATCTTACAGTATTAAAATCTAGTAGGAGTCTCTTACTCAGCACTTGCTCAAAGTTCTCAGCTGACACTTTTGTTGTACGGAGACACCTTGTCTTTGTGGGATGGGTCCTTCCTTTAGCCCTAGGCACCAAGGTGTGATAGCAGCCATAGAAATGTGGAAAGTGGGGAGAATCTTCTGAGCACAGGGAGGGAGGCACAGCTCCACATCCTCCTCTCTAAGGCGGCGCCTCCTTCACCCCAAGGTGGTCAGGACAAGCCCTTGCTTTCTACCTGGCCCAGCCTTGTGGTGCCTCCAGAACATGTGACTCTTCAGTGTCACTCTAATCTTGGGTTTAACAACTTCAGTCTGTACAAGGATGATGGGGTGCCTGTCCCTGAGCTGTACAACAGAATATTCTGGAAAAGCCTTTTCATGGGCCCTGTGACCACGTCACATGCAGGGACCTATAGATGCCGGGGTTCACACACACACTCCCCCAGTGGGTGGTCGGCACCCAGCAACCCCCTGGTGATCGTGGTCACAGGTCAGAGGGCTCCTGTCTGGGATTCTCCTTGTCCCACCTCCTGAATCCCAGAGCTTCTGGTAGGCATGTCCTTGAGGGTCCCATCACGCAGGCCCTAACTGTATTTGGGGTAAAGGGGGATTGAATACAGGGAAATGGGTGCTGTGGTGGGAAGAATAAGTGTCCCCAGTGATGACTGCATTCTAATCCCTGGAGTCTGTGACTATTTATGTTATAGGGGAAGGGACTGAAGGGGAAGATGGAGCTCAGGTTGTTGATGAGTTGACCTTGAGATGGGGAGACAGCCTGGACTGTCCCGGTGGGCTCAGTATAATCACAAGTGTCCACATGAAAGGAGGAGGAAGAGGAGAGTGGGGATTAGAGCAGCGTAGTGGGAGACTCCATCAGCTTTGAAGGTGGATGAAGGCCATAAGCCATGAATGCAGGTGGCCTATAGAGGCTGGGAAAGTCAAGTAACTGATTCTCCTGAGTCTCCAGAGGGAACACAGCCCTGCAGATGCCTTGATTTTAGCCCTCGAAAAACAGGGTCCGCTTTCTGTCTCCAGAATCGGAGGGGGTCAGTGTGCTCTCTCCTGCTGCCATGCTTCTGATAATTTTCTACAGCAGCAACAGGAAACCAACACTGGAACCCAGGTCAAGGACAAGTTAAGAAAAGACACAAGGATAGCCAGGCATGGTGGCAGGTGCATGTAATCCTAGCGACTCGGGAGGCTGAGAGCAGGAGAATCGCTTGAACCCAGGAGACAGAGGTTGCAGTGAGCGTAGACCACACCACTTCACTCCAGCCTGGGTGAAGGAGTGAGACTCTGTCTCCAAAATTAATTAATTAATTAAAGAAACCAAACAAAGAGAAGGTTGGCTACACCGAGATCAGCAAGGGTGGGATGATGATGCCACCACCAGGCTCCATCCACATAGGGAGGGGTTGATACTCCTCAAATCAGCACGAGGAGCCAGCCTATGGAAACTGGCACCATGGAGAAGGCACAGACATGGCAAGAGTGGCTCCCAGTCCCCACCAGGAACAGGGTGTGTGGACACTGGTGCCTGCCTTACTGATCAGTTCATACCTCCTGCCAAGGATTCCAATTCGTCCAAAAGAGATTGAACCAAGCTGCTAAGAGCCGGGACGTGCAGCCTATCCTGCTTCCTCTTCCACTCCCACATAGACAGTAAGAAAGACATTAGTGTGAAATAGATACAACAGCCCAAGAGATGAGGCTGAGCCCAGTGGGAAGGGAATCACAGCTACTAGAGACAGAGGGACAGAGAAGAGGGAGGGAGACAGATGGAAGGACCTGCACCAGGAGTTATGGGCACAGAAAAGAACATGAAGACACAGAGAGGAAGCAGAGAGACAGACACCAGCGAAGGGAAGGCTCACTCATTCCAGGTGCCATGGATGGGATGATAAAGAGAGACACCTTCTAAACTCACAACCTCTCTTCCTAGGAGTCCACAGAAAACCTTCCTTCCTGGCCCTCCCAGGTCACCTGGTGAAATCAGAAGAGACAGTCATCCTGCAATGTTGGTCGGATGTCATGTTTGAGCACTTCCTTCTGCACAGAGAGGGGAAGTTTAACAACACTTTGCACCTCATTGGAGAGCACCATGATGGGGTTTCCAAGGCCAACTTCTCCATTGGTCCCATGATGCCTGTCCTTGCAGGAACCTACAGATGCTACGGTTCTGTTCCTCACTCCCCCTATCAGTTGTCAGCTCCCAGTGACCCTCTGGACATGGTGATCATAGGTGAGAGTGTCCAGACATTCTTCTCATTGTCATTGGGATGCAGAGTGAATGATCCAGGACTTGGAGACCCAGGTGGTTGTAAGGAAGATGAGCTTGGTATTCTTATGGAGAGAGACTGACTTGGTGAGGTCTGTGCCAACAGAGACAGAGAAACAAGAGACACAAGTACAGACCAGGTGTCATAACAGAGGACAAACACAGGGGCCATACAGGGAGTTAGAAAAGACAGAAAGAGTTAAAGGAGACAGACAGACATGTCCCAGACAGAGGTGTCCTTCCATGCTGACTTTGCTCAGAGACCTGGCACAGGTTAGAAGTTTCATTTCTGTTTTACCTCCACAAAGTGTTCTCTACCAGGAGAACCCAAGGACACCCATATTTCTGACCTGAGTTGGGCCCTGTGGCCTCAGGCCTTGTGGCACCTACAGATGCCATGCTTATTCTGACACCTCTGACTTCCATGCAATGGAGAATAATCGTCCCAAAATATCATGGCCCCAGAACACCAACCCCTGTATGCTGTGTGAACTTGTGGTCTCCAGACTGGATTCTGAGGCTCACATTCCAAATAACCCCACATATCACATATGAGAGGATCACTGAGAAGCACAGAGAGAAATCAGGGACACCAAAAAGCAAAGACATAAACACACAGAGAAAGAGCCAGAGGAAGGAGATTGAGAGACTCACAGACACATAAAGAGAGAGAAGAGGGCAGAGAAGTGGAGAGAATGATGGAAGAGAGCAGAGAAAACCACTAAAATTAGAGTCCTGAGGGCGAGGCACAAGGGCATAGAAAGATGGAGATGTGGGGATGAATTGCAGAGATTCCAAAGAGAACTAGAGAGACCGAGAGGCAGAGCAAGACAGATGATAGATGGATAGATACAGATAGATGATGGATAGATATAGATAGATGATATATAGGTAGATGATAGATAATAGGTTATAGATACATAGATGATGATTGATTGATTCATTAATAGATGATACATAGAGATGATGATGATGAAGATAGATGGATAGATAATACATAGAGATAGAGAGGAAGACAAAGAGAGAAATAATAGAGAGAGAGAGATGATACATATATATAGATAATAGATGATTGACGGATAGACAATTGATAGATAAATAGATGATATATAGATATAGATGACAGGTAGAGAATTTGTAGATAGGCACCGAATAGATAAATAGATGGATTGATAGATAATAGATAGAAATATGCAGAAAGTTATGAACGGGACACAAACTGAGAAACTCAGAGTTAAAAAAAGTAACATCAAGTCAACCAATCCAAGGAGAGCCAGAGAGAATAAAACAATCCAAAAACGGAAAACATAACTAGAGGTAGGGAAGTGAGGTCAGAGACCTACAGAGACAGAGAAGGTGGAAGGAGGAAATAGACATGAAGAGAGATAGGGTGGAGGGTGAGACAGAGAAAGAGAGCATTAGGCCATAGAGCAGGGGAGTGAGTTCTCAGGTCAGGTGTGAGGGGAGCTGTGACAAGGAAGATCCCCCCTGAGGAAACTGCCCCTTCTCCTTCCAGGTCTATATGAGAAACCTTCTCTCTCAGCCCAGCCGGGCCCCACGGTTCAGGCAGGAGAGAATGTGACCTTGTCCTGCAGCTCCATCTATCCAGGGAAGGGGAGGCCCATGAACGTAGGCTCCCTGCAGTGCGCAGCATCAACGGAACATTCCAGGCCGACTTTCCTCTGGGCCCTGCCACCCACGGAGGGACCTACAGATGCTTCGGCTCTTTCCGTGACGCTCCCTACGAGTGGTCAAACTCGAGTGATCCACTGCTTGTTTCCGTCACAGGTGAGGAAACCCCATATCTGTCCCATGTCCTATGATCCTAGAGCCTTAGCTGAGGAGCTTCCTGCTGATGATGGAGAGAAGCATGGACAGATGCAGAGAGAAGACGCAGCATGCCTGTGAGGGAGGGATCAGGGCGCAGGATGGCACACACAGCACCTCCAAACCCTCCTGCATGGCCTGCATGGAGGCCTCCGATTAGGGCTCCAGAAACCCAGGCAGATGTAGAAAGCGGTCAGGAGAGACCCAGAGAAGGGGAGACTGGGCTCAGTTTGGGGAGATCAGAGGTTCCCTCAGCCCCTCAACCTTACCCATTTCCCAGAAGCCCTTCCTGGCCTCTCACCCACACAGAGATGTCATCACCAGCAACCCCTACATCCTTTTCTTTTTGTTTGAAAAAATATTCATTGAGGTTAAATATACCTATATAGCTTACCACTTTTAACATTTTTTTTTTTTTGAGGTGGAGTCTAGCTCTGTCTCCTATGCTGGAATGCAGTGGCACAATCTCAGCTCACTGTAACCTCCGCCTCCTGGGTTCAAGCGATTCTCCTGCCTCAGCCACCTGAGTAGCTGGTACTACAGGCGCCCATCACCACGCCGGGCTACTTTTTGTATTTTTAGTAGAGAGGGGGTTTCACCATGTTGGTCGAGCTGCTCTGGAACTCCTGACCACGTGATCCACCCGCCTCAGGCTCCCAAAGTGCTGGGATTACAGGCATGAGCCACCGCGCCCGGCCACGTTTACCAATTTTAAGTGTAAGGTCTAGTGGTCATAAATACATACATATAAATTTTTTGTTTGTTTGTTTTATCCTCCACCCTTTTCTTCCTGGCCTCTGGTAGCCACCATTCTACTCTCTATCTTCATGAGATCCACCTTTTAGCTCCTGTATATGGGTGAGAAATGAGAATATTTGTAATGACTTCCAGTTCCATCCATGTGGCTGCAAATATCAGGATGTTATTCTTTCTATGGATGAGTAGTCTCCGCTGTGCGTATGTACTACATTCTCTCTATCCATTCATCCACTGATGGGCAGGTAGGTTGACTCCACATCTTGGCTACTGTGAAGAGTGCTGCACCAATCATACGAGTGCAGATATCACTTCGATACATTGATTTACTTTCCTTTGGATATAAACCCAGTAGTGAAATTGCTGGATACTATGAAAGTTCTCTTTTTAGTTTTTCGTTTGTTGTTTTGTTTTTGTTTTTGAGACAGTTTCCCTCTGTGCCCAGGCTGGAGTACAAGTGATGTGATCTTGGCTCATTGCAACCTCCGCCTCCTGGGTTCAAATGATTTTCCTGCCTCAGCCTCCCTAGTAGCTGGGATTACAGGTGCACGCCACCATGCCGGGATACTTTTTGGTTTTTTTTAGTGTACATGGGGTTTCCCCAGGTTGGCTAGGCTGCTCTCAAACTCATGACCTCAACTGAGGTGCCCGCCTCGGTCTCCCAAAGTGCCGGGATTACAGGCATGATCCACTTCATCCAACCTCTTTTTAGTTCTTTAAAGGACTTCCATACTTTTCTCCGTAATGGCTGTACTAATTTACACTCCTACCAACAGGGTACCAGGGTTCTCCTTTCTCTACCACCTTGCCAGCATTTGTTTTGCCTGTCTTGCAGCTAAAAGCCATTTTATTTTATTTCATTTTATTTTGAGATGGAGTTTCGCTCTTGTCACCCAGGCTGGAGTGCAGTGGTGCGATCTCGGCTCACCGCAACCTCCACCTCCCAGGTTCAAGCGATTCTCCTGCCTCAGCCTCCCGAGTAGCTGGAATTACAGGCACACGCCACCACGCCCGACTAATTTTTGTATTTTTAGTAGAGACAGCGTTTCTCCATGTGGGTCAGACTGGTCTCAAACTCCCGACCTTATGAGATTCGCCCACCTCGGGCTCTCAGAGTTCTAGGATGACAGACGTGAGCCACCTCGCCCGGCCTAAAAGCCATTTTAATGGGGTGAGATGAAAACTCACTTTGATTTTAATTCGCGTTTCTCTGATGATGAGTGATACTGAGCACTTTTTCGTATGTGGGGAAATTTCATGTCTTTTGCTCCTTTTTCAATTAAATCATTTGTTTTATTGAGTTGTTTGAGCTTCTTATACTTCTAGTTATTAATCCCGTCTCAGATGCATAGTTTGCACATATTTGCTCCCAATCTGTGGGTTGTCTCTTCACTTTGTTGGTTTATTTTTAGCGGTGCAGAAGTTGCTTAGTTTGAGGTAATCCCAATGGTCTATTTTTGCTTCGATTACTTGTGTTTTGAAGGTTTAAAACAAAATGTCTTCCTTCAGACAAATGTACTGGAGCATTTCCCCAATATTTTCTTCTACGTGTTTCACAGGTTCAGGCCTTAGACTCACATCTTTAATCCACTTTCATTTGATTTTTGTGTATGGTGACAGGTAGAGGTGCAGTTTCATTCCTCTGCATGTAGATGTCCAGGTTTCCCTGCACTGTTTATTGAAAAAACTGTCCTTTCCTGATTGTGAGTTCTTGGCACCTTTGTCAAAGTCCATTGGATGGGCTGGGCATGGTGGCTAACACCAGCAACTTCAGCACTTTGGGAGGCCAAGGCTGGTGGATCACCTGAGGACAGGAGTACAAGATTACTCTGGCCGACGTGATGAAACCTCGTCTCCACTAAAAATATAAAAATTAGCTGAGCATGGTGGTCAGCACCTGTAATACTACTACTCAGGAGTTTGAGGCAAGAGAATTGATTGAACCCAGGAGGCTGAGGTTGCAGTGAACCGAGATTGCACCTCTGCACTCCAGCCTGGGTGACAGAGCGAGACTCCATCTCAAAAGAAAAAATAAAAAAAATTGGATGTAAATGCATGGATTATATCTGTGTTCTTCATTCTGCTCCGTTGTTCTATGTGCCTTTCTTCATGCCAACATCATGCTGTTTTGCTTACTACAGCTCTGTAACATATTTTGAGATCAGGTAGTGTGATGCTCCTGTTTTCTCTTTATACCTTGAAGTCTCAAGACAGTGGGCGTCACATACAAAAATTATGGAAGAAAGGATCCCTGGACTCCCAGGGCCCAATGTTAGATAACAGAGTGTTGGCCATGAACCAAACTCAAAGATTTCCACTGAGTAGAGGACAGACACCCTCATTTCCTCACCTCTCTCCTGTCTCATGTTCTAGGAAACCCTTCAAATAGTTGGCCTTCACCCACTGAACCAAGCTCCAAAACCGGTGAGTACAGGACCCTCTTATATCCGCTTTTGGAACCCTGGGGAGGTGGAAACCTTGGATTCAGGCGTTGACTCAGCATCTCACAGCTCTGACATTGTACGCCTGTCTTCTACCATCTCCGAACTCCAGATACTCCAACAGCGAAAGGGATCTGGGCCCAACACAGGGCTCAGTGAAATCTCTTCATCTCTCATTTTATGGAGCTGAGACCTCCTACAAGCTAGAAGAATGATTGCCAATCTGACATCCTTCTCAGGAAAAACGCAATGTTTGTTCTGCTTGCATTCCTAACTGGAGGATAAATTCCTGGGGGCTTGAGAGAGGGAAGGGAAGCGAACATCTGATGAGGGCGAGGTGTTTTAGAGAAGTTCCACTTGCCAAGGAATGAGCTCCTGTTGGTCATGAAACAACCCTGGCTGACTCAGCAGAGCAAGAGCCTTGCCGTAACAGAGAACAGAGCTCATGCACGCACACTTTGACTCACTGACTTATTCAGCCACGGCCCCATGCTCAGGTTGTGCAGTGTGGAAGCTTTTCCTATTGTTGCCATAACAAATTTCCACAAGATTCGTGGGTGAAAACAAAACGGTTATTTAATTATCTTACAGTGCTCTAGCTCAAAGCATGAAGTGCATCTCACTGGGCTAAAATCAAGATGACAGCAAGCCTGCCTTCCCTCTGAGGATTCCAGGCAAGAATCTGCTTCTCACTTGTCCCATCTTATAAAGGCTCCCAGTTCCTTGGCTGCTGGTCCCTTTCCTCCTTCCTCAAAACCCACAAAGACTGGTCACATCTCACATGGCATCACTCAGACCCTTCTTCCTTACCACACCTCTTTCTCTGAATGCTGCTCTCCCTTCTTCCTCATCTTTTGAAAACTTGGGGATTCTATTGGGTTCACCAAGATGAAAATCCGTCATAATCTCCCGGAAATCATTCAGGATACCCTTGTTTTAAGTTCAGCTGATTAGCAACCATAATTCCATCTGCAATCTTCATTCCTCCTTTCCATGTAAAATAACATATTCACAAGCTATGGAGGCTAGGACAGGGACATTTTGGGGTGGGACAGCATTCTCCTGCCTTCCACAAATGGTGAACAAGATGCATTTGGCCTCTGCTCTTGGGACACTGATATTGCAGATGGTTAAATGGGAGGACAGAAAATGAATGCACAAGTGGACCAATAAATGAATGATCCATTGGGAAGCATCTGTGCATGAAATCTATTTGTTTGTTCGTTCGTTTGTTTATTGAGACAGAGTCTCCCTCTGTCTTCCAGGCTACAGTGCAGTGTCACGATCTTGGCTCACTGCAACCTGCGTCTCCTGGATCCAAGTGATTCTCCTGCCTCACCCTCTCGAGTAGCTGGGATTACAGGCAACTGCCACCATGCCCGGCTAATTCTTTTTGTATATTTTTTGTAGAGAGGATGTTTCACCATGTTGGCCAAGCTTGTCTGAAACTCCCAACCTCAAGTGATCCGACCATCTCAGCAACCCAAAGTACTGGGATTACAGGCGTGAGCCACTTTGCCCAGCCAGAATTCAAAATAAATAATAGATAATGCTGAGTGTATAATTTTGGGTGACAGAGAAGGTCTCACTAATCAGATATTTGTGACATTAATGAAAAACACGGATTGAACCCCTGAAAGATTGGCGGAAGGATTTTCCACACACAGCTGTCAGCTGTGAAGGCACAAAGGTGAAAACAATCTGATGTTGAAGGAAGAGGCTCTGCCTGAAATGCTGGGAATGAGGTGGGGAGAATGACAAGATGACTGTAGAGAGATGGAGAGCACTCTGGGTACACAGGAAACTAAGGAGGAACAAGGAGTGTGTGTTTGACACTCACAGCCATTGGATTCACCTCGGGGTAACCAGGAATCCCTACATGATTAATAGTGACTGACAAGAAAATAAGGGAGGCCCAGGTGCGTAACTGGAATCTAGGAGACTGTGGAAAAGGCAATTGCCGCCCCACTGGTGAAATGTGGTGCTGATTTAGACACTAAATGAATGAAGTAGATGGATATAAGATATGCTTGTGAGGTAGAATCATTGGCTGGAAAGGCTTGCTGGGTTTGATTTTCCTACTTGTTTAATCCTCGCTTAATTAATTTCTTTCTGAGATTTATTCATCCTACACATAAATCAATACCTGGCAAAGGAGTGACAGATATATGAGGGGTGGTGGAAATGAAGGGACCTATTATAGCATAATATACAAGTCTGTGAACGGTGGCTCATGCTTGTAACCCAGCCCTGCAGGAGGCCAAGGCGGGTGGATTCCATGAAGTCAGGAGTTCCAGACCAGCCTGGCCAACATGGTGAAACCCTATCTGTACTAAAAATACAAAAATTAGCCGAGCATGGTGGTGCATCCCTGTAATCCCAGCTCCTACTCTGGAGGATGAAGCAGGAGAATGACTTCAACCCAGGAGGTGGAGGTTGCAGTGAGTGGAGATTGCATCACTGCACTCCAGCCTGGGTGACACAAGGAGACTCCGTCTCAAAAAATAAAAATAAGAAATGCATAAATATAATAAAACACACACGAATGACAAAGGCACCTGAATTCCAATCATCATTTTTCTATTTCTCTATAATTACTTCTTTGATCCTTTATCTTATCCATTAGGCAATGAGCCTAAAACCTCTTCCCTATTTGGCTTTCTGTGAGCATGAGATCACATAGAAAATGTGAAAGCCCGCTGAATCCTCCAGCACGGATCCTGGAATAGAGAAAGTGCTCTGGTCATCGCAAAAAAAAACTTGCCCACTCACCCAAATCCCCCACCTCACCCCTACTTCCAATCACCTGTGGAGATTCAGATAGACCATGGGGAGGAAACATTAATACTCCTTGGAGTGAGTCCAGATCTTGGAATCAGAGATCAGCGACAGCACTAGCTCCTGTTCCCCTTTCCTACTAATTCACAGGAGGACAGGTGGTATTGAAGCAATAGATGGTCGAGGGGGTGGTCCTTCCCCCAGCCTCTCGGGTAGAACAGCAGCCTAACATGTGTCTCCCGAGATCACAAAGAGTAGCACATTTCACACGGGCTTCAACACTATTTCCTGGCTGTTTGACATAAGAGAATCTTGCTTCGCTATTTTTAATCGTGATTTCACCTTTGTTTCCTTTCCTTGGTGAATGCAATTTGTTTGACTCAAGAATGCTGTGGATGTAGAAATCCTAAAGCACATTCGCTGTGTATCAATCCCAGTGCAGTCTTCCCAGAGAAGACTCTAAACAAATCCTGGACTGCACCTGGGCCTATGCCAATTCCTATCACTCACCGTCACTCCAGGGAGACAGAACACACAGAGAATACGTTACATAGGCAGGTTCATTACTAACAGATAAGCAGCGAGTGACAACAGAAGCCTGCATTTCAATGTGAGCCAGTCCCTCAAGGCTCAGAAAAGCTGCTCGGGACATATGGAGTCACCCCATTTGCAGTGTAGCTGCGGGAAGCCAGAAAGCAGCCCAGCCTGGGTTTTGTACCCTGGAGCCACAGGAAGCACTCAGCTAAAGCACTGCATGACGTCCTCCTCCAGGAAGAACAGGAAGACAGCCCAGGCTGTTCTGAGACATTCCTCCTGATCTCAGGATGTTGCTATCTTAGTCCATTTTTGTTGCTCTAAAGGAACACTTGAGCCTGGGTAACTTCTAAAGAAAAGAGATTGGTTTGCCTCACAGTTCTGCAGGCTGTACTGGAAGCATGGCACCAGAATCTATTTCTCGTGACGGCCTCAGGCTGCTCCCACTCTGGCAGAAGGGAAGGAGGGTCTGTCTGTGCAGAGACCGCAGAGATCACACGGCAAGAGAGAGAGTAAGGGGGAGAGGGAGCGATGGAGCTTCCAAGCTCTTTTTAACAACCAGCTCTCCAGGAACTAACAGAGGGGGAACTTGCTAACCCCGTCTCCTTGGGACAGCATTGATCTGTTCATGATGGATCCACCTCCATGACCCAAACACCTCTGAAGAGGCCCAACCTCCCACAATGGGGGTGAAATTTCAATGTGAGGTTTGAAAGGGTCAAACATCTCAACTAAAGTAGTTGTATCCTCAGCACGTTCTATGGTTACTATGAGAGCTATAATTGAGAAAGCAGGGGAAAGCTAGGTCTCCCGCCATTTGGGTGCTTGTCCTAAAGAGACGTTGTATGTGGTTACCTGCCAATCAAGAAATGCGAGACAATTCATAAAGAGGAACTGCTATGATTAGCTTCTTATTGGTGTCTCCTCTTCTTCCAGGTAACCCCAGACACCTACATGTTCTGATTGGGACCTCAGTGGTCAAAATCCCTTTCACCATCCTCCTCTTCTTTCTCCTTCATCGCTGGTGCTCCGACAAAAAAAGTAAGTCTCACGAAGCAGAGGCCAGAGAGCTCAGGGCCATGTGGGGAAGCAGGATGGGAGCACGCGGATGTGTGTTCCTCACCAGCAGGATGGTCCCTGGCCCAAGACAGGAGCCACAGAGGCAGGACTTTCTAGAGAGAGCACCAGATTCCCTTCCCCTGCCTTCAGCTCACAGACCATTGCCTGATTCTGAACTGTATCCTCACGTCCCCTGCAGCCACTCACATCCAGGAGAAGGTTCCATGACAGGCAGAAAGTGGGAGATAGAATCAATGGGATGGGACCTCAGAGCTATTCATGGGATGGGTCCTTGAACTCAGAGAGATAGAATGTCTGAGTCTGCTGTTGGCAACTGAGGGACCTCAGGCACCTATGGCCTCCCCCTGTTTGTTGGTATCTGCTTATGAAATGAGGACCCAGAAGTGCCCTCCGAGCTCTTTTGTTGACTTCCGTCTTCTACAGATGCTGCTGTAATGGACCAAGAGCCTGCAGGGAACAGAACAGTGAACAGCGAGGTAGGTGCTCCTCCGCCCAGCCTCGTGGCTAGTCTTATTCCCAAAGAGTCCTGAAAAATGTGAGCACCCTCCCTCACTCAGCATTTCCCTCTCTCCAGGATTCTGATGAACAAGACCATCAGGAGGTGTCATACGCATAATTGGATCACTGTGTTTTCACACAGAGAAAAATCACTCGCCCTTCTGAGAGGCCCAAGACACCCCCAACAGATACCAGCATGTACATAGAACTTCCAAATGCTGAGCCCAGATCCAAAGTTGTCTTCTGTCCACGAGCACCACAGTCAGGCCTTGAGGGGATCTTCTAGGGAGACAACAGCCCTGTCTCAAAACCGGGTTGCCAGCTCCCATGTACCAGCAGCTGGAATCTGAAGGCATCAGTCTTCATCTTAGGGCATCGCTCTTCCTCACACCACGAATCTGAACATGCCTCTCTCTTGCTTACAAATGTCTAAGGTCCCCACTGCCTGCTGGAGAGAAAACACACTCCTTTGCTTAGCCCACAATTCTCCATTTCACTTGACCCCTGCCCACCTCTCCAACCTAACTGGCTTACTTCCTAGTCTACCTGAGGCTGCAATCACACTGAGGAACTCACAATTCCAAACATACAAGAGGCTGCCTCTTAACACAGCACTTAGACACGTGCTGTTCCACCTCCCTTCAGACTATCTTTCAGCCTTCTGCCAGCAGTAAAACTTATAAATTTTTTAAATAATTTCAATGTAGTTTTCCCGCCTTCAAATAAACATGTCTGCCCTCATGGTTTCGGTAACGAGACTCTTTTCTTGCCTAAGGCTTCCGGTGTTATCATTACCATGTCCACATAACCCCATCTGTTCTCCATTGGGTTCTCAGCCCTGGACTCTGAGCTTCTGGAAGCAGAATGGAGCCTGATTTGTCTCTGAGACTCCAATTTCCATCCAAAGATACAGCACATAGGAGGCTCCAAGGATCGTGAATCACATGAACAAGTGATATTCTTACTCTCTGCAGACCTGGAAAGCTGGCAGAGTCATTCCACGATGAAACATTTGTAGAGTCATAGGCCTTGTTAGTCTCATCTCCACGGGGACACATATCAACATATCATCTTTCATAATATAAATATACAGTCGGTCCTCCATATCTGTGGGGTTTACAGGTGTTTATTGAACCAACAATAAATCAAAAATATTTTCAGAAAAAAATCCCCGAAGTTTCAAGAAGCAAAAAACTATGTTGAATCGACACAAATTGAGTGGCGTGTAGGCTGTGTCAGGAATTATAAGTAATCAAGGGATGATTTCATGTATACAGGAGGATGTGCATGGGTTCTATGCAATTGCTATGCTATTTTTTTTTTTTTTTTGAGACAGTCTCACTCTCTCACCCAGGCTGGAGTGCAGTGGCATGATCTCAGCTCACTGCAACCTCCGCCTCCCAGGTTCAAGCGATTGTCTTCCCTCAGCCTCCCCAGTAGCCTCCCCTAGGATTACAGGCACGTGCCACCATGCACAGATAAATTTTTTTGTGTGTGTATTTTTAGTAGAGACGGGGTTTCAGAATGTTGGACCAGCTGGTCTTGAACTCCTGACCTCGTGATCTACCCAACTCAGCCTCCCAAAGTGCTGGGATTACAGGCGTGAGCCACGGTGCCCAGCTTCGCTATGCCATTTCATGCAAGGGGCTTGAGCATCTGCAGATTTTGGTATCTGAATGGGGATCCTGGAACCAATCACCCAGGAATAGTGAAGGACCACAGTATATAATTTTTATTTGTCAATCTTAAAAATAAAGCATAAAAAGTTTACAACAACAAGATAAAAAATAAGAAGTGTCTTTATAGTGTGAGGATAAGTTTAGATTTATTTTTTCCTACGTGTAACCCTATGGTCCTGTGTTATTTGTTGAGAAAATATTCTATTCCACCTTAAACTACATGGCAGCCTTTGTCAACTATAAAGGGACTGTGTATCCACAGATGTATTTTAGACACAGTTTTCTGCCCAGTGGTTCTCTGTATCCCCTCTCATGAGGATGCTGCATTTCATATAAACTTATAGAACCCCTTAAAATTTGGTAACCTGAGTTCTCTGATTTGTTATTATAGGTTATTTAGTTTGCTTTTTTTTTTCTTTCTTGAGACAGACTCTTCCTCTGTCACCCAAGCTGGAGTTCAGTGGCTTGAGCTCAGCTCACTGCAGCCTCCGCCTCCCAGGTTCAAGCAATTCTCGTGCCTCAGGTTTAGTACTAGAAACTCATCAGGAAAATTAGAATGGCTTTTTGTCACAATTACTCTGATAATGTTAATAATACCTCTTAGATATTTTGCACATTACACATGAAGAAAAGTTTGAATCTCAGATAAAAACAAAAATACATCAAAAGTCTTTAATGTAAGCACAGAATTCAATCACCTCATGTGTGAGAGGTTGGATCTGAGACGTCTTTTGAGTCTGGTCATAGTGAAGGATGCAAGGTGGCAATTGTAGTCACAACAATTTCCAGGAAGCCATGTTCCGCTCTTGAGCGAGCACCCACTGGGCCTCATGCAAGGTAGAAAGAGCCTGCGTACGTCACCCTCCCATGATGTGGTCAACATGTAAACTGCATGGGCAGGGCGCCAAATAACATCCTGTGCGCTGCTGAGCTGAGCTGGGGCGCGGCCTCCTGTCTGCACCGGCAGCACCATGTCGCTCACGGTCGTCAGCATGGCGTGCGTTGGTGAGTCCTGGAAGGGAATAGAGGGAGGGAGAGTGGGGATGGAGATCTCGGCCTAGAGGTAAAGATATGGGCCTGGAGTGGAGATATGGGCCTGGAGTGGAGATATGGGCCTGGGTGTGGAGATATGGGCCTGGAGGTGTAAATATGGGCCTGGAGTGGAGATATGGGCCTGGAGGGGAGATATGGGCCTGGGTGTGGAGATATGGGCCTGGAGTGGAGATACGGGCCTGGAGTGGAGATATGGGCCTGGAGTGGAGATATGGGCCTGCAGGTGGAGATCTGGGCCTGGAGTGGAGATATGGGCCTGGAGTGGAGATATGGGTCTGATGTGGAGATATGGGCCTGGAGTGGAGATATGGGCCTGGAGTGGAGATATGGGCCTAGAGGGGAGATCTGGGCCTGGAGTGGAGATATGGGTCTGATGTGGAGATATGGGCCTGGAGTGGAGATATGGGCCTGGAGTGGAGATAGGGGCCTGGAGTGGAGATATGGGCCTGGAGTGGAGATCTGGGCCAGGAAGTGTTGATCTGGGCCTGGAGCCTGGGTCTCTCCACAGCTGAGAGCCCTGTTCTTGGCAGCAGGTAGCAGGGAGGCTAAGTTTACCTTCAGCCCAGCAAGGGCCTGGCTGCCAAGACACACAGTGCAGTGGGGGCAGCAGGGTGCCCTGGTTTGCCTGCAGTTGGATCGTCTATCATGATCTTTCTTTCCAGGGTTCTTCTTGCTGCAGGGGGCCTGGCCACTCATGGGTGAGTCCGTCCCCAAACCTTAGGGTGTCATCTCCCCACATAAGAGGATTTTTCTGAAACAGGAGGGAAGTCCTGTCGGGGAGTCTCTCATAAACTAGGAAGAGGGGACCCTTGGATACTCGGCCCACATTTCTGACCTCGCCCTCCCTGGCCTTTCTTTCCCTTTCCTGAGTCAAGCTCTGTGAAGACTGGGGTGAGACTGGGGTGCTCCAAGCTGGGGTGTGCAGGGAGGAAGTGGTGTCAGCAGCAGAGAAAGAGAGGGAAGCAGTGCTAGGAACAGCAGGTCCTCTGAGGACAAAGGTATAACTGACACCCTCCAGCGTTTCCGTGACGGTAGGGGCTGCAGTGTGGCTGCGGTCTTTCTACCAGAAGAGGGGGGAAACCACAGCCATGGCCCTGACATTCCAAATCCTCTGAGGGGGCTCAGTTCATGAATTGGCTGATATTCCATTCACATAGGACATGCCCTCCATGCCGTGTCTACTTTGTGTTGTTTTATGTGAGTAATTTTGCAGTATTAAAATCTAGTAAGAGTCACTTATTCAGCACTTGCTCAAAGTTCTCAGCTGACACTTGTTGTAGGGAGACGCCATGTCTATGTGGGGTGGGTCCTTCCTGTAGCCCTGGGCACCCAGGTGTGGTAGGAGCCTTAGAAAGCGGAAATGGGAGAATCTTCTGAGCACAGGGAGGGAGGGGTGGCTCCACATCCTCCTCTCTAAGGCAGTGCCTCCTTCTCCCCCAGGTGGTCAGGACAAACCCTTCCTGTCTGCCCGGCCCAGCACTGTGGTGCCTCGAGGAGGACACGTGGCTCTTCAGTGTCACTATCGTCGTGGGTTTAACAATTTCATGCTGTACAAAGAAGACAGAAGCCACGTTCCCATCTTCCACGGCAGAATATTCCAGGAGAGCTTCATCATGGGCCCTGTGACCCCAGCACATGCAGGGACCTACAGATGTCGGGGTTCACGCCCACACTCCCTCACTGGGTGGTCGGCACCCAGCAACCCCCTGGTGATCATGGTCACAGGTCAGAGGCTTTCTGTCTGGGCTTCTCACTGTCCCACCTCCTGAATCCCAGAGCTTCTGGTGGGGGTGTCCATCAGGGTCCCATCACCCAGGCCCCAACTGTATTTGGGGTCAAGGGGGATTGAATACAGGGGAAATGGGCGCTGTGGTGGGAAGAATAACTGTCGCCAATGATGGCTACATTGTAAACCCTGGAGCCTGTGACTATTTATGTTATAGGGCAGGGGACTGAAGGGGAAGGTGGAGCTCAGGTTGTTGATGAGTTGACCTTGAGATGGGGAGACAGCCTGGACTGTCCTGCTGGGCTCAGTGTAATCACAAGGGTCCGCGTGAGAGGTGGAGGAAGAGGGGAGTGGGGATTAGAGCAGTGTAGTGGGAGGGAGACGCTATCAGCCACTGTGGGCTTTGAAGGTGGAGGAAGGCCACTAGTCACAGAATGCAGGTGGCCTCTAAGGGCTGGAGAAGTCAAGAGAACTGATTTGCTGAGTCTCCAGAGGGAACGCAGCCCTGCAGATGCCTTGATTTCAGCACAGGGAGAACTGGATCCAATTTCTGTCCCCAGAAGTGGAAGGGGTCAGTGTGTTCTCTCCTGCTGCCATGTTTGTGATAATTTTCTGCAGCAGCAACAGGAAACCGACACAGGAACCCAGGTCAAGGACAAGCTAGGAAACCAAACAAGGATAGCCAGGTGTGGTGGTGGGCACGAGTAATCCAACGACTGGGGAGGCTGAGGCAAGATAATCACTTGAACCGGGGAGGCAGAGGTTGCAGTGAGCCAAGACAACACCACTGCACTCCAGCCTGGGTGAAAAAGTGACTGTCTCAAAAATAAATTAATTAATCAATTAATTAAAGAAACCAAACAAGGAGAAGGTTGGCTACCGTGGGATCAGCAAGGGTGGGATGCTGATGCCACCACCAGGCTCCATCCACATAGGAAGGGGTTGATGCTCCTGGAACCAGCACCAGGGACCACCCTATGGAAGCTGGGGCCATGGAGAAGGCACAGACATGGCAGGAGAGGCTCCCAATCCCCATCAGGAACAGGGTGTGTGGACACTGATGTCTGCCTTACTGATGAGTTGATACCTCTGCCAGAGACTCCAATTTGTTCAAAAGAGATTGATTCAGGCTGCTGAGAGCCTGGACATGCAGCCTGTCCTCTTCCACCCCCACATAGACAGCAGGAAAGAGACTAGTGGGAAAGAGATACAACAGCCCAAGAGATGAGGCTCTCTTCACAGTGGGAAGGGAGTCAGGGGCTACTGGAGACAGAGGGACAGAGAAGAGGGAGGAAGACAAATGGAGGGACCTGCACCAGGGGATATGGGCACAGAAAAGACACGGAGACACAGAGAGGGAGGAGAGAGACAGACCTCTGGGAGGGGAACCCTCACTCATTCCAGGTGCCATGGATGGGATGATAAAGAGAGATGCCTTCTAAACTCACAACTTCTCTTTCTAGGAAACCACAGAAAACCTTCCCTCCTGGCCCACCCAGGGCCCCTGCTGAAATCAGGAGAGACAGTCATCCTGCAATGTTGGTCAGATGTCATGTTTGAGCACTTCTTTCTGCACAGAGAGGGGATCTCTGAGGACCCCTCACGCCTCGTTGGACAGATCCATGATGGGGTCTCCAAGGCCAACTTCTCCATCGGTCCCTTGATGCCTGTCCTTGCAGGAACCTACAGATGTTATGGTTCTGTTCCTCACTCCCCCTATCAGTTGTCAGCTCCCAGTGACCCCCTGGACATCGTGATCACAGGTGAGAGTGTCCAGACATTCTTCTCATTGTCATTGGGACACAGAGTGAATGATCCAGGACTTGGAACCCCCAGGTGGTCATGAGGAAGATAAGCGTGGGATTCTTATGGAGAGAGACTGACTCGGTGAGGTCTGTACCAACAGAGACAGGGAAACAGGAGACATAAGTACAGACCAGGTGTCATAACAGAGGACAGACACAGGGGCCATACGGGGAAGTAGAAAAGAGAGAAAGAGGTAAAGGAGACACTCAGACAGACAGACATGTGCCAGAGAGAAGTGTCCTTCCATGCTGACTTTGCTCAGAGACCTGGCACAGGTTAGAAGTTTCATTTCTGTTTTGTCTCCACAAAGTGCTTCTACGAGGAGAACCCAAGGACACCCATATTTCTGACCTGAGTTGGGCCCTGTGGCCTCAGGCCTTGTGGCATCTACAGATGCCATGTTTATTCTGACACCTCTGCCTTCCATGCAGTGGAGCCATAATTATCCCAGGATATCATGGCCCCAGAACACCAACCCCTAAATACTGTGTGTACTTGGTGTCCCCAGACTAGATTCTGAGGCTCATATTCCAAATAATCCTACATATAATAGGATCACTGAGAGACACAGAGATAAATCAGGGACTTCAAAAAGCAAAGGCATAAACACACAGAGAATGAGCCAGAGGAAGGGGATTGAGAGACTCACAGACACACAAAAAGAAAGAAAAGAGGGCAGAGGAGTGGAGAGAATGCTGGAAGGGAGGAGAGAAAAGCCCCAAAATCAGAACCCTGAGGGAGGGGCACAAAGACAGAGAAAGATAAAGATGTGGGGATGGATTGCAGAGATTCCAAATAGAACTAGAGAGACTGAGAGGCAGAGAAAGACAAGGAGATGGAGAGAGACAGATGATAGATGGATAGACAGATATAGATAGATGATAAATAGGTAGATGATAGATAATGGATAGGTTATAGATACATAGATGATGATTGATAGATGATACATAGAGATGATGATGATGATGATGAAGATAGATAGAAGACACATATATAAATATATAGATACATAGATGATACATAGAGACTGACAGGCAGACAGAGAGGTAATAGAGAGAGAGAGAGATGATACATAGATACAGATAATACATAGATGATTGATGGATAGACAGATAGACAATTGATAGATAAATGATACATAGATATAGATGACAGATAATTTGTAGATAGACACAAAATAGATAGATAGATAATAGATAGAAATATGCAGAAAGTTATGAACAAGACAGAAAGTGAGAGACTCAGAATTATAGAAAAAGGAAGATCAAGTCAACCAATCCAAGGAGAGTCAGAGAGAATAAAACAATCCAAAAAGGGAAAGCATACCCAGGGGTGGGGAAGTGAGGTCAGAGACCTAGAGAGACAGAGAAGGCGGAAGGAGGAAATAGACATGAAGAGAGTTGGGGTGGAGGGTGAGAGAGAGAGAGAGCATTAGGTCATAGAGCAGGGGAGTGAGTTCTCAGCTCAGGTATGAGGGGAGCTGTGACAAGGAAGAACCTCCCTGAGGAAACTGCCTCTTCTCCTTCCAGGTCTATATGAGAAACCTTCTCTCTCAGCCCAGCCGGGCCCCACGGTTCAGGCAGGAGAGAACGTGACCTTGTCCTGTAGCTCCTGGAGCTCCTATGACATCTACCATCTGTCCAGGGAAGGGGAGGCCCATGAACGTAGGCTCCGTGCAGTGCCCAAGGTCAACAGAACATTCCAGGCAGACTTTCCTCTGGGCCCTGCCACCCACGGAGGGACCTACAGATGCTTCGGCTCTTTCCGTGCCCTGCCCTGCGTGTGGTCAAACTCAAGTGACCCACTGCTTGTTTCTGTCACAGGTGAGGAAAACCCGTGTCTGTCCCATGTCTTATGATCCTAGAGCCATAGCTGAGGAGCTTCCTGCCGATGATGGGGAGAAGCATGGACAGATGCAGAGAGAACACGAAGACTGGGTGTGAGGGGGGGGTCAGGGTGCAGGATGGCAGACAGGGCACCTCCAAACCCTCTTGCATGGCCTGCATGGAGGCCCATGGTCAGGGCTCCAGGCACCCAGGCAGATGGAGAAAGCGGTCAGGACAGACCCAGAGAAGGGGAGACTGGGCTCAGTTTGGGGAGATCAGAGGTTCCCTCAGCCCCTCAACCTTACCCATTTCCCAGAAGCCCATCCTGGCCTCTCACCCACACAGAGAGATGTCATCACCAGCAACCCCTACACTCTTTTCTTTTCATTTTCAAAAATATTTATTGAGGTTAAATGTAACTATATAATTTACCAACTTTACCATTTTTAAAAGTAAAATCTAGTGGTCATAAATACCTTTATATGCTGGGTGTGGTGGTTCACGGTTGTAATCTTGGCGCTTTGAGAGGCCAAGAAAGGTGGATCATTTAAGATCAGGGACTCGAGATCAGCCTGGCCAACATGCGGGAAATTCATCTTTACTAAACAGACAAGAAAAATTAGCCAAGCATGCCGGCATGCACCTGTAGTCCTAGCTACTTGGGAGGCTGAGGCAGGAGAAGCACTTAAAGCCAGGAGGCAGAGGTTGCACTGAGCCGAGATCATGCCACTGCACTGCAGCCTGGGAGACAGAGAGAGACTCTGTTTCTAAATAAATAAATACATCTATATTCTTTTTTTTGTTACCTTCCACCCTTCCCTTCCTGGCCTCTGGTATCCACCATTCTATTCTCTACCTTCATGAGATCCACCTTTTATCTCCTGCATGTGGTGAGAAATGGGAATCTTTGTAATGACCTCCAGTTCCATCCATGTGGCTGCAAATGACAGGATGTTATTGTTTCTATGGATGAGTAGTCTCCACCGTGTGTGTGTACTACAGTTCTCTATCCATTCACCCACTGATAGGCAGGTAGGTTGACTCCACATCTTGGCTACTGTGAACAGTGCTGGAACAGTCATATGAGTGCAGATATCACTTCGATACACTGATGTCCTTTCCTTTGGATATAAACCCAGTAGTGAAATTGCTGGACACTATGAAAGTTCTCTTTTTTTTTTTTTCTTTTTTGAGAAAGAGTTTCCCTCCTTAGTCCAAGCTGGAGTCAAAGTGGTGCGATCTTGGCTCATTGCAACCTCTGCTTCCTAGGTTCAAACGATTCTCCTGACTCAGCCTCCCTAATAGCTGTGATTACAGGTGCACGCCACCATGCCTGACTAATTCTTGTATTTTTTAGCACAGACGGGATATCCCAATTTTGGGCAGGCTGCTCTCAAACTCCTGACCTCAAGTGAGGTGCCTGCCTCGGTTTCCCAAAGTGCTGAAGTTACAGGCATAAGCCACTATGCCCAGCCTCCTTTTAGTTTTTTAAAGATTTTCCATACTTTTCTCCATAATAGTTGTACTAATTTACATTCCTACCAACAGGGTACCAGGGTTCTCCTTTCTCTACCATCTTGCCAGCATTTGTTTTGCCTGTCTTGCAGATAAAAGCCATTTTACTTTACTTTATTTATTTATTTATTTATGTTGAGATGGAGTTTCACTCATAGTCGCCCAGGCTGGAGTGCAAGGGTGTGATCTCGGCTCACTGCAACCTCTGCCTCCCGCGTTCAACTGATTCTCCTGCCTCAGCCTCCAAAGTAGCTGGGATTACAGGCATGTGCCACCACGCCTAGCTAATTTTTGTATGTTTAGTAGAGAGGGAGTTTCTCCATGTTGGTCAGGCTGGTCTCCCGACCTCAGGTGATCCGCCCACCTCCGCCTCCCAAAGTGCTGGAATTACAGGCGTGAGCCACCGGCCTAAAAGGCATTTTAATGGGATGAGATGAAAACTCATCGCGATTGTAATTTACATTTCTGTGATGATGAGTGATGCTGAGCACTTTTTCATATACGTGATCGCCATTTCTATGTTTTGTTTGTGGAGAAATGTCTCCTCATGTCTTTTGCTCGTTTTTTAATTAAATTGTTTTATTGAGTTGTTTGAGCTTCTTATATTTCCAGTTATTAATCCCATCTCAGATGAATAGTTTGCAAATATTTGCTCCTATTTTGTGGGTTGTCTCTTCACTTTGTTGGTTTATCTTTGGTGGTGCAGAAGTTGCTTGGTTTGATGTAATCCTAATGGTCTATTTTTTGCTTTGATTACTTGTGTTTTGAAGGTTTTAAACAAAATGTCTTTCATCAGACAAATGTCTTCCCCATTATTTTCTTCTACATGTTTCATAGGTTCAGGCCTTAGACTCATGTTTTTAATCCATTTTCATTTGATTTTTGTGTAAGGTGACAGGTATAGATGCAGTTTTATTCCTCTGCATGTAGATATCCAGTTTTCCCCACACCATTTATTGAAGACTGTCCTTTCCTGATTGTAAGTTCTCGGCACCTTTGTCAAAGTCCATTAAATGGGCTGGGTATGGTGGCTCACACCTGCAATTCCAGCACTTTGGGAGGCCGAGGCGGGTGGATCACCTAAAGCCAGGAGTTCAAGACCAGGCTGGCCAACAGAGTGAAACCTCGTCTCTACTAAAAATACAAAAATTAGCTGAGCATGGTGATCAGTGCCTGTAATACCACTACTCAGGAGTTTGAAGCAAGAGAATTTCTTGAATCCAGGAAGTGGAGGTTGCATTGAGCTGAGATTGCACCTCTACACTCCAGCCTGCATGACAGAGCAAGATTCTATCACACACACACAAAAGAAAGCCATTGGATGTAAATGCATGGATTATATCTGTGTTCTCCATTCTGTTCCATTTTTTATGTGCCTTTCTTTATGCCAATGTCATGCTGTTTTGCTTACTACAGCTCTGTAACATATTTCTAAGTCAGGTAGTGTGATGCTCCTGTTTTCTCTTTATACCTTCAAGTCTCAAGACAGTGGGCATCGCACACAAAAATTATGGAGAAAAGGATCCCAAGACTCCCAGGGTCCAACATTAGATAACAGAGTGTTGGCCATGAACCAACCTCAAAGATTTCCATTGAGTAGAGGACAAGCACCCTCATTTCCTCACATCTCTCCTGTCCCGTGTTCTAGGAAACCCTTCAAGTAGTTGGCCTTCACCCACAGAACCAAGCTCCAAATCTGGTGAGTAAAGGACCCCTCTTATCTCTGCTTTTGGAAACCTGGGGAGGTGGAAGCCTTGGATGCAAGTGTTGGCTCAAACCTCCCAGCTCTGTGAATGAGGGCCTGTCTTCCACCATCTCTGAACTCCAGACACTCCAACAGTGAAAGGGATCTAGGGCCACCAAAGGGCTCAGCGAAGTCTCTTTACCTTTAATTTCCTGCAGGTGAGACCTCCTACAAGCTAGAAGAATAATTGCCAATCTGACATCCTTCTCAGGAAAAATGCAGTGTTTTTTCTGCCTGCATTCCTAACTGGAGGATAAATTCCCGGGGGCTTGAGAGAGGGAAGGGAAGGGAACATCTGATGAGGGTGGGTGTTTTAGAGAAGTTCCACTTGCCAAGGAATGAATTACTGTTGGTCATCAGGCAACCCTGGCTGACTCAGCAGAGCAAGAGCCTTGCCGTAACAGAGAACAGAGCTCATGCACGCACACTTCGACTCAGTGACTCATTCAGCCACAGCCCCATGCTCAGGCTGTGCAGTGTGGAAGCTTTTCCTATTGTTGCCATAACAAATTTCCACAAGATTCGTGTGTGAAAACAAAACGGTTATTTAATTATCTTACAGTGCTGTAGCTCAAAGCATGACGTGCATGTCACTGGGCTAAAATCAAGGTGACAGCAAGGCTGCCTTCCCTCTGAGGGTTCCAGGCAAGAATCTGCTTCTCACTTTTCTCAGCTTCTAGAGGCTCCCATGTTCCTTGGCTCCTGGTACCCTTCCTCCTTCCTCAAAGCCCACAAAGACTGGTCACATCTCACATGGCATCACTCAGACCCTTCTTCCTTACCACACCTCTTTCTCTGAATGCTGCTCTCCCTTCTTGCCCTTCTTTTGAAAACTTGGGGATTCTATTGGGTTCACCAAGATGAAAATCCATCATAATCTCCCGGAAATCATCCAGGATACCCTCCTTTTAAGTTCAGCTGACTAGCAACCATAATTCCATCTGCAATCTTCATTCCTCCTTTCATGTAAAATAACATATTCACAAGCTATGGAGGCTAGGACATGGACATTTTTGGGGTGGGACAACATTCTCCTGCCTTCCACAAACAGTGAACAAGATGCATTTGGCCTCTGTTCTTGGGACACTGATCTTGCAGATGGTTAAATGGGAGGGCAGAAAATGTAGGCACAAGGGGACCAATAAATGAATGATCTATTGAGAAGCATCTGTGCATGAAATCTATTTATTTATGTATTTACCTACTTGTTTATTGAGACGGAGCCTTGCTCTGTCGTCCAGGCTAGAGTGCGGTGGCATGATCTCGGCTCACTGCAACCTCCACCTCCTGGGCTGAACTGATCTCCTCCCTCAGCCTCTCCAGTAGCTGGGATTACAGACCACAACCACCACGCCCGGCTAACTCTTTTTGCATATTTTCTGTAGAGAGGATGTTTCACCATGTTGGCCAGGCTGGTCTCAAATTCCCAACCTCAGGTGATCCAATAGCCTCTGCCTCCCAACACGCTGGGATAAGAGGCATGAGCCACGGGGCCAAGCCAAATTTTCAAATCAATAATAGATAATGCTGAGTGTATTATTTCAGGTGACAGAGAAGTTCTCACTAATCAGATATTTGTGACATTAATGAAAAACACGGATTGAACCCCTGAAAGATTGGCGGAAGGATTTTGCACACACAGCTGTCAGCCGTGAAGGCACAAAGGTGAAAACAATCTGATGTGGAAGGAAGAGGCTCTGCCTGAAATGCTGGGAATGAGGTGGGGAGAATGACAAGATGACTGTAGAGAGACGGAGAGCACACTGGGTACACAGGAAACTAAGGAGCAACAAGGAGCGTGTGTTTGACACTCACAGCCATTGGATTCACCTCGAGGTAACCAGGAATCCCTACATGATTAATATGACTGACATGAAAATAAGGGAGGCTCAGTTGCATAACTGGAATCTAGGAGACCGTGGAAAAGGCAATTGCCGCCCCACTGGTGAAATGTGGTGCTGATTTAGACACTAAATGAATGAAGTAGATGGATATAAGATATGTTTGTGAGGTAGAATCATTGGCTGGAAAGGCTTGCTGGGTTTAATTTTTCCTGGTAGTTTAATCCTCGCTTCACTAACTTATTTCTGAGATTTATTTCTCCTGCATCTAAATCAATACCTGGCAGAGGAGGGAGAGCTAGATGAGGGGTGGTGCAAATGAAGGGACCTAGTATAGCATAATATACAAGGCTGTGAACGGTGGCTCACGCCTGTAACCCAGCACTTCAGGAGGCCAACGCGGGTGGATCACATGAAGTCAGGAGTTCGAGACCAGCCTGGCCAACATGGAGAAACCCTATCTCTACTAAAAATACAAAAATTAAACAGGCATGATGGTGGTGCATGACTGTAATCCCAGCTACTCTGGAGGAGGAAGCAGGAGAATGACTTCAGCCCTGGAGGCAGAGGTTGCAGTGAGTGGAGATCGCATCACTGCACACCAGCCTGGGCTACACAGGGATACTCTGTCTCAAAAAATAAAAATAAAAAATACATAAATATAATAATATACACAAATGATGCAGGCACCTGAATTCCAATCATCATTTTTCTATTCCTCTATAATTACTTCTTTGATCCTTTATCTTATCCATTAGAAAATCAGCCTAAAACCTCTTCCATATTTGGCTTTCTGTGAACATGAGATCATATGGAAAATATGAAAGCCCCCTGAACCCACCAGCACAGGCCCTGAAATAGGGAAAGTGCTCTGTTCATCACAAGAAACTTTCCCCCTCACCCAAATCCCCCACCTCACCCCTACTTCCAATCACCTGTGGAGATACAGATAGATCATGGGGAGGTAAACGCTAATACTCCTTGGAGTGAGTTCAGATCTTGGAATCAGAGATCAGCACCAGCACTAGCTCCTGCTCCCCTTTCCTACTAATTCACAGGAGGACAGGTGGTTTTGAAGCAATAGATGGTGGAGGGGGTGGTCTTTCCCCCAGCCTCTCAGGTGGAACAGCAGCCTAACATGTGTCTCGCGAGATCACAAAGAGTAGCACGTTTCACATGGGCTTCATCATTATTTCCTGGCTGTTTGACATAAGAGAATTCTACTTTGCTTTTTTGATCTTGATTTCACTTTTGTGTCCTTTTCTTGGAGAATGTAATTTGAGTCAAGAGGGTTGTGGATGTAGAAACTGTAAAGCACATTCACTGTGTATCAATCCCAGTCCAGTCTTTCCAGAGAAGACTCTAAACACCTGCTGTACTGCACCTGGGCCTATGCCAATTTCTATCACTCACCGTCACTCCAGGGAGACAGAACACACAGAGAATACGTTACATAGGCAGGTTCATTACTAACAGATAAGCAGCGAGTGACAACAGAAGCCTACATTTCAACGTGAGCCAGTCCCTCAAGGCTCAGAAAAGCTGCTCGGGACATATGGAGTCACCTCATTTGCAGTGTATCTGGGGGAAGCCAGAAAATAGCCCAGCCTGGGTTTTGTACCCTGAAGCCACAGGAAGCACTCAGCTAAAGCACTGCATGACGTCCTCCTCCAGGAAGAACAGGAAGACAGCACAGGCTGTTCTGAGACGTTCCTCCTGATCTCAGGACGTTGCTGTCTTAGTCCATTTTTGTTGCTATAAAAGAACACTTGAGCCTGGGTTACTTCTTTTTTTTTTTTTTTTTTTTTTGTATAGTGCTTCTGATGAGCTTTTTTTTAAAATTTTTATTATTATTATACTTTAAGTTTTAGGGTACATGTGCACAATGTGCAGGTTAGTTACATATGTATACATGTGCCATGCTGGTGTGCTGCACCCATCAACTCGTCATTTAGCATTAGGTATATCTCCTAATGCTATCCCTCCCCCCTCCCCCCACCCCACAACAGTCCCCAGAGTGTGATGTTCCCCTTCCTGTGTCCATGTGTTCTCATTGTTCAATTCCCACCTATAAGTGAGAACATGCGGTGTTTGGATTTTTGTCCTTGTGATAGTCTACTGAGAATGATGATTTCCAATTTCATCCATGTCCCTGCAAAGGACATGAACTCATCATTTTTTATGGCTGCATAGTATTCCATGGTGTATATGTGCCACATTTTCTTCATCCAGTCTATCATTGTTGGACATTTGGGTTGGTTCCAAGTCTTTGCTATTGTGAATAGTGCCACAATAAACATACGTGTCCATGTGTCTTTATAGCAGCATGATTTATAGTCCTTTGGGTTTATACCCAGTAATGGGATGGCTGGGTCAAATGGTATTTCAAGCTCTAGATCCCTGAGGAATCGCCACACTGACTTCCACAATGGTTGAACTAGTTTACAGTCCCACCAACAGTGTAAAAGTGTTCCTATTTCTCCACATCCTCTCCAGCACCTGTTGTTTCCCGACTTTTTAATGATCGCCATTCTAACTGGTGTGAGATGGTATCTCATTGTGGTTTTGATTTGCATTTCTCTGATGGCCAGTCATGGTGAGCATTTTTTCATGTGTTTTTTGGCTGCATAAATGTCTTCTTTTGAGAAGTGTCTGTTCATGTCCTTTGCCCACTTTTTGATAGGATTGTTTGTTTTTTTCTTGTAAATTTGTTTGAGTTCATTGTAGATTCTGGATATTAGCCCTTTGTCAGATGAGTAGGTTGCGAAAATTTTCTCCCATTTTGTAGGTTGTCTGTTCACTCTGATGGTAGTTTCTTTTGCTGTGCAGAAGCTCTTTAGTTTAATTAGATCCCGTTTGTCAATTTTGGCTTTTGTTGCCGTTGCTTTTGGTGTTTTAGACATGAAGTCCTTGTCCATGCCTATGTCCTGAATGGTAATGCCTAGGTTTTCTTCTAGGGTTTTTATGGTTTTAGGTCTAACGTTTAAGTCTTTAATCCATCTCAAATTAATTTTTGTATAAGGTGTAAGGAAGGGATCCAGTTTCAGCTTTCTACCTATGGCTAGCCAGTTTTCCCAGCACCATTTATTAAATAGGGAATCCTTTCCCCATTGCTTGTTTTTCTCAGGTTTGTCAAAGATCACATAGTTGTAGATATGTGGCATTATTTCTGAGGGCTCTATTCTGTTCCATTGATCTATATCTCTGTTTTGGTACCAGTACCATGCTGTTTTGGTTACTGTAGCCTTGTAGTATAGTTTGAAGTCAGGCAGCATGATGCCTCCAGCTTTGTTCTTTTGGCTTAGGATTGACTTGGCAATGCAGGCTCTTTTTTGATTCCATATGAACTTTAAGGTAGTTTTTTCCAATTCTGTGAAGAAAGTCATTGGTAGCTTGATGGGGATGGCATTGAATCTATAAATTACCTTGGGCAGTATGGCCATTTTCACGATCTTGATTCTTCCTACCCATGAGCATGGAATGTTCTTCCATTTGTTTGTATCCTCTTTTATTTCATTGAGCAGTGGTTTGTAGTTCTCCTTGAAGAGGTCCTTCATATCCCTTGTAAGTTGGATTCCTAGGTATTTTATTCTCTTTGAAGCAATTGTGAATGGGAGTTCACTCATGATTTGGCTCTCTGTTTGTCTGTTATTGGTGTATAAGAATGCTTGTGATTTTTGTACATTGATTCTGTATCCTGAGACTTTGTAGAAGCTGCTTATCAGCTTAAGGAGATTTTGGGCTGAGACAATGGGGTTTTCTATATATACAATCATGTCATCTGCAAACAGGGACAATTTGACTTCCTCTTTTCCTAATTGAATACCCTTTATTTCCTTCTCCTGCCTAATTGCCCTGGCCAGAACTTCCAACACTATGTTGAATAGGAGTGGTGAAAGAGGGCATCCCTGTCTTGTGCCAGTTTTCAAAGGGAATGCTTCCAGTTTTTGCCCATTCAGTATGATACTGGCTGTGGGTTTGTTATAGATGGCTCTTATTATTTTGAGATACGTCCCATCAATGCCTAATTTATTGAGAGTTTTTAGCATGAAGCGTTGTTGAATTTTGTCAAAGGCCTTTTCTGCATCTATTGAGATAGTCGTCCGGTTTTTGTCTTTGGTTCTGTTTATATGATGGATTACATTTATTGATTTGCATATATTGAACCAGCCTTGCATCCCAGAGCCTGGGCAACTTCTAGAGAAAACAGATTTGTTTGCCTCACAGTTCTGCAGGCTGTACTGGAAGCATGGCACCAGCATCTGTTTCCTGTGACGGCCTCAGGCTGCTCCCACTCTGGCAGAAGGGAAGGAGGGTCTGTCTGTGCAGAGACCACAGAGATCACATGGCAAGAGAGGGAGCAAGGGGGAGGGCGAGCGATGGAGCTTCCAAGCTCTTTTTAACAACCAGCCCTCCGGGAACTAATAGAGGGGGAACTTGCTAACCCCATCATGTGGGGCAGCATTAATCTATTCATGATGGATCCACCTCCATGACTCAAACACCTTCCCATAGGCCCAAACTTCCACACTGGGGGTTAAATTTCAATATTTCAGTGTGAGGTTTCAAAGGGTCAAACATCTAAACTAAAGCAGCTGTATCCTCAGCATGTTCTATGGTTTCTATGAGAGCTGTAACTGAGAAAGCAGGAGAAAGCTGGGTCTCCCGCCATCAGGCTGCTTGTCCTAAGGAGATGTTCCATGTGGTTACCTGTCAATCAAGAAATGAGACAATCCATAAAGAGGAACTGCTATGATTAGCTTCTTATTGGATTCCCATCTTCCTCCAGGTATCTGCAGACACCTGCATGTTCTGATTGGGACCTCAGTGGTCATCTTCCTCTTCATCCTCCTCCTCTTCTTTCTCCTTTATCGCTGGTGCTCCAACAAAAAGAGTAAGTCTCACGAAGCAGAGGCCAGAGAGCTCAGGGCCATGTGGGGAAGCAGGATGGGAGCACGCGGGTGTGTGTTCCTCACTGGCAGGATGGTCCCTGGCCCAAGGGAGGAGCCACAGAGGCAGGGCTTTCTAGAGAGAGCACCAGACAACCTGCCCCTGCCTTCAGCTCACAGACCATTGCCTGGTTCTGAACTGTATCCTCACATCCCCTGCAGCTACTGACATCCAGAAGCTTCCATGACAGGCAGAAAGTGGGAGACAGAATCAATGGGATGCCAATTGAGAGCACTTCATGGGATGGGGTCTTGAACTCAGAGAGATAGAATGTCTGAGTCTGGATGTTGGCAGCTGAAGAGCCTCAGGCACCTACAGCCTCCCCCTGTGGGTTGGTGTCTGCCCATGAAATGAGGACCCAGAAGGGCCCTCCAAGCGGTTTTGATGACTTCCGTCTCCTACAGATGCTGCTGTAATGGACCAAGAGCCTGCGGGGGACAGAACAGTGAATAGGCAGGTAGGTCCTCCTCGGCCCAGCCTCACGGATACAGTCTTATCCCTAATAGTCCTGAAAAATGTGAGCACCCTCCCTCACTCAGCATTTCCCTCTCTCCAGGACTCTGATGAACAAGACCCTCAGGAGGTGACGTACGCACAGTTGGATCACTGCGTTTTCATACAGAGAAAAATCAGTCGCCCTTCTCAGAGGCCCAAGACACCCCTAACAGATACCAGCGTGTACACGGAACTTCCAAATGCTGAGCCCAGATCCAAAGTTGTCTCCTGCCCACGAGCACCACAGTCAGGTCTTGAGGGGGTTTTCTAGGGAGACAACAGCCCTGTCTCAAAACCAGGTTGCCAGATCCAATGAACCAGCAGCTGGAATCTGAAGGCATCAGTCTGCATCTTAGGGGATCGCTCTTCCTCACACCACGAATCTGAACATGCCTCTCTCTTGCTTACAAATGCCTAAGGTCGCCACTGCCTGCTGCAGAGAAAACACACTCCTTTGCTTAGCCCACAAGTATCTATTTCACTTGACCCCTGCCCACCTCTCCAACCTAACTGGCTTACTTCCTAGTCCTACTTGAGGCTGCAATCACACTGAGGAACTCACAATTCCAAACATACAAGAGGCTCCCTCTTAACACGGCACTTACACACTTGCTGTTCCACCTTCCCTCATGCTGTTCCACCTCCCCTCAGACTATCTTTCAGCCTTCTGTCATCAGTAAAATTTATAAATTTTTTTTATAACTTCAGTGTAGCTCTCTCCTCTTCAAATAAACATGTCTGCCCTCATGGTTTCGATAATGTGACTCTTTATTCGCCAAAAGTTTCCAGTGTTATCATTACTATGTCCATATAACCTGATATGTTCTCTACTGGGTTCTCAGCCCTGGACTCTGAGCTTCTGGAAGCAGGGTGGAGCCTCATTTGTCTCTGGGACTCCAATTTCCATCCAAAGATGCAGCACATAGGAGGTTCCAAGGATCGTGAATCACATGAACAAGTGATATTCTTACTCTCTGCAGACCTGGAAAGCTGGCAGAGTCATTCCAAGATGAAACATTTGTAGAGTCATAGGCCTTGTTAGTCTCATCTCCACAGGGACACATGTCAACACATCATCTTTCATACTATAAATATACAGTCGCTCCTCCATATCTGTGGGGTTTACAGGTGTTTATTGAACCAAATATAAATCAAAAATATTCAGAGAAAAAATCCACAAAGTTCCAAAAAGCAAAAATACTATATTGTGTGGACACAAGTGAGGTGGTGTGTAGGCTGTATCAGGAATTATAAGTAATCTAGAGATGATTTCATGTATACAGGAGGATGTGCATGGGTTATATGCAAACGCTGTGCCATTTCATGCAACAGGCTTGAGCATCTGCAGATTTTGGTGTCTGGTAGGGAGGGGGGTTTCCTGGAACCAATCACCCATGAATAGTGAAGGACAACTGTATATAATTTTCATTCATCAATTTTATAAATAAATCATCAAAATGTATGATAATAAGATAAAAAATTAGCAGTGTTTTTATGGTGTGAAAATAAGCTTAGATTTATTTTTTCCTGCTTGTAACCCTCTGGTCCAATGTTATTTACTGAGAAGACATTCTATTCCACCTTAATCCGCATGGCAGCCTCTGTCAACTATAAAAGGACTGTGTGTACACAGATGTATTTTACACACTCTTTTCTGCTCAGTGGCTCTCTGTGTCCACTCTCATGAGGATGCTGCACTTTATGTGGCCTTATAGAACCCCTTAAAATTTGGCAGCCTGAATCCTCTAATTTCTCCTTCCTCTTTAAGATTGCCATTATTATTATTATTGGCTATTTGCTTTTCCATGTAAATTTGTAATCATTTTTCTCATTTCCACCAAAAACAATGCTTGTAATTTTGTTGTGACTCCCTTACATCTACAGGTAAGTTCTGTCCTATAGAAACATAATGCAAACCACATGCATTCTTTCAAACTTGCTAGTATCCAAATTAAAAAGCTAACAAGAAACAGATAAAATTAATTTAAGTTAACCCAATGGACCCAAAATATTATTAACCCAACAGACCCAAAATATTAACCTAATAGATCCAAAATATTATTTTATTATACAAGTAGACTCAAAATATTATCATTTCAACATGTAATCATGTGTCATCTTGGAAAACATCAGATCCCTGTCTAGGTGGGCAAAGATTTTTCTTCGTAATATCTCATTTCCACATTTCCACTTGGCACAGAAACTGCCCCCAAGGCTCAGGATACTAAGATGCAGTAGGAATGGGTAGATGTATCTGGAGGAAAGTGACTGAATGAAATTGAGACATCAGAGTCTGGGAAACTCACTAGAACTACAGGGACAGTGTGGGGGAGGGAATTGGGAGATGTTGATCAAAGGATACAAACTATCAGGTATTCAGGAGGAATGGGTCTGAAGATCTCTTGTACAGCTTTGCCACTATGGTTGACAATACTGTACTCTATACTTGAAATTTACCAGGAAAGTAGATTTTTTTTTTTAAATATGGAACACTTCACGAATTTGCGTGTCATTCTTGCGCAGGGGCCATGCTAGTTTTCTCTGTATCGTTCCAATTTTAGTATATGTGCTGCCGAGGCAAGCATGGGAGAGTAGATTTTTTTTTTTTTTTTTTTTTTTTTTTGAGCTGGAGTCTTGCTCTGTCACCCAGGCTGGAGTGCAGTGGCGCGATCTCGGCTCACCGCAAGCTCCGCCTCCTGGGTTCACGCCATTCTCCTGCCTCAGCCTCCCGAGTAGCTGGGACTACAGGCGCCCGCCACCACGCCCTGCTAATTTTTTGTATTTTTAGTAGAGACGGGGTTTCACTGTGTTAGCCAGGATGGTCTCGATCTCCTGACCTCGTGATCCGCCTGCCTCGGCCTCCCAAAGTACTGGGATTACAGGCATGAGCCACCACGCCCGGCTGGGAGAGTAGATCTTAAGGGTCCTCACCACAAAAAAAAAAAAAAGAAAGAAAGAAAAAGAAACCATAGGCCGGGCGCGGTGGCTCACGCCTGTAATCCCAGCACTTTGGGAGGCCAAGACGGGCAGATCACTTGAGGTCAGGAGTTCAAGACCAGCATGGCCAACATGGTGAAACCCTGTCTCTACTAAAAATGCAAACATTAGCCAGGCGTGGTGACACAAGCCTGTAATCCCAGCTACTCAGGAGGCTGAGGCACGAGAATTGCTGGAACCTGGGAGCGGAGGTTGCAGTGAGCCAAGATGGCACCACTGCACTCTAGCCTGGGGGACAGAGTAAGACTTCCTCTCAAAAAAAAAAAAAAAAAAAAAACAATAACCCTGCGAGATGATGGATATAACTAGCTTGACTATGATGATCATGTCACCATGTATACATACATCAAAACATCAAGTGTAATACACCTTAAATATATACAATTTCCATTTGTCAATCATATCTCAATAAAGCTAAAAGAAACCTCTAAGTTTCAACTTTATTTTCAGAAAGCTGTGCCATGCTTACCTCAGTGCCTAAGTATACTCTAATTCATGGAAATGGCCTTTAAAACTGCAGAGAGTGGCTGGGTGCAGTGGCTCACGCCTATAATCCCAGCACTTTGGGAGGCGGAGGTGGGCAGATCACGAGGTCAGGAGTTCGAGATCAGCCTGGCCAACATGGTGAAACTCTGTCTCTACTAAAAATACAAAAAATAGCTGGGCATGGTGGCAGGTGCCTGTAAATCTGAGATACTCAGGAGGCTGAGACAGGAGAATCGTTTGAACTGGGGAGGCAGAGGTTGCAGTGAGCCGAGATCCTGCCATTGCACTCCAGCCTGGGCGACAGGGTGAGACTCCATCTCAAAAAAAAAAAAAATACTGCAGAGAGTTAAGGCCCTCACTGGACACTCTCCGGTACCTCTGAGGTCAGTGGATAGAGAAGCAGCTCCCCTTCTTCTTCCTCGAAACAAAGGCCTCCTTCCTTCTTAGGTGTTTGAGACAAATTCTCCACACAGGTGCAGCTGAGTGCTGTAAAGTCCCACTGAGAGTTGAAGGTCCCCACTGCCAGTCACAGTTCGGTCCCACTGAGGGTTGAAGGTCCCCACTGCCAGTCACAGTTTGGTCCCATTGAGGGTTGAGAGTCTCCACTGCCAGTCACAGTTTGGTCCCATTGAGGGTTGAGAGTCTCCACTGCCAGTCAGTTTGGGCTTATTAGGGTTTATGCTGTGCACGGAGAATGGAACCTACCAATCAACTCTTAGTGACCAGTTAGACAGATTCAAGGCAAATTTCCCTGCTGGGAAATCCCAAATCCCAAAATATGCAGAGACCAATAGATGCCTCAATTCTTCCGTGTCTCCGTCTAAATCCTTGGGTCACTGTGACTCCTGTAGTTATGTGGCTTGTAATTCCTTGGGCCGTAGAATGGCTATGATAGGCCCTGTGCTAAGGGGACTGGTGACAGTTGAGACAGGAACATGGAAGCTATAGTAGTCAGGGTTCTCCAGAAAAAAAAATAATCAACACTAATAATGATAGATATATAGATAATGATTGATAGACAAATAATGATAGATATATAATGATATCACAAATAATGATAGACATATAGTTGGATAATGACAGATATATAATGATTGATACACAGATAGGGTATTTATATATTGGCTTATGCAACTATGTAGACTGACAGGTCCCATGATCTGCCATCTGCAAGCTGGAGACCCAGGGGAGTCCACGTGTAGTTCCAGTCTACGTGCAAAAGTCTGAGAACCAGTAGAGTTAGTGGTATACGTAACAGTCCAAAAGCTAGCAGGCTCATGCCGGGCATGATGGCTCACGCCTGTAATCCCAACACTTTGGGAGACCAAGGCAGGCAGATCACCTGAGGTCAGAGTTCAAGACCAGCCCGGCCAACATGGTGAAACCCCATCTTTACTAAAAATACAAAAATTAGCCGGGCATAGTGGCATTCGCTTGTAATCCCAGCTACTCAGAGGCTGAGGTACGAGAATTGCTTGAACCCAAGAGGTGAAGGTTGCAGTGAGCCGAGATCATGCCACAGCACTCCAGCCTGGGTGACAGAGTGAGACTCTATCTCAAAAAAACAAACAAACAAAAAAAGCTGGCAGGCTTAACATCTAAAGAGTCAATGTTTTAGTGAGAGTTCAAGAGCCAGAAAAGACTGATGTCCAGGCAAAAGGAACTTCATCTTACATTACCAGTTCAATGTTTTGTTCTATTCAGGTCCCACCTGATTGAATGAGGCCGACTCACATTAGGGAGAGCAATCTGCTTTATAAATTACACTAATTCCATTGATAATCTCATTCAGCAACACCCCCACAGACACACACAGAATAATGTTTAACCAAATATCTCAGCACCCCATGGCTACGTTACCATTCCTGTTCCACAAAAGGAGGAAACAAAAGAACAAAACCACACCAAATGTTGTGGTAAGTTGACAAAATCTGTTCCAGCCCATTAGTAAATATTGGCCACTGAAGTTCCTGAAATTCAACAATTAGTAAGTATCTCTCTCCCAATAGAAAGCCACGTCATTTGTAAACCATAACAATAGCTTTTGTTTTTTTGAGACACAGTCTCGCTCTGTGTTGCCCAGGCTGGAGTGCAGTGATCTTGGCTCACTGCAACCTCTGCCTCCTGGGTTCAAGTGGCTCTCCTGCCTCAGCCTTCCGAGTAGCTGGAATTACAGGCACCCGCCACCACACCCAAGTAATTTTTTATATTTTTAGTAGAGACTGGGTTTCACCACATTGACCAGGCTGGTCTTAAATTCCTGAACTCAAGTGATTCACCTGCCTTGGCCTCCCAAAGTGCTGGGATTACAGGCATGAGCTACTGCACCCAGCCAACAATAGTATTTTTAATTAGGTCATCCTGCCTTTACAATCTCTGCATTTTAAATACTCAACTAAGAGTACAGCCATTATTTGTCTTTCACCCAAAGTCCCATTCAAGTGAGAACAAAGGAATGAATAAATAAGGCATAAGTAACAAAACAACAAAAAAAGAAAATTAGAATGCGGTCAATTTCATGCAATCATCAACACCAAATTTCCAGAACGTAGTATTTCCAAATTTCCCGAACGTAAATATGTATGTGGAAATTAACAAAATGTGGCAAAACAAAAGGTCACTTAAATTTGCACAAATGAAACAGTCAACATGGAAGCTGATCGGCTTTCTGAAATATGGGACAAGCTCAGGACTTCAAAATACTTCGGCGTTGGAAGGGCTAAGTTATGATGTATTAAAATGAAAATAAAGTGGGGCGCGGTGGCTCACGCCTGTAATCCCAGCACTTTGGGGGACCGAAGTGGGTGGATCACGAGGTCAGGAGATCGAGACCATCCTGGCTAACACGGTGAAACCCCGTTTCTACTGAAAATACAAAAAAAATTAGCCGGGCGTGGTGGCGGATGCCTGTAGTCCCAGCTACTCGGGAGGCTGAGGCAGGAGAATAGCATGAACCCAGGAAGTGGAGCTTGCAGTGAGCTGAGATCACGCCACTGCACTCCAGCCTGGGCGACAGAGCAAGACTCCGTCTCAAAAAAAAAAAAAGAATAAATAAAATAAAATAAAATAGTAGAAGGTTTAATTAGGAATATTTCACTCTCCATACCTGAAGAATTCGTGATAGCCAGGAGTCTACAATCAAAATAACATAAATAATAAGATAAAAATAAAATTAATTTGAAGCCATAAAAAAAGAATGAGTTCATATGTTTTGTGGAAACATGGATGGAGCTGGAGGCCATTATCCTTAGCAAACTATACAAGAACAGAACACCAAATACAGCAGGTTCTCACTTATAAGTGGAAGCTAAATAATAGAACTCATGAACACAAAAAAGGGAAAAACAGACAATGGGGTCTCCTTTAGGGTGGAGGGTGGGAGGCGGGAAAGGAGCAGGCAAAGTAACTATTAGGTACCAAGCTTATTACCTAGGTGATGAAATAATCTGTACAACAAACCCCCATGACACAAGTTTACCTGTATAACAAACCTTCCCATGTACCCTTGAACCTAAAATAAAAGTTAAAAAAATACTCAATGAGCAACAATGTACATTATTTGAGGATAATTATATTAAAAGCCCAGACTTCACCACTACACAAAATATCCACGTAATAAAATTTCACTTGCGCTCCTTAAATTTATACAAATAAACAAAAAAGTATAATAAAATAGTAGATTCTTTCTTTAGAGATGACAAATAGTGCCAGAGAAAATGCCTCCACACTCTGGCATTGAGATCATCTCCAGGATAAGGGTATACTGCATGCCTGGTCAAGTCCAAGTAAATATACTCAGACCATGAATCTCAGAGATGAAACATAGGTTCAGAACAGACAAAGCCACAGAGCTTTTGACTAATGGCCCAGTGAAGGCAATGTCTGCCTGTATGGTATCCACCACCTTATATTCTGTCCCAAGCCCGTCTATTTGGATGTAGCATCTGGTTCAAAGATGAATTTGAACACCATTAGACACTGGCTTAATGAAAATTCACTTCTCATTCGTTTCTCATCTGAAACATAAATAGAAATATAGGTCTTAGGCAGGAGGATTTCTTGATGCCAGAAGTTAGAGACTACCCTGGCCAACATAGAAAGACCCCATCTCTATTTAAAAAAATATACATATATATGTCTTCTCTTGGGCTCCACCCAAGAGCAACCTGGAACTAAGTTATTCGGCAACGAACTGTTCCACTTTGTTGTGAGGCAATAGATGTGGAAATTCCCTGACGAGGGGCTCTGTCCTCATACTTCCTGCGGAGCTTATTGTCGTAAGAATATCTGTCATCCTGCTAATGTGCATTGAAAGGAGAGCAACGGGGCTGAGGCCGTGTCAGCACGATGGACCCCAAACAGACCACCCTCCTGTGTCTTGGTGAGTTTCAGAGTAAAAGTGGGTTAGAGGGGAAGATAGAGAAATCCCAAAATAATCAGGGTGTCTCTTAACAGTGTGACTAGGAGATTTTAGTGGCTGCCAAGGAGATTCTGATCTCCTTAGTGGAAAGGCCGTCTTTGTCAATGTATCTATAACTTTGTCTCTACCCAAGCCCAAGCTAGCTTGTGGGGCTCAAGGTTTAATATTTGTATTAAACCTATAGTGTGTTATCTGGGATTCATGATGGTCCCAAGGTTCTTATCAAGGAGAGACTTAGAGGCTGGAATCTGAAAGGTAAAAATAAAGAATGAACCTCAAAACTGTGATTGTTGTGGAAGGAAAACATATGATAGAACCCCATATAGAAATATGGTTACTAGTATTTTGTTGAAGATTTTTGCATTTATGTTCAACAAAGATATTATCCAGAAGTTTTCTGTTTTTGTTGTATCTCTGCCACATTTTGTTATCAGGATAATGTTGGCCTCATAGAATGAGTTGGGGAGGAGTCCCTCCTCCAGGATTTTTTTCAATAGTTTCAGTAGGAATAATACTAGCTCTTCTTGGCCGGGCGCAGTGGCTCACACCTGCAATCCCAGCACTTTGGGAGGCCAAGGCAGGCGGATCACAAGGTCAGGAGATCAAAACCATCCTGGCCAACATGGTGAAACCCTGTCTCTACTAAAAATACAAAAAAATTAGCCAGGCGTGGTGGCGGGCGCCTGTAGTCCCAGCTACTCGTGCGGCTGAGGCAGGAGAATGGCATGAACCTGGGAGGCAGAGCTTGCAGTGAGCCAAGATCATGCCACTGCACTCCAGCTTGGGCGACACAGCGAGACTCTGTCTCAAAAAAAAAAAAAAATGCCAGCTCTTCTTTATATATCTGGTGGGATTGAGCTGTGAATCCATCTGGTACTGGTCTTTTTCTGGTCTGTCATTACAGAGGGTGATTTGTCGTAAAGGTTGGAAATGGAAGCTTGATTTTTCATAAATCTCTCTCTTCCAGTGCTCTGTCTGGGCCAGAGGATTCAGGCACAGGAAGGTAAGTGTCCTGTAAATCTCTCCCAGCCCCTTTAGACCCTCTTGGGAGCTCTAGGATAAAGAAATTGAAGAATAGCCTGAAGCACCATTCTTATTTTAATCCCCATTCTAGTTGTTTCTGCTGTGCTTCTCTTGCATAATTTCTATCTCACTTTGTTATCTCCAAACCCTTCAGACTCATTAATGCTCAGGCCTGGATTTATAGTTAGTCCTTGCCTGTGTTAGACTGTCCATGAAGGATCTGTAATTTACTGAATGCTCAAACTGCAAGAATGAGGAAGTCAGGAGTCATCTGCCCAATATCCTTCCTTATGCTGATTCTATTTTGTTTTAGCAACCCACTTCCTCCCGTCACTTCATTTAAAAGGATGCTGCCATAGTCTAACCCTACTGAACACTCTAGCATTCTGTAGTACTACTGCAGTACTAAGCATGAGGCAGTCTTAGTGTACTACTGAATATTCTGCCACCCCAACTACTACTGCCTTAGCCTCCTAATGGGTGTGAGCCCCACGTCCATCCATGTCTTCTCTCTTCCAGCTCCTTCTAAAGCCTGAATTATTTGTGTGTTGAACAATACTCATTCTTCCTATCCATGAGCATGGAATGTTTTTCCATTTGTTTGTGTCATCTATGATTTCTTTGACCAGTGTTTTGTAGTTCTCCTTGCAGAGATCTTTCACCTCCCTGGTTAGCTGTATTCCCAGGTATTTTATTCTTTTTGCAGTAATTGTGAATGGATTCTATTCTTGATTTGGCTCTCAGCTTAGATGTTTTTGGTGTATAGGAATGCTACTGATTTTTATATATTGATTTTGTATCCTGGAACTTTGCTAAAGTTGTTTATCAGATTAAGAAGTGTTTGGGCAGAGACTGTGGTTTTCTAGGTATAGAATCATATCACCTGCAAACAGGGATAGTTTGACTTCCTTTCTTCCTATTTGGATGCCTTTTATTTCTCTCTTGCCTGATTGCTCTAGCTAGGACCTCCAGTACTATGTTGAACAGAAGTAGTGAGAGACGGCATCCATGTCTTTTGCCAGTTTTCAAGGGGAATACTTCCAGCTTTTGCCCATTCAATATGATGTTGACTGTGAGTTTGTCATACATCATTCTTATTATTTTGAAATATGTTTCTTCAATGCCTAGTTTGTCGAGGTTTTTTAGCATAAAGGGATGTTGAATTTTATCAAAAGCTCTATTGAGAGGATTATGTGTGTGGGGAGGGTTGTTCTATTTATGTGATGAATCATATTTAAGATTTGTGTATATTGGCCGGGCACTGTGGCTCATGCCTGTAATCCCAGCACTTTGGGAAGCCAAGGCTTGTGGATCATGAGGTCAGGAGATCGACACCATCCTGGCTAACACGGTGAAACCTCGTCTATACTAAAAAACACAAAAAAATTAGCCAGGCGTGGTGGTGGGCACCTGTAGTCCCAGCTGCTCGGGAGGCTCAGGCAGGAGAATGGCGTGAATCCAGGAGGCGGAGCTTGCAGTGAGCCAAGTTCACGCCACTACACTCCAGCCTGGGCAACAGAGCGAGACTCCTATATCGAATCAACCTTGCATCCCAGAAATAAAGCCTACCTGATGGTGGTGGATTAGCTTTCTGATGTGCTGCTGGATAGTTTGCTAGTATTTTGTTGAGGATTTTTGCATTTATGTTCAACAAGGATATTGTCCTGAAGTTTTCTGGTTTTGTTGTGTCTCTGCCATGTTTTTGCATCAAGATGATGCTGGTCTCATAGAATGAGCTGGGGAGGCATTCCTCCTCCTGAATATTTTTGGAACGTTTCAGTAGGTATAGTACCAGCTCTTCTTTATATATCAGATGGGATTCAGCTGTGAGTCTGTCTGGTACTGGGCTTTTTCTGGTCTGTAGGATTTTTATTACTGATTCAATTTTGGAGCTCATTATTGGTCTGTTCATGTATTCAATTTATTCTTGGTTTGATCTCAGGAGGGTGTATGTGTCCAGGAATTTCTCCATTTATTCTGGATTTTCTAGTTTGTGTGCATAGAGGTGTTCATAATATTCTCTGATGATTGTATTTCTGTGGGGTGAGTGGTAATATACCCTTTGTTGTTTCTAATTGTGTTTATCCGGATCATCTCTCTTTTCTTCTTTATTAGTCTAACTAGTCATCTGTCTTACTAATTTTTTCAAAAATTCTACTCCTCGATTTGCTGATCTTCTGAATGCTTTTTCGTGTCTCAATCTCCTTCAGCTCAGCTCTGATTTTGGTTATTTCTTGTTTCCTATGAGCTTTGGGGTTGATTTCCTCTTGGTTCTCTTAGTTCCTCTTGTTATGATGTTAGGTTGTTAATTTGAACTTTTTCTAGCTTTTTGAAGTGGGAGTTTAGTGCTATAAACTTCCCCCTTAACACTGCCTTAGCTGTGTCCCAGAGATTCTGCTATATTTACCCAAAAATTCCAGAACAGACTGCTTAATTTCCATGCATTGTACAGTTTTGAGTGGTTTTCTTAGTATTTATTCCTATTTTTATTCCACTGTGCTCTGATTTCGCTTTTCTGGATTTGCTAAGGATTGTTTTTTTTTTTTTTGAAATGGAGTCTTGCTCTGTCGCCCAGGCTGGAGTGCAGTGGCGCAATCTAGGCTCACTGCAAGCTCCGCCTCCCAGGTTCACACCATTCTCCTGCCTCAGCCTCCTGAGTAGCTGAGACTACAGGTGCCCGCCACCCCGCCCGGCTAATTTTTTTTGTATTTTTAGTAAAGACGGGGTTTCACTGCGTTAGCCAGGATGGTCTCGATCTCCTGACCTCATGATCCGCCAGCCTTGGCTTCCCAAAGTGCTGGGATTACAGGTGTGAGCCACCGTGCCCAGCCTGCTAAGGATTGCTGTATGTCTGATTGTATGATTGACTTTAGAGTATGTGCCATGAGGCAATGAAAACAATGTAGATTCTGTTGTTTTGGGGGTGGAGAGTTCTGTAGATGTCTGTCAGGTCCATTTGATCCACTGCTGAGTTCAGGTCCTGAATATCTCTGTTTGCCTCAATGATCTAATACTGTCGGCGGGATGTTAAAGTCTCCCCCTATTATTGTGTGGTTGTCTAAGTCTCTTCGTTGGTCTCTCAGAACACGCTTTATGAATCCGGGTGCTTCCATGTTAGGTGCATATATATTTAGGATAGTTAGGTCTTCATGCTCTTTTTTTAATTTTTTTTTTCTTTTTCTTTTTGATTCAGCAGTTGGGCTATTACACACTCCTTAGCAGATTCCGACTTCCGTGGCCACTGTCCTGCTATGGTCTTCATGTTGAATTGAACCCTTTACCATGATTTAATGCCCTTCTTTGCCTTTTTTGATCTTTGTTGGTATAAAGTCTGTTTTGTCTGAAATTTTAATAGCAGCTCCTGCATTTTTTTTTTTTTTTGGCTTTCCATTTGCTTGGTAGATTTTTCTCCATTTCTTTACTTTGAGCCTATGGATGTCATTGCATATGAGATGGGTTTCTTATAGGCAGCATAATGTTGAGTCTTGCTTTTTTTTTTTTTTTTTTTTTTGAGATGGAGTCTCACTCTGTCACCCAGGCTGGAGTGCAGTGGTATGATCTTGACTCACTGCAACTTCTGCCTCCCAGGTTCAAATGATTCTCCTGCCTCAGCCTCCCAAATAGCTGGGATTACAGGTGTGTACCACCACGCCCAGCTATTTTTTTTTTTTATTAGAGATGGGATTTCATCACATTGGCCAGGCTAATGTCGAACTCCTGACCTCAAATGATCCACCCACCTCAGCCTCCCAAAGTGCCAGGGTTACAGGCGTGAGCCACTGCACCTGGCCTCTTGCTTCTTTATCCAACTTGCCACTCTCTGCATTTTAATTAGGACAATTAGTCCATTTACATTCAAAGTTAGCATTTACATGTGCAGATTTTTTCCTGTCATCATGTTGTTAGCTGGTTTGGTTATTATGCAGACTTGTTTGTGTGGTTGTTTTATAGTGTCACTGGTTTATGTACGTAAGTGTGTTTTCTATTGGCTGGTGATGGTCTTTTCTTTCCATATTTAGCGTTCCTCTTAGGACCTCTTGTAAGGCAGGCCTGATGGTAATAAATTCCCTCAGCATTTGCTTGTCTGTAAAGGATCTTATTTCTCCTTCACTTATGAAACTTAGTTTGGCTGGGAATGAGATTCTTGGTTGGAAATTCTTTTCATAAGAACATTAAATATAGGCCCCCAATCTCTTCTGGATTGTAGAGTTTCTGCTGAAAGGTCTGCTGTTAGCTCGATGGCATTCCCTTTGTAGGTGACCTGCCCCTTCTTTTTTGCTGCCTTTTCACATTTTTTTTTTTTTTTTTGAGACTGAGTCTTGCTCTGTTGCCCAGGCTGCCAGGCTGGAGTGCAATGGCGTGATCTCGGCTCACTGCAAGCTCCGCCTCCCGGATTCACGCCATTCTCCTGCCTCAGCCTCCCCAGTAGCTGGGACTACAGGTGCCCACCACCACGCCCAGCTAATTTTTTATATTTTTTTAGTAGAGATGGGGTTTCACCATGTTAGCCAGGATGGTCTCAATCTCCTGACCTCGTGATCCGCCCGCCTTGGTCTCCCAAAGTGCTGGGATTACAGGCGTGAGCCACCGCGCCCGGCCGACATTTCTTTCTTTCATTTCTACCTTGAAGAATCTGATGATTTTGTGTCTTGGGGATGCTCTTCTTGTGTAGTATTTTGCAGGGGTTCTCTGTTTCCTGCATTTGATTCTTGGCCTCTCTAGTGACGTTGGGGAAGTTTTCATGAACAATACACTGAAATATGTTTTCCATGTTCCTTGCTTTCTCCCCATCTCTTTCGGGGATGCCAATGGGCTATTTGGTCTCTTTTCATGATCCCATATTTCTTAGAGGTTTTGTTCATTAATTTTTATTCTTTTTCTTCATTTTTGTCTGACTGAATTAGTTCAGAGAGCCAGTATTCATGCTCTGAGATTCTTTCCTTATTTTGCTTTATTTTGCCATTAATACTTGTGATCGCATTATGAAATCTCGTAGTGTGTTTTTCAGCTCCATCAGATCCGTTTGGTTCTTTCAAAATGACCATCTCATAGATTAGCCCCTCTGTCATTTTATTGTAATCTTTAGGTTCCTTGCATTGGGTTTCAACTTTCTCCTGAATCTTGATGACCTTAATTTCTATCCATATTCTGAATTCTATTTCTGTCATTTCAGCCAGGTAAAGAGCCCTTGCTGGGAAGCTTGTGTGGTAATTTGGAGGAAGGAAGACACTGTTGCTTTTTGAGTTGATGGAGTTCTTGCTCAGTTCTTTCTCATCCATGTGGGCTAATGTTCCTTTGAGTGTGCTGCAATTTGAATTTTTTTCTTTTTTCTTTTAACCGTGATGTAATTTGAGCACAGTCAGTAGACTTCTTTTCTGGATGGTTTCAGAGGGCTGGGGCTTCGCACAGGGTCTTTATTTATAGCTAAATTCTTGTCCTTGGTTTCACAGGGAGGTATATTAGCGAGCATTTTTGGTGTTGAAGTTTGGGCTGCAATCCGGTAAATGATGCTTCAGCACAACGGCCAGTAGGTCATTCCTCATGATTGCCGCTGTGCTCCCTCTCACGCTCTGAAAGTGCGGGCTCCTCTCCCACCCAAGTGCTGGCTGCAGATCTGGGCTCGGCACTCCCAGGCTGCACATCACAGCTCTGGGGTGAGCTCAGACTTTATGTTCCCTCCGTGGCTTGGGGGCAGCAGGGGAAGGGACCTTAGCAGCGGTTGTGGCAGACGGCCTTTCACTTGTCCCTTGGAACTCCACCCCAGAGAGATGTGGAGCCACTATCAGTGCGATGAGCCAAGAGTGAGGCGACTGCACTGTGGGTCCAAGCTAGGGGCCCTGCCTAGTGATGAGCAGGGGGGACAGGTGGGTCACAGGGGTGACAGACTGGCCTCTTCTCCTTAGGGCAGTTTGCCGGAGGTGTGGTTGAAGCACTCAGAGTCTTTGCTCCTTCCCCAGTCTGAGGGCAGCAAGGCCAGTACCACCGCAGTGGCAGCGGCAGAGTGACCTTCCGTTGCCTCTGGGAGCTCCGCCACAGAGAAACGCAGACTCACAGCTGCTGGGAACGCTCCGCCAGAGGGTGGGGCTGTTGTGCCGCGGAATCAAGCTGGGGCTTGGTGAAGAGCAGGGGGTTGAGGGCTCACAGGGAGAGGAGACTGAGCTCCTCTCCGTATGGCGACTGCGGTGTGCTGGAAGCATGAATGAAGGCCGGGCGCGGTGGACTCACGCTCGGAATCCCAGCACTTTGGGAGGCCGAGGCGGGCGGATCACGAGGTCGGGAGATCGAGACCATCCTGGCTAATCTGGTGAAACCCCGTCTCTACTAAAAACACAAAAAATGAGCCGGGCGTGGTGGCGGGCGCCTGTAGTCCCAGCTACTCGGGAGGAGGATGAGGCTGAGGCAGGAGAATGGCGTGAACCCGGGAGGCGCAGCTTGCAGTGAGCCGAGATCGGGCCACTGCACTGCAGCGTGGGCGACAGAGCGAGACTCCGTCTCAAATAAATAAATAAATAAATAGAAGCATGAATGAAGGCCCCAGGCTCCTTGCTTCTTCCCCAGATCACGGGCAGCAGAGGCAGAACCCTTGCCATGGCAGTGGCAGAGGGGCTGTCAGTTGCCTCTGGGAGCCACTCCCCAGGGAAACACGAGCCACCACCAGTGAGTGTGCTGAGGGCGGGGCAGCTGCTCTGCACTCCCGAGCTGGGGGCTCTGCCTGGTAAAGTGGGGGTGGGAGCTCACGGGGAAGAGAGACTGGACTCCTCTCTGTCTGATGGCTGTAGCATAATGACCGGGCCCCCACACATGAAAAAGAATTCTGGGAACTCAAAAAGCCAGTGTGTCCCCACCATGGACCCCTTGGATTGTGTTTCAAATTTCTCCTCAATTTCGAAGAGCGTCCTGGCCATCCAGATTCTGAATTCTATAACCCTCGTTTCATTCATCTCAATGTAGCTAAGAACCAGATTTCTGGGGAACTATCGAGTTGCCAGAGTTCTTGTGTTGATTCTTTTTTTTTTCTTTTTTGTGGCAGAGTCTTACTCTGTCGCCCAGGCTGGAGTGCAGTGGCACGATCTCAGCTCACTGCTGCAACCTTCACCTCCCGGGTTCAAGCGATTCTCCTGTCTCAGCCTCCTGAGTAGCTGGGATTACAGGTGTGTGCCACCACGCCCGGCTAATTTTTGTATGTTTAGTAGAGCCCGGGTTTTGTCACGTTGGTCAGGCTGGTCTCAAACTCTTGACCTCCGGTGATCTGCCCACTTCAGCCTCCCAAAGTGCTGGGATTACAGGTGTGAGCCACCGCGCCCGGCCTTGGTGTTGATTCTTTCTCTTGTGTGAGGGCTGGTGTTCCTTTAACTGTGATGTCGGTTGAGTACAGTCGCTTGGCTTCATTTCTGGGTGTTTTCAGATGCCAGGACTCTGCACAGGATCTTTATTTGTGGCTGAATTTTTCCCTTCATTGTATACTGGCAAAATTTTTCAGTGTTGTATTTTGAAGTGTGATCCAGTAGGTGGCACTTAAAAGGGTTGGCCAGCATACAGGATCTTAGCCACAAGGCTCTTTTGTAGTTTTGTTTCGTTTTTTGTTTCGTTTTTTGACACAGGGTCTTGTTCTGTCGCCCAGGCTGGAGCACAGTGGCACAATCTCGGCTCACTGCAGCCTCTACCTATCAGGCTAAGTGATCCTCCTGCCTCAGCCTCCTGAGTAGCTGGGACTACAAGCACGCAGCACCATAAAGAGAAAATTTTTGTAATTTTTTTTTTTTTTTTGTAGAGATGGGGTTTCACCATGTTTACCAGGCTGGTCTCAAACTCCTGGGCTCAAGCAATCTGCCTGCCTTGGCCCCCTAACTCTTGTATTTTGACAAAGTCGGCAGTAGTGCTCTGTGGTTGTGGGGAGGGGTGACTCCCTCGCCTGGTCCATTCTTGGGCCTTGGAGGAGCCTCCTACAGTCACTGGCTCTGCACCCACTGTTTCCTTTGTTAGGATTGTTCTGCCCACGGGGCTCCCTCAGGCAGGGCATGGTGGGCAGACAGGCTGTATCCTTCCCCGGCCAGCCCTATGGAGGGAGGACCACCCCGCACCTCTGCAGGCTGATGAAATCAGGTGTTTCACCCCTCTGAACGTTCTGAGAATGAGGGCTCCTCACGGCTTGGTCGCCACCTAACGTGGTGAGTCCTTCTCAGCAAGGGTGATTGGAGCCACATGATCTGCCATCTCAGTGCTTCCCAGGGGAACACAGAGCTACTGGGCATGGTGGCTCACACGTGTAATCCCAGTACTTTAGGAGGCCGAGATGGGCAGATTGCGAAGTCAGGAGACTGAGACCATCCTGGATAACATGGTGAAACCCCGTCTCTACTAAAAATACAAAAAAAAATTAGCCAGGCGTGGTGGCGGGCGCCTGTAGTCCCAGCTACTCGGGAGGCTGAGGCAGAAGAATGGTGTGAACCCGGGAGGCGGAGCTTGCAGTGAGCCAAGATCACACCACTGCACTCCAGCCTGGGCAACAGAGTGAGACTTCATCTCAACAAAAAAAGAAAAGAAAAGAAAAACACAGAGCTGCACACCCCACAGAGTTCAGGCAGAAGGGGGTCTGCAGCGCTGGAAGACCCAGCAAGCCTGGCCCGTCTGGCTGCAAGTGGCAGGGGTGGGTGGAGTCACCCACTTCACCATCTGGGTGCTTTCCAGGGAAGCATGCAGCCACGACCCCGGGCAGAGTTCAGGCAGAAGCTGGGCCACTATGCTGGAAACTGGCCTTGAGCCTTGTGGAGTAACGGCAGGTGGAGCCATCTCACTGCTCCCACGCACCATGCCCGTGGCCTCTGCGGGGGCTGTGGTAACGGCACCCGACTGCTCTGGGGTCAATGCCTGCGGAGGTCCCCCTGGCTTCAGTGTTGCCTCTGCAAAAACCCCAGTTGCAGCCAGGTGCGGTGGCTCACGCTTGTAATCCCAGCACTTTGGGAGGCCGAGGCAGGTGGATCACTTGAAGTCAGGAGTTCAAGACCAGCCTGGCCAACATGGTGAAACCCCGTTTCTACTAAAAATACAAAAATTATCCAGGCATGGTGGTGGGCACCTGTAATCCCAGCTACTCGGAAGGCTGAGGCAGCAGAATTGCTTGAACCCGGGAGGCGGAGGAGCTGAGATTGCACCACTGCACTGCAGCCTGGGCGACAAAACAAGACTCTGTCTCGAAAAATAATAACAATAAAAAATAAAGATGGCAACCATAGACACTGGAGACTACTAGATGGGGGGGAAGAAAGGGGGTTGAAAAACTGCCTATTGGGTACTATGCTCAGTACCTGGGTGACAGGATCAATCGTACTCCAAACCTCAGCATCACAAATTATTTAAATTTTTCTCTTTTTTTAATTTTTTTTGTTGTTGTTGTTGAGACGAAGTCTCACTCTGTTGCCCAGGCTGGAGTGCAGTGGTGTGATCTCGGCTCACTGCAAGCTCTGCCTCCCGGGTTCACGCCATTCTCCTGCCCCAATCTCCCGAGTAGCTGGGACTACACGCGCCCGCCACCACGTCCTGCTAATTTTTTGTATTTTCAGTAGACACGGGGTTTCACCGTGTTAGCCAGGATGGTCTTGATATCGTCACCTTGTGATCCACCCGCCTCGGCCTCCCAAAGTGCTGGGAATACAGGCGTGAGCTACCGCACCCGGCCTAAATTTTTTTTTAAATAAAGAATGGTAGGTTCTTCACACCCTAATGTATTTTTACTTCTCCCACAGAGAAGGAAAGGAATGGCTTCCCCATGGCGAGCCACCTCAGTCTGGGCTTTCTTTTCTTCCAGGGGACTTTCCCATGCCTTTCATATCTGCCAAATCGAGTCCTGTGATTCCCTTGGATGGATCTGTGAAAATCCAGTGCCAGGCCATTCGTGAAGCTTACCTGACCCAGCTGATGATCATAAAAAACTCCACGTACCGAGAGATAGGCAGAAGACTGAAGTTTTGGAATGAGACTGATCCTGAGTTCGTCATTGACCACATGGACGCAAACAAGGCAGGGCGCTATCAGTGCCAATATAGGATAGGGCACTACAGATTCCGGTACAGTGACACCCTGGAGCTGGTAGTGACAGGTAAGGAAACATCCAGGGTCCACAGCCCTGGTGTGATTTTTTTCTTATTTTTAATAGAGTATTTTTCAAGAAGTTTTAGATTTACAAACAAAAAAAAATTGATGATTGCTTCAGAGAGTTCTCAGCCATCTGGCACCCCACTTCCCCCAGAGTTAACATCTTACATTAGTATGGCACATTTCTTACCATTAATGAACAAATATCGACACATTCCCAGCTACAGTCTACAGTTTATTTACATTTTCTTAGTTTTTACCTGATAGTCTTTCTCTGTTCCAGAATCCCATTCAAGATTTCACATTGCGGCTGGGAGTGGTGGCTCACGCCTGTAATCCCAACACTTAGGGAAGCCGAGGCGGGTGGATCACCCAAGGTCAGGAGTTCGAGACCAGCCTGGCCAACATGGTGAATTCCCCGTCTCTACTGAAAATGCAACAATCGCCGGGCGCGGTGGCTCACGCCTGTAATCCCAACACTTTGGGTGGCTGAGGTGGGTGGATCACCTGAGGTCAGGAGTTCGAGACCAGCCTGGCCAACACAGTGAAACCTCGTCTCTACTAAAAATGGAAAAAATTGGCCAGGCCTGGTGGCACACGCCTGTAATCCCAGCTACTTGGGAGGCTGAGGCAGGAGAATCGCTTGAACCCAGGAGGCAGAGGTTGCAGTGAGCCAAGATCACACCACTGCACTCCAGGCTGGGCGACAGGGCGAGACTCCATCTCACACACACACACACACAAAAGATTTCACATTGCATTCAGGTGTCATGCATCTTTTTTTTTTTTTTTTTTTTTTTTTGAGACGGAGTCCCGCTGTGTTGCCCAGGCTGGAGTGCAGTGGCACAATCTCGGCTCACTGCAAGCTCCAACCTCCCGGGTTCACGCCATTCTCCTGCCTCAGCCTCCCGAGTAGCTGGGACTACAGGCGTCCGCCACCACGCCTGGCTAATTTTTTGTATTTTTAGTAGAGATAGGGTTTCACTGTGTTAGCCAGGATGGTCTCAATCTTCTGACCTCGTGATCCGCCCGCCTGGCCTCCCAAAGTGCTGGGATTACTGGCGTGAGCCACCACGCCCGGCCTCCGAAAATGCTGGGATTACAGGCATGAGCCACCGCACCTGGCCTCCCAAAGTGCTGGGATTCCAGGCGTGAGCCACCGTGCCCAGCAGGTGTCATGTATCTTTAGGTTTGTCTTGGCTGTCACAGCTTCTCAGATGTTGCTGGTTTTCCATGACCTTGTCAGTTTTGAGGGTAGTGGTCCATTATTTTCAAGGGTACTCCCACTACTGGAAATTGTCTGATGTTTTGCTCATGACTAGACTGAGTTATGGGTCATTGCAGGCAAGACCACAGAAGCAAAGTGCCATTTCATCTCCTCATAGCAAAGGTTTAAACTGTCCATGGGAACATGACTGTGGATGTTGAGCTGGCTGTTGTTGAAAGCCTGGCTGAAGTAGTAACTGTGGCCAGACACCGTGGCTCGTGCCTGTAATCCCAGCACTTTGAGAGGCCGAGATGGGCAGATCACTTAAGCCCAGGAGACCAGCCTGGGCAACATAGTAAGACCCCATCTGTACAAAAAATCAAAAAATTAGCTGGGCATGGTGGCATCCACCTGTAGTCTCAGCTACTTGAGAGGCTGAGATGGTAGGATCACCTGAGCCTGGGAGGTCGAGGCTGCAGTGAGCCGTGATTATGCCACTGCCCTCAGCCTGGGCGATAGAGTGAGACCCTCTCTAAAATAAATAAATTCTAAAAAAGAAAAAAGAGGCTGGGCACTGTGGTTCACGCCTGTAATCCCAGCACTTTGGGAGGCTGAGGCAGGTGGATCACCTGAGGTCAGGGATTCAAGACCAGCCTGACCAACATGGGGAAACCTCATCTTTACTAAAAATACAAAAATTAGCTGGGCGTGGTGGCGGGTGTCTGTAATCCCAGCTACTCGGGAGGCTGAGGCAGGAGACTCACTTGAACCTCGGAGGTGGAGGTTGCAGTGAGCGGAGATCATGCCACTGCACTGCAGCCTCAGTGACAGAGCGAGACTCCATCTCAAAAAACAATAATAGGCTGGGCGCAGTTGCTCATGCCTGTAATCCCAGCACTTTGGGAGGCCAAGGTGGGCAAATCACCTGAGGTCAGGAGTTCGAGACCAGCCTGACCAACATGGAGAGACCCCGTCTCTACTAAAAATACAAAAATTAGCTGGGCGTGGTGGTACGCACCTGTAATCCCAGTTTCTCGGGAGGCTGAGGCAGGAGAATTGCTTGAACCCGGGAGACGGAGGTTGCAGTGAGCTGAGATCACGCCACTGCACTCCAGCTTGGGCAATAAGAGCGAAACTCCATCTCAAAAAAATATATAATAATAACAATAAGAAGAAGAAGAAAAGAATAAAGGAGAAAAGGTCTTTCTAATAGCTCACTCTTTTCTCTCTTAGGCTTGTATGGCAAACCCTTCCTCTCTGCAGATCGGGGTCTGGTGTTGATGCCAGGAGAGAATATTTCCCTCACGTGCAGCTCAGCACACATCCCATTTGATAGATTTTCACTGGCCAAGGAGGGAGAACTTTCTCTGCCACAGCACCAAAGTGGGGAACACCCGGCCAACTTCTCTTTGGGTCCTGTGGACCTCAATGTCTCAGGGATCTACAGGTGCTACGGTTGGTACAACAGGAGCCCCTACCTGTGGTCCTTCCCCAGTAATGCCTTGGAGCTTGTGGTCACAGGTAGGTACCGCCCAGTCCAGCCCTGTGTCTGGGTTGGCTGTCCAGGGCCTTGCCACCGGGCAGGAATATGAAGACGTGCACTGAGAGTGAAGTGAAGAGAGGCAAAGGCTCTCACTCCAGGACAGTGGAGAGAGAAAGGCTTCCCCACCACACTTTCCGCTTTCACTTCCTCGCTAGAGTTCTCCAGACAGGGTTCATTGAAAACTTAGTCTGTGGAGAACAGAAGGGCTAACTCAGTTTGTTTCATTTTATTTATTTCATTTTATTTTCCGGGATAGAGTCTTGCTCTTTCGCCAAGGCTGGAGTGCAGTGGCACGATCTCGACTCACTGCAACCTTCGCCTCCCAGGTTCAAGCAATTCTCCTGCCTCAGCCTCCTGAGTAGCTGGGACCACACAGACAGGGTTTCACCATGTTGGCCAGGCTGGTCTCGAACTCCCGACCTCAGGTGATCCACCTGCCTCGGCCTCCCAAAGTGCTGGGATTACAGGCGTGAGCCACCGCGCCTGGCCAGGCTGCACACATTCTTATTAGGATTCCACCTTGTTCTGGTGTTGTAGAGATGTGATTAGGTATTTAGTGAATTCACCAAGTGAGGAGAGAATGAAAAGAAAACACAACCTGCCTGGCCGGGCGTGGTGGCGTGAGCCTGTCGTCCCAGCTACTCAGGAGGCTGAGGCAGGAGAATCACTTGAACCCAGGAGGCAGCTGTTGCAGTGAGCCAAGATCACGCCATTGCACTCCAGCCTGGGTGACAGAACGAGACTCCACCTCAAGAAAAAAAAAAAAAACACGGTTGGGCACGATGGCTCACGCCTGTAATCTGAGCACATTGGGAGGCTGAGGCAGGTGGATCACCTGAGGTCGGGAGTTCGAGACCAGCCTGGCCAACATAGTGAAACCCCATCTCCACTAAAAATACAAAAATTAACCAGGCGTGGTGGTGGTGGGCGCCTGTAATCCCAGCTACTTGGGAGGCTGAGGCAGGAGAATCACTTGACCAGGGAGGCGGAGGTTGCAGTGAGCCGAGATCACGCCACTGCACTCCAGCCTGGGCAACAGAGTGAGACTCCATCTCAAAAAAAAAAAAAAAAAAAACACACACAACCTGCCCATAATCACCTCCTTCCCAGTTTATAGCACTTCCCTGGGAAGCACAGTTCCTTGCCCGTGAACACAGTCTTGCTGACTGATCAGTGTGGTGCTGGCGAAGCATGAGCTCATTGAGGGGATGCTTGAGGGAGTCCCATTTTGGCAAGCGAAAAGGAAAATGAGCTCCCGTTTCAGGGCTCTGGGGTTGGGATGGAATGGAACACAACCACCAACCATTCATCTCCTTGAATTGTGTCTCCAGACTCCATCCACCAAGATTACACGACGCAGAACTTGATCCGCATGGCCGTGGCAGGACTGGTCCTCGTGGCTCTCTTGGCCATACTGGTTGAAAATTGGCACAGCCATACGGCACTGAACAAGGAAGCCTCGGCAGATGTGGCTGAACCGAGCTGGAGCCAACAGATGTGTCAGCCAGGATTGACCTTTGCACGAACACCAAGTGTCTGCAAGTAAACACCTGGAGGTGAAGGCAGAGAGGAGCCAGGACTGTGGAGTCCGACAAAGCTACTTGAAGGACACAAGAGAGAAAAGCTCACTAAGAAGCTTGAATCTACTTTTTTTTTTTTTTGAGACAGAGTCTGGCTCTGTCACCCAGGCTGGAGTGCAGTGGAGCAATCTCGGCTCATTGAACCTCTTGGGTTCAAGTGATTCTTGTGCCTCAGCCTCCCAAGTAGCTGGAATTACAGGCACATACCACTGCACCCAGCTAATTTTTGTATTTTTAGTAGAGATGGGGTTTCACTGTGTTGGCCAGGCTGGTCTCGAACTCCTGACCTCAGGTGATCCACCCACCTTGGCCTCCCAAAGTGCTGAGATTATAGGCATGAGCCACCACGCCTGGCCAGATGCATGTTCAAACCAATCAAATGGTGTTTTCTTATGCAGGACTGATCGATTTGCACCCACCTTTCTGCACATAAGTTATGGTTTTCCATCTTATCTGTCTTCTGATTTTTTATATCCTGTTTAATTTCTTCCTTCATTGTTCTTCTCTTTTTTTATTTATTTTATTTATTTTTATTTTTATTTTTATTTGAGACAGAGTCTCACTCTGTTGCCCAGGCTGGAGTGCAGTGGCACGATCTCGGCTCACTGCAACCTCTGCCTCCTGGGTTCAAGTGATTCTCCTGCCTCGGCCTCCCAAGTAGCTGGGATTACAGGCTCCCACCATCACGCCCAGCTACTTTTACAGTATTTTTAGTAGAGACGGGGTTTCATCACATTGGCCAAGCTGGTCTCAAACTTCTGACCTCGTGATCTGCCCGCCTCGGCCTCCCAAAGTGCTGGGATTACAGATGTGAGCCACTGCGCCCAGCCTTCTTTTTATATTTTTAAATGTGTCTTCCCCAAATATAAATGGTTGGTAAGCATGCCAAATATATTCAATAACCCCCCTCCTTTATTTTTTTTTGTTGAAGTGAGGCTCTCCCTATGTTGCCTAAGCTGGTCTTGAACTCCTGGTCTCAAGCAATCCTCCTACCTCAGCCTCCTGCTGTGTTCATCTACAAATTGATAAGAGTGAAAGTCATAATCCTACAGGAGGATTACCCTATTTATTTCACAAACCCTATTTCTACCGGATTTTCATACAAGGAATACAGGCATGTGTTTCACCTCATTAATTTATTTTTTCACTTAGTTTTGATGATATTCACATATATTATCAAGTGTGCAAACATTAAATTCTTGTGTACAAAACTCAAATGGTCTTCCAAATAATTCCCCATTCTTTTTTCTTATAAACTTTCACAGCTTTACCCTTGACAGACTTTACTCAAGGAAATCTAAGTTGGTCATATGTGGCTCTTTCACTGATTGCTATTTACTTCATTGTCCAGTAGCTTATGTATGAAAATATAATTATAAAATGTAAGGGTCCTACTTCCAGTGAAACTGAAGGGACTTAGGCCCACTTTTATCCTTTACTGAGAGCTTATCTCTACTTGATAAAATTTCTACTGTATTCTTGGCTTAACTCAGGTCCTGTGATTAAAAAAAAAATGCAAAGTATTTCTAACTTTCTTTATTGACTGCTTTTCACACTTTATACAAGTTCTGGCCCATATCTTCAGTTTGTTCTGATTTTTTTCACCAGGTGTGGTGGCAGGTGCCTGTAGTCCCAGCTACTCCAGGGGCTGAGGCAGGAGAATGGCGTGAACCTGGGAGGCGGGGCTTGCAATGAGCTGAGATCACGCCACTACACTCCAGCCTGGGCCACAGAGCGAGACTCCGTCTCAAAAGTAAACAAACAAATAAATAATAAATAAATAAATAAAGGGAAAGTGCCACAATTTTGGATGAAGGGGGTTGAGGGACTTTACGTCAGGTCCAGGACTTGGATTACAGAGACACAATGGGGCTAGATTCCCAGAGATGGATAAGATTAAACTCATATAAGTCGTTTTGCTGACAGAAGGACCTTGTTTGGAAAAAGCGTTTTCAGAATAATAAAGTTCCTGAGCTCTTCAGAAAAGTATTTTATTGTCCTGTAACCACAGTAACAAGTAGCCACCAAAACTGATTTTTAACCCATCATCAATGACAACTCATCTCTGTGAAGATGCTCTTTTTTTTTTTTTTTTTTTTTGAGACGGGGTCTTGCTCTGTCACCCAGGCTGGGGAGCAGTGACGTGACCTCGGCTCCCTGCAACCTCTCTTTCCCGGGTTCAGCAATTCTCCTGCCTCAGCCTCCCCAGTAGCTGGGATTATAGGCACCTGCCACCACACGCAGATAATTTTTGTATTTTTAGTACAGACGGGTTTCGCCATGTTGGCCAAGCTGGTCACAAACTTCTGACCTCAGGGTGATCTGCCTGCCTCAGCCTCTCAAAGTGCTGGGATTACAGGAGTGAGCCACAAAGCCCGGCCACTCCATACGTTTTATATTGTTATGTTACCATCAGTCAGGCAGCTCCTTGCTTCTAAAAGTCATCCAATCAGACTCATTTCAGTAAACACCCAAGCATGAGTGACAACCAATCAAAGTAATATCTTCCCAATGACCACACTTTTCCAGATGACGTCAAGCCACAGAAGGCCCTGAAAATCCAACAATCTCTGAAGTATACATTTCCCAGGCTGAGCGCAGTGGCTCACACCTGAAATCCCAGCACTTTGGGAGGCTAAGGCAGGCAGATCACGAGGCCAGGAGTTCGAGACCAGCCTGGCCAACATGGCAAAACCCCGTCTCTACTAAAAATACAAAAATTAGCCAGGTGTGGTGGCACGCACCTGCATTACCAGCTACTGAGGAGGCTGAGGCAGGAGAATGGCTTGAACCCAGGAGGCGGAGGTTGCAGTGAGCCAAGATCGTACCACCGCACTCCAGCCTTGGTGACAGAGCAAGACTCCATCTCAACAACAACAACAAAAATGGTTGAAATAAAACTTCTATGTGTTGAACGATTCCTCTTTTAGGCATAGAGTTTCAGTTTTACAAGATGAAAATATTCTGGAGATCTGTTTCAAAACACCGTGAATACATTTAACACTGCTATACTGTACACTTACAATGGCTAAGATGGTAAATTGTATGTTATGTTTTTACTACAATTTTTTTTTTTTTTTTTCTGAGACAGAGTCTCACTCTTGTTGCCCAGGCTGGAGTGCAATGGTGCGGTCTCGGCTCACCGCAACCTCCGCCTCCTGGGCTCAAGCCATTCTCCTGCCTCAGCCTCCAGAGCAGCTGGGATTACAGGCATGCGCCACCACGCCTGGCTAATTTTATATTTTTAGAAGAGACGGGGTTTCTCCATGTTGGTCAGGCTGGTCTCGAACTCTGGACCTCAGGTGATCCACCCGCCTTGGCCTCCCAAAGTGCTGGGATCACAGGCGTGAGCCACCACGCCTGGCCTACAATTTTTTTTTAACTTTTTTTTCTGAGATGGAGTCTCGCTCTTGTCACCCAAGTTGGAGTGCAGTAGTGTGATCTCGGCTCACTGCAACCTCTGCCTCCCTGGTTCAAGGGATTCTCCTGCCTCAACCTCCCAAGTGTGGGAGATCAGTCAGAGTAGCAGAAGAAATTATAGGAATAGGAAGCAGCAAACCTTCTTGGAAGGCCAGGGAGGTTGGCATAGCTTCAGATAGTTTGGCTGAAAGCAGCCAGATTCTCTTTTCAGGAGCCAAACAGCTTAGGGCGCAGATACAAAGGAATGCGGAGTATTTTATCTAAATAGCTTGCTTAGTCATATGGTCCTAAAATCAACCTTTGATCATTCTCGGGCAAGATGGCCCTCTCCAGGGAGGTGGCGGGGGGCGGTGACCAGGTTAATTACCCACAGGTGTGTTGACTCAAAGCCTTTGTTAATTAAATCTGTGCTAAATAAATGCAAGCGTTGCCAGCTTAGAGGGGCTGCACTCTCTTTGGCTCCTAGTGCCGGCAGCCCCCTGGCCTGCTCTTTCACTGAATATTGGTGTCTGAGGACGTGTCTCATCTGTCGTACAGCTGGGATCTGCAGAACAGATCCCCCCCGCACCCAAGAAGCTGGGATTACAGGCACCCGCCGCCACGCCCAGCTCATTTTTGTATTTTTAGTAGAGACAGGGTTTCACCATGTTGGTCAGGCCGGTCTCGAACTCCCGGCCTCAGGTGATCTGCCCGCCTCAGCCTCCCAAAAGTGCTTGGATTACAGGCATGAGCCACTGCGCCTGGCCTTAGAAAACTTCTTTTTCTTTTTTTTTTTTTTTTTTTTGAGACAGAGTTTCACTCTGTCGCTACGCTGGTGTGATCTGGGCTCACTGCAATCTCCGCCTCCCAGGTTCAAGTGATTCCCCTGCCTCAGCCTCCCGAGTAGCTGGAACTACAGGTGCGCACCGCCACGCCCGGCTAATTTCTTGTATTTTCGTGGAGACGGGGTTTCACCATGTTGGCTAGGCTGGTCTGTTTCATGCGCGTCCGTGTGAAGAGACCACCAAACAGGCTCTGTGTGAGCAACAAGGCTGTTTATTTCACCTGGGTGCAGGCAGGCTGAGTCCGACAAGAGAGTCAGCGAAGGGGGATAGGGGTGGGGCCGTTTTATAGGATTTGGGTAGGTAAAGGAAAATTACAGTCAAAGGGGGGTTGTTCTTTGGTGGGCAGGAGTGGGGGGTCACAAGGTGCTCAGTAGGGGAGCTTTTGAGTCAGGATGAACCAGAAGAAGGAATTTCACAAGATAATGTCATCAGTTAAGGCAGGAACAGGCCATTTTCATTTCTTTCGTGGTGGAATGTCATCAGTTAAGGCAGGAACCGGCCATCTGGATGTGTACGTGCAGGTCACAGGGGATATGATGGCTTAGCTTGGGCTCAGAGGCCTGACATTCCTGTCTTCTTATATTAATAAGAAAAATAAAACGAAATAGTGGTAAAGTGTTGGGATGGTGAAAATTTTGGGGGGTGGTATGGAGAGAGAATGGGCGATGTTTCTCAGGGCTGCTTCGAGCGGGATTAGGGGCGGCGTGGGAACCTAGAGTGGGAGAGATTAAGCTGAAGGAAGATTTTGTGTTAAGGGGTGATATTGTGGGATTGTTAGAAGAAACATTTTTCATTTAGAATTACTGGTGATGGCCTGGATGCAGTTTTGTATGAATTGAAAAACTAAATGGAATAAGGAAAGGAGAAAAACAGGTATAAAAGGTCTAAGAATTGGGACGACTCAGGACATCTGATTAGAGAGTGCCTAAGGAGGTTCAGCATAGCCTTGCCAGCAAAGATTATTTATTTACTTCAAGAGTTAAGAGTGGCGGTTTGGGGATAGCACCAGGAGATATCAGCTGTGATGGCTTGGAAAAACAGTGTAAACCAGCAGTGTAAACAAGAGCAGGGCATGTGTGAGTAGTTGAGAATGGTGAATAGGAGTATGACTAGACAGAAGATAGTAGGGATGACAAGTTTTTTGGGGCACAATCTAAGTTGGTCTGGTGTCTGGAATGAGACTGGGGCTTAATAAAAAGCAGTGTCTATACAGGAGCTCAAATGTGCTGTACCTTGTAGCATTCTGAGGACAGGCCTGAATTCTGAGAAAAGAAAGTGGTAAAAGTATTGTCCAGTCTTTTTTAAGTTGGTGGCTGAGCTTGGTGAGGTGTGTTTTTAATAGACCATTAGTCCATTCTACTTTTCCTGAAGACTGAGGACTGTAAGGGATATAAAGGTTTCACTGAATACCAAGAGCCTGAAAAACTGCTTGGCTGATTTGACTAATAAAGGCCGGTGTGCTATCAGACTGTATAGAGGTGGGAAGGCCAAACTGTGGAATTATGTCTGACAGAAGGGAAGAAATGACCTCGGTGGCCTTCTCAGACCCTGTGGGAAAGGCCTCTACCCATCCAGTGAAAGTGTCTACCCAGACCAAGAGGTATTTTAGTTTCCTGACTCAGGGCATGTGAGTAAAGTCAATTTGCCAGTCCTGGGCGGGGGCAAATCCCCGAGCCTGATGTGTAGGGAAGGGAGGGGACCTGAGCAATCCCTGAGGGGTAGTAGAATAGCAGATGGAACACTGATAAGTGGTTTCCATGAGGATAGATTTCCAGGATGGAAAGGAAATGAGAGGTTCTAAGAGATGGGCTAGCAGCTTGTAACCTACATGGAAGAGGCTATGAAATATCAACCGAATAGAATGGGCCTGTGAGGCTGGAAGGAGGTATTTTCCTTGGTCTAAGAACCATTTGCCTTGTGTGGGAAGAGATTGATGGGTGGAAGTTTCAGTGGGGGAGTAGGTGGGAGTGACTGATGAGAAGGAGAAAAACTGGCTGTGGGGGACAGAAATTGGCATGCTAGCTGCTTGTCTAGCTACCTTATCAGCATAAGCATAGATGTGAGAGACAGAAGTTGGAAAGCTAGCTGCTTGTCTAGCCACCTTGTCAGCATAGGCATTGTCTAGAGCAATGGGATCTGATGACTTTTGATGGCCTTTGCAGTGAATGACTCCAGCTTCCTTTGGGAGTAAAGCGGCCTTGAGCAGAGTTTTTATTAAGGAGGCATTAAAGATGGAGGACCCTTGTGTAGTGAGGAAACCTCTTTCAGCCCATATGACCGCATGGTGGGGCAGAATATGAAAGGCATATTTAGAGTCAGTATAAATATTGATGCATAGTCCTTTTGCATCAGTGAGGGCTTGAGTTAAGGCAACTAATTCGGCTTGCTGAGAGGTAGTGGAGGGGGCAGAGCGGTAGCCTCAATGATAGATGTGGAAGATACTATAGCATAGCCTGCCTTTGCTGGTGAGTGGCGATTAGGCCTGGTGGAACTGCCATCAATAAACTAAATGTGATTAGGGTGAGGAATAGGAAAGAAGGAAATGTGGGGAAATGGGGTGAATGTCAGGTGGATCAGAGAGATACAGTCATGGGGGTCAGGTGTGGTATCCGGAATAATGTGGGAGGCCGGATTGAAGTATGGGCCAGTAACAATGGTGATTGTGGGAGACTCAACAAAGAGTGAGTGTAGCTGAAGGAGCCGGGAAGCAGAAAGTATATGCGTCAGGTGTGAGGAAGAAAATAGATTTTTGGAAGTTATGAGAACTGTAGAGAGTGAGTTGAGCATAGTTTGTGATTTTGAGGGCCTCTAAAACTATTAAAGCAGCGGCAGCCGCTGCTCACAGACATGAGGGCTAGGCTAAAACAGTAAGGTCAAGTTGTTCGGACAGAAAGGCTACAGGGTGCGGTCCTGGCTCTTGTGTAAGAGTTCCGACCACGCTAACCATGCCTAGGAAGGAAAGGAGTTGTTGTTTTGTAGAAGGTGCTGGGGCTTGAGAGATCAGTCAGACACGATCGGCATGGAGAGCACGTGTGTTTTTATGAGAATTATGCCGAGATAGGTAACAGAGGAGGAAGAAATTTGGGCTTGACTGAAGTAATGGGGGCTGTCTGTGAAGCTTTGCGGCAGTACAGCCCAGGTAATTTGCTGAGCTTGATCGGTGTCAGGGTCAGTCCAAGTGAAAGCGAAGAGAGGCTGGGATGAAGGGTGCAAAGGAATAGTAAAGAAAGCACGTTTGAGATCCAGAACAGAATAATGGGTTGTAGAGGCAGGTATTGAGGATAGGAGAGTATATGGGTTTGGCACTACGGGGTGGATAGGCAAAACAATTTGGTTGATAAGGCGCAGATCCTGAACTAATGTGTAAGCCTTGTCTGGTTTTAGGACAGGTAAAATGGGAGAATTGTAAGGGGAGTTTATAGGCTTTAAAAGGCCATGCTGTAGCAGGCTTTAATCCTTTTAAAGCGTGCTGCGGAATGGGATATTGGCGTTGAGTGGGGTAAGGGTGATTAGGTTTTAATGAGATGGTAAGGGGTGCATGATCGGTCACCAAGGAGGGAGTAGAGGTATCCTATACTTGTGGGTTAAGGTGGGGGGATGCAAGAGGAGGAAGCAAAGGAGGCTTTGGATTGGGAAGAATGGCAGCAATGAGATATAGCTGTAGTCCAGGAACAGTCAGGGAAGCAGATAATTTAGTTAAAGTGTCTCAGCCTAATAAGGGAACTGGGCAGGTGGGGATAACTGAAAAGGAGTGCTTGAAAGAGTATTGTCTAAGTTGGCACCAGAGTTGGGGAGTTTTAAGAGGTTTAGAAGCCTAGCTGTCAATACCTACAACAGTTATGGAGGCAAGGGAAACAGGCCCTTGAAAAGAAGGTAATGTGGAGTGGGTAGCCTCCATATTGATTAAGAAGGGGACGGGCTTACCTTCCACTGTGAGAGTTACCTAGACTGTGATGGTCCTGTAGGCTTCTGAGGCGATCGGGATCGGGCAGTGTCAGTCTTCAGCTGCTAAGCCGAGAAGATCTGGGAAGGAGTCAGAGAGCCTTGGGCCAGAGTTCTAGCTGCTCTGGGAGTGGCTGCCAGGTGAGTTGAACAGTCCGATTTTCAGTGGGGTCCCGCACAGATGGGATGCGGCTTAGGAGGAATCCCAGGCTGTGGACATTCCTTGGCCCAGTGGCCAGATTTCCAGTACTTGTAGCAAGCTCCTGGGGGAAGAGGTTCTGGAGGAACCCCTGGCAGCTGCGGTTCAGGCGTTTGGAGTTCTCGTGTGCTGGAGATGTGGCTGGGGTTTGTCTCATCTGGATACTGGAGTGGAGGCAAGGAATTGCAACTCAGAAATATGTTGCTATTTGGCTGCCTCTACTCTATTACTGTACACCTTGAAGGCGAGGTTAATTAAGTCTTGTTGTGGGGTTTGAGGGACAGAATTTAATTTTTGGAGCTTTATTTAATGTTGGGAGCAGATTTGGTAATAAAATGTATATTGAGAATAAGACGGCCTTTTGACTTAGGGTCTAGGGCTGTAAAGCGTCTCAGGGTTGCTGCCAAATGAGCCATGAACTGGGCTGTGTTTTTAAATTTGATGAAAAAGAGCCTAAACACTATCTGATTTGGGAGAGGTCAGATAAAGAAAAAGGAGCATTAACCTTGACTATGCCTTTAGCTTCAGCCACCTTTTTAAGAGGAAATTGCTGGGCAGTTGGGGGAGGGCTAGTCATGGAATGGAACTGTAAGCTGGACCGGGTGTGAGGAGGGGAGGTGATAAAAGGATTATAGGGTGGAGGAGCGGAGGCTGAGGAAGAATTGGGACCCAGCTCGGCCTGGCGAGGAGGGGAGATGTCAGATGGGTCTGTAGAAAAGGAAGATTAGAAAGACTCAGCGATGCTTGGGGTTGGGACTGACGGGACAGGCGGGAGGGAAAGAAGGAAGATTTGGGACGAGTTGCACTGGGCATAGAGACTAGGGAGGGACCGATGTGTAAAAGAATGCCTGGATGTCAGGCACCTCAGACCATTTGCCCATTTTACAACAAGAATTATTTAGATCTTGTAGGATGGAAAAATTGAAAGTGCCGTTTTCTGGCTATTTGGAACCACTGTCAAGTTTGTATTGGGGTCAAGCAGCATTGCAGAAGAAAATAAGGCATTTAGGTTTTAGGTCAGGTGTGAGTTGAAGAGGTTTTAGGTTTTTAAGAACACAGGCTAAGGGAGAAGAAGGAGGAATGGAGGGTGGAAGGTTGCCCATACTGAAGGAGGCAAGCACAGAGAAAAGAGAGAGTAGAGACATGGAGGGAAGGGGTTCAGGGGTTCTTACCTTCCAGAAAAGCGGGAAAGGGGTCAGGGCACAGAAGTAAGGGATTGGGGTGCAGAGACAAGAGGTCGGGGTGTGGAAATAAGGGATCGGGGTGCAGAGATAAGACGTCAGGGCACAGAAATAAGGGATCGGGGGATTCTTGCCCCCTAGAAAAGCGGTACTTGCCACTAAGGGTGAAGGAGAAGGGGTTGGGGGGTTCTTGCCCCCCCAGAAAAGCAGAGAAGGGGTAGAGACACAGAGAAGGAGTTGGGGGTTCTTGCCCCCCCAGAAAAGCAGTACTTGCCACTAAGGGTGAAGGACCAAGGCAGGCATCCCCATGTGGTCAGACACCTCTGAAACGTGGGTGAATAATCAGAGAGGTGTCCCTGCGTGATTAAACACCAAGGGAAGGCTGCCTTCCCGAGTCCATGACCGGCGCTGGAGTTTTGGGTCCACGAATAAAGCGCGTCTCCTGTCTCTACCAGAAAAGGAAAGGAACTGAAATTAAGAGAAGGGAGAGATTGAAGAGTGGAAAGGAGAAAGTGGTTGAGGGATAGTGAGAGAGGTTGGAGAAGAGAGTAAAAAGAGGCTGCTTACTGGATTTAAAATTGGTGAGATGTTCCTTGGGCTGGTTGGTCTGAGGACGAGAGGTCGTAGGTGGATCTTTCTCATGGAGCAAAGAGCAGGAGGACAGGGGATTGATCTCCTAAGGAAGATCCCCTGATTCGAGTTATGGCACCAAATTTCACTCACGTCCGTGTGAAGAGACCACCAAACAGGATTTGTGTGAGCAACAAGGCTGTTTATTTCACCTGGGTGCAGGCGGGCTGAGTCCAGAAAGAGAGTCAGCAAAGGGAGATAGGAGTGCGGCCGTTTTATAGGATTTGGGTAGGTAAAGGAAAATTACAGTCAAAAGGGGGTTGTTCTCTGGCGGGCAGGAGTGGGGTTCACAAGGTGCTCAGTAGGGGAGCTTTTGAGCCGGGATGAGCCAGGAGAAGGAATTTCATAAGATAATGTCATCACTTAAGGCAAGAACAGGCCATTTTCATTTCTTTCGTGGTGGAATGTCATCAGTTAAGGCAGGAACCGGCCATCTGGATGTGTACATACAGGCCACAGGGGGATATGATGGCTTAGCTTGGGCTCAGAGGCCTGACAGTCTGGATCACCTGACCTGGTGATCCGCACACCTCGGCCTCCCAAAGTGCTGGGATTACAGGCATGACCCACTGCACCTGGCCTTAGAAAACTTCTTAAATATTAAAATGTATGTTATGTGTATTTTGCCACAATTTTTGAAAAGTACCTTCTGGTGTTTAGAGACAGAAGATGAGTGGTTGCCTAGGGCCGGGAGAGTGAGGGGATCGTGGTGATGGGCAGCTGGTCGGCATGGGGTTCTGAAGGGCAGTGATGACAACATTCTAAAATTAGACTGTGTTGACGGTTGCACCAACTCCGTGAATACCACAAAATTTAAACCATTGAATTATGCACTTTTAATGGGTAATTGTATGGCATGTAAATTATATCTCAATAAAGTTATATTTTTAAATACCAAAAAAAGGCCGGGTGCGGTGGCTCACGCCTGTAATCCCAGCACTTTGGGAGGCCGAGAAGGGCGGATCACGAGGTCAGGAGATGGAGACCATCCTGGCTAACATGGTGAAACCCCATCTCTACTTTGAAAAAAAAAAAAAAAAAAAAAAGATTACCCGGACGTGGTGGTGGGCACCTGTAGTCCTAGCTACTCAGGAGGCTGAGGCAGGAGAATGGCATAAACTCGGGAGGCAGAGCTTGCAGTGAGTCGAGATTGCGCCACTCAGGAGGCTGAGGCAAGAGAATGGCATAAACCCCGGAGGCAGAGCTTGCAGCGAGCCGAGATTGCGCCACTGCACTCCAGCATGGGTGACAGAGCAAGAGTCCATCTCAAAAAAAAAAAAAAAAAGATTAGTAATATCCTCTGTGTCACTTACCACTTAAGTGATTGAATCACGACTTGAAATTCATCATCTCAAACATGGCTTAGAGTCTGTAGAGGGGGGACAGTCCCAGGAATGCTGGTGTGGGCTTAAGGCTGAATTAAATAGATCCAGATGGCTCACACCTGTAATCCCAATACCTTGGGAGGCCGAGGCAGGTGGGAGGCTGAGGCAGGCGGATCACTGGAGCTCCTGGAGCGAAGAAAGGATGCTAGTGGAAAAACTGGTGAAATCAGAATAAAGTCTATAGTTTTATTTTTTAAAGGAGGCTGGGCGTGGTGGCTCATGCCTCTAATCCCAGCACTTTGGGAGGCTGAGGCAGGTGGATCAGTTGAGTTCAGGAGTTCGAAACCAGCCTGGCCAACTTGACGAAACCCCATCTCTACTAGAAATACAAAAATTAGCTGGGCGTGGTTGTGGGTGCCTCTAATCCCAGCTACTCAGGAAGCTGAGGCAGGAGAATTGCTTGAACCCAGGAGGCGGAGGTTGCAGTGAGCTGAGATCACACCATTGCACTCCAGCCTGGGCTACAGAGCAAGATTCCATCTCCAAATAAGAGAGACATGACAATTAAATAAATTGTGTAATCTTGGATTAAATCCTAAACCAAATATATGTCACTGGTAAAACAAGTGGTGAAATTTGAATAAAGTGGATAGATCAGACAATAGTGTCATATCAGTGCTATTTCTTGACCTTGAACATTAATAACAGAATGTCCTTGGTTTTGGGAAATATAACCTGAAGTGATTAGAGGTTTAGGGCATCATATGCAAATTAGACACACTTTCTTCGGGGAGAGAGGGAGAGGGAGAGAGGCTGAATGATGAAGCAAATGTGGTAAAATGCTAACTTTGGGGAAATCTGGATGAAGAAATTACAGATTTTTTTTTTTTTTATAGACAGGGTAACACTCTGTCACCCAGGCTAGAGTGCAGTGGCACGATCATGGCTCACTGCAGCTTCTACCTCCCTGGGCTCAGATGACCCTCTCACCTCAGCCTCCCAAGTAGCTGGGACTATAGGCGCACAGCACCACACCTGGCTAATTTTTGCATTTTTTTTTCCCCCAGGCTCGTCTCAAGCAATCCACCCACCTCGGCCTCCCAAAGTGCTGGGATTACAGGTGTGAGCCACTGCACCTGGCCAGAAATTCTTTAAACTATTTTTGCAAGTCTGGAATTATGTCAAAATTAAAAGCTCAAAATAATAAAAGACAATATTCTTATATTTCTTTGGTGAAGGTAACTATGTTATGGCTGAGAGGGTGGCTGAGGTCTGAGGATCCAGCCTACATAAGTCTCCTCCATAGAGGGCATCCAAGCGCTCCGTAGGGGGAAGGATAAAGAAAACACCCAGAGTTATGACAGCTGTGTAAGGGGAAACGCCAGCACCGAGTACTGAATCTTCAGTAAATAAGAAGGAGGCGGGCTGGGTGTGGTGGCTCACGCCTGTAATCCCAGCACTTTGGGAGGCTAAAGTGGGCTGATCACTTGAGGTCAAGAGTTCGAGACTAGCCTGGCCAACATGGGGAAACCCTGTCTCTACTAAAAATACAAAAATTAGTCGAGTGTGGTGGCACACGCCTGTAATCCCAGCTACTTGGGAGGCTAGAACAGGAGAATTGCTTGAACCCAGGAGGTGAAGGTTGCAGTGAGCTGAGATTGCACCACTGCACCCCAGCTTGAGGGACAGAGTGAGATTCCGTCTTAAAGAGAAAAAAAAAAGAATTAGCACATTTGTTTGCCTCAAGAAGATACAACTAGTCTTGTACAGTAGTCACATGTATCCACCAGGATATATTCCAAGGCCCCAGTGGATGCTGAAAACTACATAGTACCTTACATGTATATATATATGTATATACATATATACACATATACGTATATGTATACATACATGTATATATGCATGTATGTATATACATATATGCATATATACATACATGTATATATACATGTATGTATATACATATATGTATATGTATGTATACACGCATACATGTATGTATACACGCATATATGTATGTATATACATATATGTATGTATACACGCATACATGTATGTATATACATATATGTATGTATACACGCATACATGTGTGTATACATATATATGCATGTATGCATGTGTGTATATATACATATATGTGTATATATACGCATATACATGTATGTGTATATATGCATGTGTATATATACATGTACGGTACTATGCAGTATATATACACATATATGTATATATGTATACATATATGTATAAATGTATATATGTGTATATATATAAAAGGTATATATGTATATATGTGTGTATATATAAAATGCATGAATTTCTTTTTTCTTACTGTAGATCTTAACAACTTCTGCATAGAATTTTTTTTTATTAAGTGGAGAGTTAGTTACTTACTTAAAAGAAATGTTTCTTGGCTGGGTGTGGTGGCTCACACCTGTAATCCCAGCACTTTGAGAGGCCGAGGCAGGAAGATTCACTTGAGGTGAGGAGTTGGAGACCATCCTGGCCAACGTGGTAAAAACCGGTCTCTACTAAAAGTACAAAAATGAGCTGGGCGTGGTGTTGGGTGTCTGTAGTCCCAGCTACTCAGGTGGCTGAGGCAGGAGAATTGCTTGAACCCACAAGGCAGAGGTTGCAGTGAGCTGAGATCACACCACTGCACCACAGCCTGGGCAACAGAGCAAGACTCTGTCTCAAAAAAAAAAAAAAAAGAAAGAAAAAGAAAAAGAAAAGAAATGTTTCTTTTCTTATTAAGTTCTTTAAATGAAAAGCTTTTCTTTTCACTTTTATTTTATTGAAACATTATAACACTATCTTTGAAGAAGTTAGTGTTATCATTCCATTCTGATGAAACCAATTAACTTATCCAAGCATATGTATACTGTACACAGAGAAGCCAACGTCAAAACCCCTATTTTTATCTTTTTAGATTCAGCAGATACATGTGCAGGTTTTTTATGAGTATATTGCATGATGCTGAGGCTTGCATTAATGATCTAGTCACCAAATAGGTAGATTTTCAAGCCTTGCTCCCCTCCTTACCCAATGTTTAGCGCTCTCACTTATAAGTGAGAACATGTGGTATTTGGTTTTCTTTTCTTTTTTTTTTTTTTTTTTGAGATGGAGTTTCACTCTTGTTGCCCAGGCTGGAGTACAATGGCACCATCTCGGCTCACTGCAACCTTCACCTTCCAGGTTCAAGCAATTCTCCTGCCTCAGCCTCCCGAGTAGTTGGGACTACAGGCATGTGCCACCACACCCGGCTAATTTTGAATTTTTAGTAGAGACAGGGTTTCTGCATGTTGGTCAGGCTGGTCTCGAACTCCCGACCTAAGGTGATCCACCTGCCTCAGCCTCCCAAAGTGCTGGGATGACAGGCGTGAGCCACCGTGTCTGGCCAGTATTTGGTTTTCTGTTTCTGTGTTAACTCGCTTAGGATAATGGCCTCTAGCTGCATCCATGTTGCTGCAAAGGACATAATCTTGTGATTTTTCAAGGCTGTATAGCGTTCTGTGGTGTATACATATCACATTGTCTTTATCCAGTCCACCTCTGATGGGACCTGGGTGGATTCCATGTCTTCACTATTGTGAATCCTGCTGCAATGAACATACAAGTGCATGTGTCTTTTTGGTAGAATGATTTATTTTCCTTTGGCTATATACCCAGCGATGGGATTGCTGGGCTGAATGGTAACTCTGTTTGTAGTTCTCTGAAATATCTCCAAACCAAACTGCTTTCCACAGTGGCTGAACTAATTTACACCCACCAACAGTGTATAAGTGTCCCCTTTGCTCCACAATCTCACCAGCATCTGTTAATTTCTGGCTTTTCAGTAATGGCCATTCTGACTGGTGTGAGATGGTATTGTTGAGGGATAATTTAGGAATCAGAGAGACCGAGGGGTTGAGGAGGATTTATTATTATTATTATTATTTAGGTGCACCGGCCCCAGTCAGATTAACATCCAAAAAGACTGAGGCTCGAACAGAGAGTCCGGTTACCTTTTAAGCATTTTGTGGGGTTGGGGGAGATCTGTGCAGGGGGAAGCATATTACAGAAGCAAGAAACAAAGGCAGTTATTCAATTGAGACATGCATCACATTATTCCTTACTTTTCAAGAAAAATATGTTTTACGACTTGAGGTTATCCTGTCTAGTGATCTTGCAGCCGCACGGCAAGAGAAACAGGGTCTTCACAATGCCTGGGAAAGGGAGAGATAAGGCTCACTAGCCACAGACAGAAAAACAGGCAGTTCATGTTTAAAGGACTCCACCTCTTTCTCTTCCTCGGGGGGAACTGGGTTTTCTTAAATACAACTGAGTTTTTGTTTACACATTCTGTAATTTCTTTTAATTCCTGTTCCAGTATCTCACTGTGAAACTCCCTATGTTTTTATACGATTCTCAGGGGGTTTCCTCTGGGCATGATTGGGCACAACTTCCCACAGTCAGCTCTGGGTACGACCTCCACATTGCAGAATTGAGAAGTTGACCCAGAAATGCATTTTGGGCTGAGCAGACAATTGTCAGAGTTGCTGGCTAGACCACAGATGTGTCAGAGGGACCACGGCCTTTCTGTAAGCTCATGGTCAGAGGCGGAGGGGAGTTGTGAACGTTCTGATGAAAGCAGTCAACGTGAAAGCGCTCTGGTGATGGGCGCTGGTGCTCACCCACCACTTCCTGTGTATCTATCTCCCTGGCCCGCCCGGCTCAGTCCCCACTGCTCAGCACTAGGCCGGCAGAATCTGAGCGATGTCTTCCACACTCCCTGCCCTGCTCTGCGTCGGTGAGTTCTGGCGTGGAAGGGGAATGGGATCACGGTGTGCCTGGGAGGCAACAGGTCTCATTACTCCCGTCTTCCAGGGCTGTGTCTGAGTCAGAGGATCAGCGCCCAGCAGCGTGAGTCCTTCCTTCAAAGCCCAGGGTCACTCTTCCGGGTTCAGGCCAAGCTCCTTCCACCCAAGCACGGCTGGGGAGAGGGGACAGGGTGCTGGCTTCCCAGGAGAGCTTGGGGCCAGCAGCTGGGTGGAGCCTAAGGTTGGGGGGAGGGGGCTCCGCTGGAACTCCAGCCTCTGATTCCCTTCCAGAGACTCTCCCAAAACCGTTCATCTGGGCCGAGCCCCATTTCATGGTTCCAAAGGAAAAGCAAGTGACCATCTGTTGCCAGGGAAATTATGGGGCTGTTGAATACCAGCTGCACTTTGAAGGAAGCCTTTTTGCCGTGGACAGACCAAAACCCCCTGAGCGGATTAACAAAGTCAAATTCTACATCCCGGACATGAACTCCCGCATGGCAGGGCAATACAGCTGCATCTATCGGGTTGGGGAGCTCTGGTCAGAGCCCAGCAACTTGCTGGATCTGGTGGTAACAGGTAACTGTCCGGTTCTCTAACTGGAGAGTGATCTCAGTCTGCATCCGGGATGCAGCATCATCTATGAACTCTTCCAAGCCCCACTCAGACACTGCTTGTCTCGGTAGGAGGCTGGAAGGAGGGGTGATCCCCATCACAATCCTTGCCTACAAGGGGTTGTCTGCAGACCGTGTCTCTACGTCCTAGGAGCAGATGTGTCCTCAGTCAGTTTCTCCATGACACAGATTCTGAGATAGATATTTGTATGCAGGGGTATGACTGAGGAATGTCCTCAAAAACAATGCCTGTGGGCTAGGCGCAGTGGCTTACACTTTGCTTCCCTCACCCATCACAGGTGGTGGGTTTTTTTTTTTTTTATCTGTTTTGAGACGGAGTTTCGCTCTTGTCACCCAGGCTGGAGTGCAGTGGTGCAATCTCCAGTCACTGCAACCTCCACCTCCTGGGTTCAAGTGATTCTCCAGCCTCAGCTTCCCAAGTAGCTGGGATCACAGGCACCCACCACTACGCCACATTTTGTATTTTTAGTAGAGATGGGGTTTCACCATGTTGGCCAGGGTGGTGTCGAACTCCTGACCTCAGATGATCCGCCCGCCTCACCCTCCCAAAGTGCTGGGATTACAGGTGTGAGCCATCACACCCAGCCAGGTGGTGGTTTTCTAAAAAAAAAAAAAAAAATTAGCTTTTTTTTTTTTTAACAATATGGTTGTTTATTATTATTATCAAGTATTATACATAGTTACATATACATACATAATTGTATGTGCTATACAATTAGGTTTGTTTATACCAGCAACACCAAAAACACATGAGCAATACTTTGTGCTAGGAAGGCTATGATGTCATCAGGCAATAGGAATTTTTCAGTTTCATTATAATCTTATGGGACCACCATCATATATGTGGTACATTGTTGGCCAAAATGTCATTATGCAGCTCACAACAGTATTTCATGTCCATTCAAATATCTTCTTTTGTGAAATGTCTATTTAAATCTTTTGCCTATTTTTAAATTGGGTTGCTTATATTTTGATTGATTAGGAAAAGTTATTTCTATATTCTGTGTCATATACTTGTGTTGAAATATATATATTTTTTGTCTGTGCCTTTTCATTTGCTCAGGGTCTTTGGACCTTGTTTGGAGGTTCTGGCAGGGGAACACAGCTACTCATTTATTCTTTTTTTTTTAATTTTTTTAGTATTTATTGATCATTCTTGGGTGTTTCTCGGAGAGGGGGATTTGGCAGGGTCATAGGACAATAGTGGAGAGAAGGTCAGCAGATAAACATGTGAACAAAGGTCTCTGGCTTTCCTAGGCAGAGGTCCCTGCGGCCTTCCGCAGTGTTTGTGTCCCTGGGTACTTGAGATTAGGGAGTGGTGATGACTCTTAAGGAGCATGCTGCCTTCAAGCATCTGTTTAACAAAGCACATCTTGCACCGCCCTTAATCCATTTAACCCTGAGTGGACATAGCACATGTTTCAGAGAGCACGGGGTTGGGGGTAAGGTCATAGATTAACAGCATCCCAAGGCAGAAGAATTTGTCTTAGTACAGAACAAAATGGAGTCTCCTATGTCTACTTCTTTCTACACAGACACAGTAACAATCTGATCTCTCTTTCTTTTCCCCACATTTCCCCTTTTTCTATTCGACAAAACCGCCATCGTCATCATGGCCCATTCTCAATGAGCTGTTGGGTACACCTCCCAGACGGGGTGGCGGCCGGGCAGAGGGGCTCCTCACTTCCCAGACGGGGCGGCCGGGCAGAGGCGCCCCCCCACCTCCCAGACGGGGCAGTGGCCGGGCGGGGGCTGCCCCCCAACCTCCCGGACGGGGCGGCTGGCCGGGGCTTTTTTTTTTTTTTTTTGAGACAGTCTCGCTGCAGTGCAGTGGTACAATCTCAGCTCACTGCAACCTCTGCCTCAGCCTCAATTCTCCTGCCTCAGCCTCCCAAGTAGTTGAGATTACAGGCATGTGCCACCACACCCGGCTAATTTTTGCATTTTTAGTAGAGACGGGGTTTCACCATGTTGACCAGGCTGGTCTCAAACTCCTGACCCAGGAGGTCGAGTCTTCAGTAAGCAAAGATAGTGCCACGGCGCTCCAGCCTGGGAAACAGAGCAAGACCCTGTATCATTTTTAAAAATGGTTTTAGACGGTAAATCTTCTATTGTGTGTATTTGACCAAAATAATAATTAAAAAAAAAAAAAAAGCTGGCTGCCAGGCATGGTGGCAGGCCCCTGTAGTCCCAGCTACTTGGGAGGGTGAGGCAGGAGAAACGCTTGAACCCGGGAGGCAGAGGTTGCAGTGAGCCAAGATCGTGTCACTGCACTCCAGCCTGGGCGACAGAGAGAGACTCCATCTCTAAAGAAAGAAAAAAAAAAATAGCTGGCTGCTCATCACTGAGTTTCTGGTGTGGTGGCCCCACCTTCTCTCATAGAAATGTATGACACACCCACCCTCTCGGTTCATCCTGGACCCGAAGTGATCTCGGGAGAGAAGGTGACCTTCTACTGCCGTCTAGACACTGCAACAAGCATGTTCTTACTGCTCAAGGAGGGAAGATCCAGCCACGTACAGCGCGGATACGGGAAGGTCCAGGCGGAGTTCCCCCTGGGCCCTGTGACCACAGCCCACCGAGGGACATACCGATGTTTTGGCTCCTATAACAACCATGCCTGGTCTTTCCCCAGTGAGCCAGTGAAGCTCCTGGTCACAGGTGAGGAAATGCTCAATTCCCCACACCCTTCGCCGCCATGTCCTACCTGGAGCCCTGAGGGATCCCCAGAGAGTGATGGGGAGGGTGTCCAAGGGACGTCCACTTCCTGGGTGCCTGGTTGGTCATGTGAGGAAGAACACCAGAAGCAGGAAGGAGGAGGGAGCAGAGAAAGGAATGGTAAGGCGGGTGGATCACAAGGTCAGGAGTTCGAGACCAGCCTGGCCAAGACGGTGAAACCCCGTCTCTACTAAAAATACAGAAATTAGCCAGACGCAGTGGCGGACACCTGTAGTCCCAGCTACTCAGGAGGCTGAGGCAGGAGAATCGCTTGAACCCGGGAGGCGGGGGTTGTAGTGAACCGAGATCATACCACCGCACTGCAACCTGGGCGACAGAGCAAGACTCCATCTCAAAAAAAAAAAAAAAAAAAAAAAGAATGGCAAGACCGGAGGAAACCAAAAACCCTTACTTTTTTTTCTTTATCTCCTTTTCCAGGCGACATTGAGAACACCAGCCTTGCACCTGAAGACCCCACCTTTCCTGGTGAGTAACTGGTCCTTCTAAGCTCAGACGAGCGATCAGAGCCTCCCAGTGACACTAAAAACGTGGCATTCATTCAAAATATTCATCGAGGCCAGGCGTGGTGGCTCACGCCTGTAATCCCAGCACTTTGGGAGGCCGAGATGGTGCATCATTTGAGGTCAGGAGTTTGAGACCAGCCTGGCCAACATGGCGAAACCCTGTCTCTACTAAAAATACAAAACTTAGGCTGGGCATCATGGCTCACACCTGTAATCCCAACACTTCGGGAGGCCAAGGTGGTTGGATCACAAGGTCAGGAATTCGAGACCAGCCTGACCAACATGGTGAAACCCCATCTCTACTAAAAATACAAAAATTAGCCGGGCCTGGTGGTGCTCGCCTGTAATCCCAGCTACTCAGGAGGCTGAGGCAGGAGAATTGTTGAACCTGGGATGCAGAGGTTGCAGTGAGCTGAGATCGCGCCACTGCATTCCACTCCACTGCACGACACAGCGAGACTCCATCTCACAGAAAAACAAAAACAAAACTATTATATATATATATTCATCAAGTGCATAGTATACACAGTGAACTACACTGTAACAGTCAGCCAGGCAGATATCTTGACTCTGCAGCACTTAGATTCTAGCAGGAGGAGACACACCATCGGTCAACGTCAGGATAGCACACAGGAGGGAATGATGCTATGGAAGGAAAAGACAAAGTAGAACAGACTTACAGTGATTGAAATGGCAGCTAGCAATATTAAATAGGTTTGTCCAGATGGACCTCACAGAGAAAGAAGGCATCTGAGCAAATGCGTTCAGACTTGAGTTAATCATGTGGCTGTCAGGAGAAAGGAGGCTCTGGAGAGAATGAAATGGCATCTGCCTGTGCCCTGGGGCAGGAAGATAACTGGGGTAATACAATAATAACTATGAGGCCAGGAGGGTTGAAAATGATGTTTGGAAGATGACGGTGGGATGGGCCTGGGGCGCACGGCTAGGATTACAGGAGTGAGGCCCGGCGCGGTGGCTCACGCCTGTAATCCCAGCACTTTGGGAAACCGAGGCAGGTGGGTCATGAGGTCAGGAGATCAAGACCATCCTGGCTAACACGGTGAAACCCTGTCTCTACTAAAAAAAAATACAAAAATTATCCGGGCGTGGTGGCGGGCGCCTGTAGTCCCAGCTACACAAGAGGCTGAGGCAGGAGAATGGCGTGAACCCGGGAGACGGAGCTTGCAGTGAGCTGAGATCGCGCCACTGCACTCCAGCCTGAGCGACAGAGTGAGACTCCGTCTCAAAAAAAAAAAAAAAGAAAAAGAAAAAGAAAAAAAAATAGTGAGACTTTGAATTTCACTATGTGTGTATGTGTGAGGAGAAAGAGGTAATGATGACTTAATGAGGAAAATGAGGCTTAAATAGAAGACGGGCTGGGCCGGGTGGCTCCCGCATGTAATCCCAGCACTTTGGAAGGCAGGGGCGGCTGGATCACTTGAGGTCAGGAGTTCAAGACCAGCCTGGCCAACACAGTGAAACCCCATCTCTACTAAAAATACAAACATGAGTTGGGTGTGGTGGCGCACGCCAGTAATTACAGCTACTCGGGGCTGAAGCAAGAGGATTGCTTGAACTCGGGAGGCGGAGGTTGCAGTGAGCTGAGATCACACCACTGTACTCCAGCCTCAGAGGCCTGTCATCCCAGCCCTTTGGGAGGCCGAAGCAGGCAGGTCATCTGAGGTTGGGAGTTCAAGACCAGCCTGGCCAACATGGCAAAACCCCGTTTCTACTAAAAATATGAAAAAAATTACCTGGGTATGTGGTGTGTGCCTGTAGTCCCAGCTACTCCAGAGGCTGGAACACAGTGAGACTCTATCTCAAAAAAAAAAAAAATAGAAGACATGACTGGTGCAAAGACACATGCTCACAAGTGCTAGAATGGAATTCCTCGTCAGGTTCGTCCATCTGTGGACCCTTCCACTTTACCTGCTGGATGAAGCTCCTGGGACCCGCAGGGTGAGGTGGGACCTTGTAAAGCTGCAGAACGTCATGGGGTAGACCCAAGGGAAGGAGTGCTGGGGTGGAGGAGGTCAAAACCATCCTCTTTTCTTCACTTCCCTTATCATCAGCAGACACTTGGGGCACCTACCTTTTAACCACAGAGACGGGACTCCAGAAAGGTAAGTAGACAGCTGGGGCCATAGGCTCTGAAGGAAGGGGCTGGGCATAGAGTAGACCTAGGAAGGGAATCTAAATGGGAACAAGAGGGTGTCCTTGGCCAGGCGCAGTAGCTCACACCTGTAATCTCAGCCCTTTGGGAGGCCGAGGCGGGCAGATCATCTGAGGTCGGGAGTTCAAGACCAGTCTGGCCAACATGGCGAAATCCCATCTCTACTAAAAATACAAAAAAATTAGCCAGGCGTGGTGGCGTGTGCCTGTAGTCCCAGCTACTTGGGAGGCTGAGACAGGAGAATAGCTTGAACCCAGGAAGTGGAGGTTGCAGTGAGCCGAGATCGTGCCATTGCACTCCAGCCTGGGCGACAAGACTGAGGCTCTGTCTCAAAAAAAAAAAAAAAAAAAAAAAAAAAAAAAAAAAAAAAGAGGGTGTCCTTACATCCCTGTCAGCGATCACCCTGTTCTCCTGCCTACAGACCATGCCCTCTGGGATCACACTGCCCAGAATCTCCTTCGGATGGGCCTGGCCTTTCTAGTCCTGGTGGCTCTAGTGTGGTTCCTGGTTGAAGACTGGCTCAGCAGGAAGAGGACTAGAGAGCGAGCCAGCAGAGCTTCCACTTGGGAAGGCAGGAGAAGGCTGAACACACAGACTCTTTGAAGAATGACCATGAGACACAGTGGCCATGGGTGGATCTGAAAGCTGGTGTTGAGCCTGGGCGGCGTGAGCTCTGTGTTGGACCCACGGAGGAGGGAGTCACTGCAGGGAAAGAGGGACACTGGCATTCCATTTGTCAGAGCATCCCGGACGATGCAGAGGGTGGGAGAACTACATGCTAAATTTCTTTTTTTTTTTTTTTGAGACAGAGTTTTCTCTTGTTGCCCAGGCTGGAGTGCAATGGCGCGATCTTGGCTCACTGCAACCTCTAGCTCTCCATCCCTCGGGTTCAAGTGATTCTCCTGCCTCAGCCTCCTGAGTAGCTGGGATTACAGGCATGTGCCACCACCCCAGCTAATTTTGTATTTTTAGTGGAGACGGGGTTTCTCCCTGTTGGCTGGTCTCGAACTCCTGACCTCAAGTGATCTCCCCGCCTTGGCCTCCCAAAGGGCTGGGATTACAGGCATAAGCCGCTGCGCCCAGCCACTGAATTTCTTCTGTAGACAAATCCTATGGTCTCTTCTAGGCTCTAACTATTTTTGTACCACTTACTGCAAACCATACTTTTAACCACTCTGGTCTTTTCTGAAAAGATCTCTCCTTCTTTAACAGGATGGCCATGGAAATATTTTTTTCCTACTTTGGTCTTTTTTTCTTTCCTTTCTCTGCAGGAAGCCATTCAAAATAGTTAATAACCAATATAGAATAGGTCTGTATCAAATGGTTCAGGAGGCATTGTGGCAACAACCAGTTGTAGAGAAGCAGCTTTATAAGTGAATCCTGCCAGGCACGGTGGCTCACACCTGTAATCCCAACACTTTGGGAGGCTGAGGCGGGCAGATCACCTGAGGTCAGGAGTTCGAGACCAGCCTGGCCAACATGATGAAACCCCATCTCTACTAAAAATACAAAAACTCGGCCAGGCACGGTGGCTCATGCCTGTAATCCCAGCACTTTGGGAGGCCAAGGTGGGAGGATCACCTGAGGTCAGGAGTTCGAGAGCAGCCTGGCCAACATGGTGAAACCACATCTCTACTAAAAATATAAAAATTAGCCAGGTATGGTGGCGTGTGCTTGTAATCCCAGCTACTCAGGAGGCTGAGGCAGGAGAATAGCTTGAACCCGGGAGGCGGAGGCTGCAGGGAGCCAAGATCGCACCACTGCACTCCAGCCTACGTGACAGAGCAAGATTCTGTCTCAAAAAAAAAAAGAAAAAAAAAAAATAAGTGACTCCTGGCTGCATCCCAACCATACCCCAATTCCTTCTAACCACAGAATTATTCCATCTTCTCTTCCTTTTTTTTTTTTTTCTTTTTTTTTGTTTGTTTTGTTGGGACAGAATTTCACTTTTTTTTTTTTTAATGTAAGTTTTAGGGTACATGTGCACAACGTGCAGGTTAGTTACATATGTATACATGTGCCATGTTGGTGTGCTGCACCCACTAACTCGTCATTTAACATTAGGTATATCTCCTAATGCTATCCCTTCCCCCGAGTTTCACTTTTGTCACCCAGGCTGGAATGCAGTGGTGCAATCTTGGCTCACTGCCACCTCCACCTCCAGGGTTCAAATGATTCTCCTGCCTCAGCCTCCTGAATAGCTGGGATTATAGGCATGCACCACCACGCCCGGCTAATTTTTGTATTTTTAGTAGAAATGGGGTTTCACAATGTTGGCCAGACTGGTCTTGAACTCCTGACCTCAGGTGATCCACCAGCCTCGGCCTCCCAAAGTGCTGGAATTACAGGTGTGAGTCACCGTACCCGGCCACCATCTTTGCTTCTTTATCCACACCTTGCCTTGTTCTTCAGGGCTCTGCAGAGATATCATTTCCTCCAAGAGTTTCCACAACTCCGACTTCACAAAGATAGCACTTTTTTTTTTTTTTTTGAGACAGTCTCACTCTGTAGCCCAAGCTGGCGTGCAGTGGCACAATCTCAGCTCACTGCAACCTTCGCCTCTGGGGCTCAAGCGATTCTCCTTCCTCAGCCTCCCAAGTAGCTGGGACTAGAGGCGCGCGCCACCACACCCGGTTAATTTTTTTTGCATCTTTAGTAGAGGTAGGGTTTCATCATGTTGCCCTGGGTGGTCTCAAACTCCTGAGTTCAGGTGATCCCCCCGCCTTGGCCTCTCAAAGTGCTAGGATTACAGGCGTGAGCCACTGCGCCCAGCCAAGACAACACTTTCCTCATCCCAAAGCACCTGTTAATTCCCTGTAACAGCACTTGAACCCTGATTCGGCATGCATGTCCATTTTCCTGCCTCTACCGTGAACTCGTGTGAATTGATCTATGTCAGATTTAGTGGCTGCATTCACAGCTCCCGCAACTATAACGGGGTTCTCGGGAAATATATATCAAATGAGTGAATGTATATACGGGGCTGTGGCACAGCCTGCAACTTGAGACTTCTCACTAGGGGTCTTGAAATGCTGTCTGGACACCACCATCGCTTTCCTCCCTGAGAACTTCTACTTATCAACCCATTTATATACTCATCGCATGGGTCCTCACGCCCTCCCATTATTCTGGTGCCTCATGCCGGTCAAATTTATTCTCTAAATCTGATTTTTCCATTAAATAGCAGCCTGGCCAACACGGTAAAACCCCATCTCTACTAAAAAATACAAAATATTAGCCAGGCGCAGTGGCTTGCACCCGTAATCTCAGCTACTCGGGAGGCTGAGGCAGCAGAATCACTTGAACCCGGGAGGCAGAGGTTGTGGTAAGCCGAGATTGCACCACTGCACTCCAGCCTGGTAACAGAGCGAGACTCCCTCTCAAAATAAATAAACTGCTGACTCGCGTATTTTTTCTTTACCCCAACTCATTCCTTACATGTAGGCACCTGTAATCCTAGCTACTCAGAAGGCTGAGGCAGGAGAATCGCTTGAACCTGGGAGGCGGAGGTTGCGGTGAGCCAAAATCGTGCCACTGCACTCCAGCCTGGGCGACAGAGCGAGACTCCATCTCAAAAAAAAAAAAAAAAAAACCACATAGGCTCAGTCTTTTCAGTATCTGCTTTACTGGTTCAGTAAAAGCCAGGAAACACAACTTTGTGGTAATCTGAATGTTATTGAACTGTATTTTGTTCACTTTATTGTAAATACTAGTGAACAGTGAATAAATGGTTGTATATTCCTAATAAGAAAAAAAAAAAAAAAGACCCAAAGTACAGCGAGCTGATGCCGATCTCATTTCGCAGAGGTCCGCCTGCTCTCCCCTCTCCAAGAGTGTAATCCTATGCTTAATAAACTTATGCCGCTTTGCTATGTGTGTGTATCACACCCAATTCTTTGTTCGAAACACCAAGGGCCTGGAACTTCACAGCTTTGGCTGGTAACGGGGAGCAGGGGTAAAGACATTTAAAAGCTGCTTGTGTTAACCATAATCGCCATCCCATATATCAGACCCCCAGAACTAACTCATCTTATAACTGAATATTGTGCTTTTTTTTTTTTTTTTTTTTTGAGACGAAGTCCTGCTCTGTCACCCAGGCTGGAGTGCAGTGGCGCGATCTTGACTCTGCAACCTCCGCCTCCCGGGTTCAAGCGATTCTCCTGCCTCAGCCTCCCGAGTAGCTGGGACTACAAGTGCGTGCCACCACGCCCGGCTAATTTTTGTATTTTTAGTAGAGACGGGGTTTCTCCATGTTGGTCTCAAACTCCTGGTCTCAGGTGATCCACCCGCCTTGGCCTCCCAAAGTGCTGGGATTACAGACGTGAGCCACCACACCCAGCTACTTGTGCTTTTTGACCAACATCTTCCTCTCCTACCACCCCCAGCCCCTGATAACCTCCACCTACTCTCACTTCTAGGAGATCAACTGTTCTATTTTTTTTTTTTTTTTTTTTTTTTTGAGTCTCGCTCTGCACACCCAGGCTGGAGTGCAGTGCTGCAATCTCGGATCACTGCAACCTCCGCTTTCCGGGTTCAAGCGATTCTCCTGCCTCAGCCTCCAGAGTCGCTGGGATTACTGAGCCACCGCGCCCAGCCAGAAGACCCACGCTCCCTAAGACATAACCCACACTGGTGGCCTTTGTTCTGACTTCTCACCTGTGCTCCCCACCCGCTAGAAACTGGCTTCTCTCCCCACACTTCCTCTGAAGCTGTCTGTGTGACCAACACTAATGAGCTTCCTTCCTGGAACATGCAGTGACCCTTTTCAGCCCTTCTCATTATTGCTCCCCCACAGTTGTATTTGACACGTTGACCACTTCCTCCTCGAAGGACTCACTTCTCTGGCTTTCTCGGACACTTCTTGCTACTCGTTTTCTGACGGTTACAGTACCAACAGGTTTGCAGGCACCTCCACCACCAGAGCCAATCCCAGCTACTCGGGAGGCTGAGGCAGGAGAATCGTTCAAACCCGGGAGGCAGAGGTTGCAGTGAGTCGAGATTGCGCCACTGCACTCCAGCCTGAGTGACAGACTGTGACTCCTCAAAAAAAAACAAAAACAAAAACAAAAAAACTACAGTCTTGCTCTGTCGCCCAGGATGGAATGCAGTGGTGCCATCTTGGCTCACTGCAACCTCTGCCTGCTGGGGTCTAGCGATTCTCCTGCCTCAGCCCCCCAAGGAGCTGGGACTACAGGCATGTGCCGCCACGCCTGGCTAATTTTTGTATTTTTAGTGGAGATGGGGGTTTTACCATGTTAGCCAGGTTGGTCTTGAACTCCCGACCTCATGTGATCCGCCCACCTTGGCCTCCCAAAGTGCGAGGATTACAGGCCCCCGCACCCAGCCTAGGATCCTGCACCTCTCTAGCCTAGCAGTTCTCTGCTGGGTGATTTTGCTCTCCACTCCAGGGGACATTTGGCAATGCCCATGGTAATTTTTAATTGTCATGACTTGGGGAGGGGTTCTACTGGCATCTGGTAGGTAGGGTCCAGGGGTGCTGCTCAGCTTCCTACAATGCCCAGGGCAGCCCCAGATGGCAGCAGCACCAAGGCTGAGAAACACTGGCTCATGCAGAAAGCAACCACCTTACACCCTTCAGTGCAGGGACAAAGGCAGGGTTACGAGTCCACGGAAACTCTCCAGTCTCAGCCTACGTAAGACGTGGCTATTTTTCTTTCTTATTGTTTTTATTCATTTATTTTTCTTGAGACAGAGTCTTGCTCTGTCGCCCAGGCTGGACTGCAGTGGCGCGATCTCTGCTCACTGCAAGCTCCGCCTCCCGGGATCACACCATTCTCCTGGGACTACAGGCGCCCGCCACCTAGCCCGGCTAATTTTTTGTATTTTTAGTAGAGACGGGGTTTCACCATGTTAGCCAGGATGGTCTCGATCTGACCTCGTGATCCTCCCGCCTCGGCCTCTCAAAGTGCTGGGATTACAGGTGTAAGCCACCGCACCCGGCCTTATTCATTTATTTTTTGAGATAGAGTCTGAGCCCTTTATTTTATTTATTTAGAGACCAAGTCTCGCTCTGTTACCCAGGCTGGAGTGCAGTGTCGTGGCCTCAGCTCACTGCAACAACCTCCGCCTCCCGGGTTCAAGCGATTCTCCCACCTTGGCCTCCCAAAGTGCTGGCATTACAGACACCCACTACCATGCCTGGCTAATTTTTTGTACTTTTAGTAAGTAAAGACAGGGTTTCACCATCTTGGTCAGGATGGTCTCGAACTCCTGGCCTCAAGTGATCGGCCCGCCTGGGTCTCCCAAAGTGATGAGATTACAGGCGTGAGCGACCACACTGGCCTAATGTGTAGTTTTTTATCTGTGGCCTCCCTTCTGCCCTCCCCCTTCTGAGACTCTGAAGCCCATTACATCACTCTGCCTTTGTGTACCAACAGCTTAGCTCCCACTGAGAACATACAGAGCCAGGCACGGTGGCGGTGGCTCACGCCTGTAATCCCATCACTTTGGGGGTGCTGAGGCAGGTGTATCGCCTGAGGCCAGGAGTTCAAGACCAGTCTGGCCAACATGGTGAAACCCCATCTCTACTAAAAATAGAAAAATACATAGCTGGGTGTGGTGGCACGTGCCTATAATCCCAGCTACTAGGGAGGCTGAGGTTGGAGAATCGCTTGAACCCAGGAGGCGGAGGTTGCGGTGAGCCAAGATCACACCATTGCACTCTAGCCTGGGCAACAAGAGCAAAACTGTCTTAAAAAAAAAAAAAAAAAGTGAGAACATATGGATTCTACTCCTGTTAGAATAATGGCCTCCAGCTCCATCCAAATTGCTGGAAATGACATTATTTCATTCCTTCTAATGGCTGAATAGTATTCCATGGTACATAGACACCACGTTTTCTTTATCCACTGTAGGGACCAGCCCCACAGGGTCGGTGGGTCTCTCCCTGTGTGCGGCGACGAGAGAGTGTAGAAATAAAGACACAAGACAAAGAGACAAGAGAAAAGGCAGCTGGGCCCGGGGGACCACTACCACCAATGCGCGGAGACCGGTAGTGGCCCCGAATGTCTGGCTGCGCTGTTATTTATTGGATACAAGGCAGAAGGGGCAGGGTAAAGAGTGTGAGTCACCTCCAATGATAGGTAAGGTCACGTGGGTCACGTGTCCACTGGACAGGGGGCCCTTCCCTGCCTGGCAGCCGAGGCAGAGAGGGAGAGGAGACAGAGAGAAAGACAGCTTACGCCATTATTTCTGCATATCAGGGACTATTAGTACTTTCCCTAATTTACTACTGCTATCTAGAAGGCAGAGCCAGGTGTACAGGATGGAACATGAAGGCGGACTAGGAGCGTGACCACCGAAGCACAGCATCACAGGGAGACGGTTAGGCCTCCGGATAACTGCGGGCGAGCCTGACTGATGTCAGGCCCTCCACAAGAGGTGGAGGAGCAGAGTCTTCTCTAAACTCCCCCGGGGAAAGGGAGACCCCCCCCCCCACCCGCTGCCCCTTTCCCGGTCTGCTAAGTAGCGGGTGTTGTTAATTGACACCTTTTGCTACCGCTGGACCATGATCCGCTTGGTGACGGGTGTCTTCCCAGACGCTGGCGTCACCGCTAGACCAAGGAGCCCTCTGGTGGCCCTGTCCGGGCATAACAGAAGGCTCGCACTCTTGTCTTCTGGTCACACCTCACTATGTCCCCTCAGCTCCTATCTCTGTATGGCCTGGTTTTTCCTAGGCTATGATTATAGAGTGAGGATTATTATAATATTGGAATAAAAAGTAATTGCTACCGGCTAATGATTAATGATACTCATATATAATCATATCTAAGATCTATATCTGGTATAACAATTCTTGTTTTATATTTTATTATACTGGAACAGCTCGTGTCCTCTGTCTCTTGCCTCGGTGCCTGGGTGCCTTGCCGCCCACAATCCACTCATTATTCAATGGGCACTTCGGTTGGTTCCACATCTTTGCAATTGTGAATGGCTGAGCCAGCCATTCTTAACTGGGGGTGATTTTGTCCCCATGGGGGTATCTGGCCACATCCCGAGAGGTTTTTTGGTTGTCACGAGTTGCAGTGGGGGCAGGCTCAGGCTCATCCAAGTCCAGGGGTGCTGCTATACATCACGTGATACACAGGACAGTCCTTGCTACGGACTGAATTGGTCCCACCAAACGTCATGTACAAGCCCTACCCCAGATGTGACTCTATTTGGACACAGGGCTTTTCAGAGGTAATTAAGGCTGGTCAGGCGCCGTAATCACAGCACTTTAGGAGTTCTGTGTTTATTACTGGTAAGTGGGTAAGAGCCCAGTGTGGCAGCTCACGCGTGTAATCCCAGCACTTTGGGAAGCGAAGGCAAGGGGATAACTGGAGGCCAGCAGTTCAAGACAAGCCTGGTCAATACAGCAAGACTCCATCTCTATAAAATATTTTAAAATTAGCCAAGCATGTTTGGCATGCACCTGTAATCCCAGCTCAGGAGGCTCAGGTGGGAGGATTCCTTGAGTTTAAGGCTGCAGTGAGCTAAGATCGCACCATTGCACTCCAACCCGGCTGTGGGCAACACAGCACCACCACCATCTTGGCTGGGCACGGTGGCTCACGCCTGTCATGCCAGCACTTTGGGAGGCCGAGGCGGGTGGCTCACCTGAGGTCAGGAGTTTGAGACTAGCCTGGCCAACATGGTGAAATCACGCCACTGCACTCCAGCCTAGGCAACCAAGTGAGACTCTGTCCGCCCCACCACCCCACCAAAAAAAAGACTACTATCTTAAACAAAATCAAAATTTTTAAGTAGATAAAATATTTAGGGGAAAAAAACTTCAATTAAATATGCAGCAGAGTCCGACCCAGATGTTTTCACTCCCAGCCTCTACCTACTATCTTTGTGTCTTTATTTTTAGCAAATTCTACACGGGAACTTCATGTGCATGTAGAACCCTAAATGTTGACTCAGCCCTACCTCTCATCACCTGACCACTTCCTTTATTCACGCTGTCTCTACCACCCTTCCCATCGGTGTGAGCTGTATCCCGCTAAACACTGTTACCACCCACAGCCTGCATTACTACCAGCTGACTGTAGCCTTAAACACCACAGTGATCTCGAGCATTTGAGAAGACTTATCTTGACAAGGGCTCACGAAAGACAGCAATGCTCAACAGCAAGATAAATGAGGGCCTTCATGGGATCATTCAGTGCTGAAGCCACTCAACCTCCAGGTTTGGGTTAGTAAAAAGAACTTTGTCAGGCCAGGCACAGTGGCTCACGCCTGTCATCCCAGCACTTTGGGAGGCCAAGGCGGGCAGATCACCTGAGGTCAGGAGTTCAAGACCAGCCTGGCTAACATGGTGAAACCTCGTCTTTACTAAAAATACAAAAATTAGCCAGGCATGGTGACGCACACCTCTAGTCTCAGCTACTCCGGAGGCTGGGACAGAAGACTCACTTGAACCCAGGAGGCAGAGGTTGTAGTGAGCCAAGATCGCACCACTGCACTCCAGCCTGGGCGACAGAGGCAAGACTCCATCTCAAAAAAAAAAAAAAAAAAAAAAAGAAAAGAAAACTTTGTCATACAAGCTTTCAACCTAAAGCATTAGCCATATGCCCGTGTTTTTGTGCCTGGGACCATGACAACTTTCCCCATATCAATGCTCTTATTTTTTTTTTTTCGAGACAAGAGTTTTGCTCTTATTGCCCAGGCTGGAGTGCAGTGGCACAATCTCAGCTCACCGCAAACTCCGCCTCCCGGGTTCAAGCGATTCTCCTGCCTCAGCCTCCCGAGTAGCTGGGATTACAGGCATACACCACCCCACCCGGCTAATTTTGTATTTTTAGTAGAGACGGGGTTTCTCCATGTTGAGGCTGGTCTCGAACTCCTGACCTCAGGTGATCCGCCCGCCTCGGCCTCCCAAAGTGCTGGGATTACAGGTGTGAGCCACAGCGCCTGGCTGCTCTTATTAAAATAGTCTCATCACCTACCGCAAGCGTGGAGAGCCAAGTGAGGAGAGGGGTCAGTCCCTTTTGGCAGCGCCTGGAAGCCAGTGCTAACATCATGGTGACAACTTTTCATTCTTAAGGAAAATTGCGGAGTGACTTCTATGCATTTTCTATGAATGACCAAATACAGGGTGTGGAAAAGCTGTGTTTGCCATGGCAATGGGAAGCCGAGAGAAACGGGGAGGCGAGAGAGACAGAGACATACACAGAGACTCCCAGAGACAGCCACACAGACTCACACAGAAACAGACAGACAGGCTGGGCTCGGTGGCTCACGCCTGTAATCCCACCACTCTGGGAGGCTGAGGCGGGTAGATCACCTGAGGTCAGGAGTCCGAGAACAGCCTGGCCAACATTGTGAAACCCCGTCTCTAGTAAGAATACAAAAAATTAGCCAGGCATGGTGGCACAGGGCTGTAATTCCGGCTACTCGGAAGGCTGAGGCAGGAGAATCACTTGAACCTGGGAGGCGCGGTTGCAGTGAGCTGAGATCACGCCATTGCACTCCAGCATGGGCGACAAGAGTGAAACTCCGTCTCAAAAAAAAAAACAAAAAAAAAAAACGAAAGAACAGAGAGACACATACAAAGACAGAGATAGAAACGCCCAGCGACAGAGACACACACAGAGAAACACAGACAGACACAGAGACACACACACAGAAACAGACACAGAGACAGAGAGACAAAAAGACAGACACAGAGAAACAAAGAGAGACACACAGAGACAGAGAGAGAGAGAGACACATACACACACACACAGAGAGTAGGAGGCGGCCCGTGGGAGCCGAGCAGAACCAGCGTGAGGCAGGGCCATCTTCTGAATTAAAGGCAACAGTGACTGTAAGCTTGTGCTTTGTGAGTAACAGGATAGATTAGAACAGGGCTGGCTGCCCATGGCCCACGAGCTGTTTCTGGGAAGCCTCCGCAGGTGCCAGCCAGGCCCTGCGCTGCTTCCATGTCCAAAGGCACAGCTGAGAGCTGATGAGAGACCGCGGGGCCCACAGTGCCAAGCATATGAACTATCTGGCCCGTTTGTCAATGCGTGGGTTGATCACATAAGTTATGATCACATAAGTCACAAAGACACACTGATCACATAGATGCACCTGGCAGATAGTAGACCACATGGCGCCTGAGTTAGGGAAGAAAAGAAATAGAAGAATCAACCGAATCATCCCTGAACTTCTTAGCAATACTTCCTCCTAGACAAAGCACAGAGTACCATGTTTATTGCAGGTTTGCTCCTGAGCATGTCAATAAACGCAGCTGCAACGAGAGTGCTCTAACTTTATTATCCCTGTGAGAAAGTACATAGCGTCATGTGAAGGGGGTGCGTGACTCGTGCAGAATCTCCCAAAAATAGTGAGAAAACCAGTGTCAAATCCTACCTCTCGACAGACTCTAGTGTTAACATGTGACCCTCTGACCTGCATTCATAAGACATCTTAGAGACCCGAATCCCGCTTCCTGTGTAATTCGTAGAGCGATCCCAGGCTGCTCAGCAAAAAAAGTCACAGCACGGAGGTGCCGTTGCCCCGGAAGCATTGCAATCAATAGTCAGCTTGGGATTCTTTTCTTTCACTTCCTCCAACAGCTTCTTGATTTCCAAATTAGTTTCATAGGTCTTCAACCTGGAGGGATCAGAGAACACAAATGTTCCCAGAAATTCATTCTCAACTACCCAGGATGCCTGAATATCTGTTTTCAAACACTCAAAGCAGGAAACGTTTTTGGGATTTTCTGGGGGACAGGGTCTTGCTCTGTTGCCCAGGCTGGGGTACAGTGGTGCCATCTTGGCTCTCTGCAACCTCCAGCTCCCAAGTTCAAGCAATTCTCATGCCTCAGGCTCCTGAGTAACTGTGATTACAGGTGTGCACCACCACGCTTGGCTAAGTTTTGTATTTACAGTAGAGATGGGGTTTCGACATGTTAGCCAGGCTGGTCTCGAACTTCTGGCCTCAAGTGATCCATCCACCTCGGCCTCCCAAAGCCATGGGATTACAGATGTGAGCCACAGCACCCAGTCAGAAAAGTTTTCTAAAAAGAAATTTAGACCCACACAATGGGGATCCTTATAAGTCTAAGAAAAAAAAGATTATGGCCAGGCACGGTGTCTCGCACCTGTAGTCCCAGCACTTTGGGAGGCCAAGGCAGGCAGATTGCTTGAGCTCCGCAGTTCAAGGCCAGCCTGGGCAACACGGTGAAACCCTGTCTCTACCAAAAATAGAAAAAGTTAGCCAGGAATGGTGGTGCACGCCTATAGTCCCAGCTACTCGGGAGGCGGAGGCAAGAGGATCACTTGAGCCCAGGAGGCGGAGGTTGCAACGAGCTAGAGATTGCCCTACTGCACTCCAGCCTGGTAACAGAGTAAAACATGCCTTTAAAAAATAAATTTAAAAAATAGATAATCAGGCTGGTGCACGGTGACTCACGCCTATAATTCCAGCACTTTGGGAGGCCGAGGCGGGCAGATCACCTGAGGTCAGGAATTCGAGACCAGCCTGGCCAACATAGTGAAACCCCGTCTCTACTAAAAATACAAAAATTAGCTGGGCATGGTGGCAGACAACTGTAATACCAGCTACTCAGGAGGCTGAGACAGGAGAATCGCTTTGAACCTGGGAGGCAGATGTTGCAGTGAGCCAATACCGCACCACTGTACTGCAGCCCGGGTGACAGAGCGAGACTCTGCCTCCAAATAAATAAATAAAAAATAGTGGCAAATCAAACCTTCAGTAGAACTAAGAGAATGCCAGAGTGAACCCCAGGGTTAATGATAGCAAACTTGGCTCTAACGTGGCTGCAGCATGCAAGCCTGTGTATGTGAACATGAGGGGTGGTGATTGTGGAGACACTGGCTTGCTATGTTGCCCAGGCTGGTCTCAAACTCCTGGCCTCAAACAATCCTCCCACCTTGGCCTCCCAAAGGAGGAACTGAGGAATGAGAAAAGAAATACGCCCCAAACATATGACATAAGAGACCACAGGGGGCTAGAGATTTGTCACCAATAGTCCTTGGTGGCATTACAGACCTCGGTCCCACCAACAAGAGAAGCATGACACTATTTAGCTCAAGTTTCATGATATACCCCTAAAACCTTAACCCATTTATGCCAGAGGTTACAATTATTTGAACTGCAGACGTGTGAAAAATCGTACCTTGAGCAGGATATAAATAACTCCCACATGCTTAGCGTTCCAATAATGCAACACTGGGCATCATGAAGCAGTTTACATGCGTATCATCTCTACAACTAAAATAACTCTTGAATAAGACAAGTGGGCTGTGCACAGTGGCTCACGCCTGCAATCCGGGTACTTTGTGAGGCCAAGACAGGAGGATCGTTTGAAGCCAGGAGTTTGAGAACCTCGGCAACACGGCCACACAGTGCAGCAGAGCAAAACGTTGTCTCAGAAAAGAAAAGACAAAGGCAAGAAGAAACTAAAGGTAGATTACGTTAAAATAAGTCACTGAGGCCGGGCGCGGTGGCTCACGCCTGTAATCCCAGCACTTTGGGAGGCCGAGGTGGGCAGATCACCTGAGGTCAGGAATTCGAGACCAGCCTGGCCAACATAGTGAAACCCCATCTCTACTAAAAATACAAAAAATTAGCCGGGCGTGGTGGCGGGCGCCTGTAGTCCCAGCTGCTCGGGAGGCTGAGGCAGGAGAATGGCGTGAACCCGGGAGGTGGAGCTTGCAGTGAGCCGAGATCGCACCGCTTCACTCCAGCCTGGGCGACAGAGACTGGAGTCTCTGTCTCAAAAAAAAGACAGATTCAAAAAAAAAGACAGACTCCGTCTCAAAAAAAAGACTCCGTCTCAAAAAAAAATAAAAAATACAAATAAGTCATTGAAAAGATATACACGGGTCACAACTAAGGGAGCATCTGTAGGACGATCTTCTGAAAAGCTAAGACCCAGGACAGCTCTGGGAACTACCTATTTTTGGATATAATGATTAGGGGTGTGTGTGTGTGTGTGTGTGTGCTCATGCACACACATACACACAAGCTTCCAGTCTGTACTCCAGGATGATTTAAACTCTCAGTATGCCTAGGACTAAGTGTTTTGGGGGAAAGTTGGACAATATTCAATTCACAGAGCATTTTAGAAAAGTATCTAATTTTTAAATTATCTCCTAAGCTAGGAGTGTGCTATAGAAAGATGCCTTAAGTTGATCCCTACAAAGAGTACACACACTCCCAAAAAAACTCTTCTCTGCATGGGAAATTCACCATGTGAAACAGCCATCCCAGGGCCGAGCACAGTGGCTCACGCCTGTAATCCCGGCACTTTGAGAGGCTGAGGCAGGTGGATCACCTGAGGTTGGGAGTTTGAGACCAACCTGACCAACATGGTGAAACCCCATCTCTACTAAAAACTACAAAAATTGGCCAGGTGCAGTGGCTCATGCCTGTAATCCCAGCACTTTGGGAGGCCAAGGCGAGAAGATCACCTGAGGTCAGGAGCTCGAGACCAGCCTGGCCAACATGGCAAAACCCCATCTCTACTAAAAATACAAAAATTAGCTGGGTGTGGTGGCGAGCGACTGTAATCCTAGCTACTCAGGAGGCTGAGGCAGGAGAATCACTTGAACCCAGGAGGCAGAGGTTGCACTGAGCCGAGATAGCGCCACTGCACTCCAGCCTGGGGGACAGAGAGAGACTCTGTCTTTAAAAAAAAAAAAAAAAAAAAAAAATTAGCCAGCTGTGGTGGTGTGTACCTGTAATCCCAGCTACTCAGGAGGTTGAGGCAGGAAAATCGCTTCAACCTGTGAGAAGGAGGCTGCAGTGAGTCAAGATCGCGCCACTGCACTCCAGCCTGGGCAACAGTGAGACTCCATCCCAAAAAGCAAAAACCAAAAAGGCCGGGTGCAATGGCTCACCTCTGTAATCCCACCACTTTGGGAGGCCGAGGCAGGTGGCTCACCTGAGGTCAGGAGTTCAAGACTAGCCTGGCCAACATGGTGAAACCCCTCTCTACTAAAAAATTAGCCAGGCATGGTGGCAGGCATCTGTAATTCCAGCTACTTGGGAGGCCAAGGTGGGAGAATCGCTTGAACCCAGGAGGTGGGGGTTGCAGTGAGCCAAGATCGCACCACTGCACTCCAGCCTGGGCTACAAGAACAAAACTCCGTCTCAAAAAAAAAAAAAGAAAAAGAAAAAAATTAGCTGGACATGTTGGCATGCCTCTAGGCCCAGCTACTCATGAGGCTGAGGCAGGAGAATTGCTTGAACCTGAGAGGCAGAGGTTGCGGTGAGCCAAGATTGCGCCACTGCACTCCAGCCTGAATGACAGAGCACGACTCCATCTCAAAAAAACAAAAACAAAAAACAAAACAAAACAAAACAAAAAACCCATACCTGAGTATCTTCAAGGATCCAGTTCTTTGTCTTAGAACCCCAAAGAGCTTAATTATGCCACTCTTCCACAAATGATTCTGGCCCAGGTCCAGAGTTTCAAGCTTCTGATTGCTGAGGAGAGCAGATCCAAGATGCTGACAATAGAAAGGCATGAGGGAGCAGCTCCAGAGGCTGTTGAGGAAGAACATGGAAATCCACGCATTCACTGAGCAGGTAGTGGCTCAAGCGTGTAATCCCAACACTTCGGGAGGCCAAGGCGGGTGGATCACTTGAGGCCAGGTGTTCGAGACCAGCCTTGCCAACACGGTCAAACCCCATCTCTACTAAAAATACAAAGATTAGGCAGGGCGTGGGGACAGACACCTGTAGCCCCAGCACCTTGGGAGGCCGAGGAGGGTAGATCACCTGAGGTCAGGAGTTCGAGACCAGCCAGGCCAACATGGCAAAACCCCATCTCTACAAAAAATTAGCCATGCATGGTGGTGTGTGCCTTTAATGCTAGCTACTTGGGAGGCTGAGGCACAAGAATCGCTTCAGCCTGGGAGGCGGAGGTTACAGTGAGCCCAGATTGCGCCACTGCACTCCAGCCTGGGCAATAGAATGAGACTCCATCTCACAAATATATAACATAAAATGAAAATACAAAAATTAGCCAGGTATGGTGGAACCACCTATAATTCCAGCTACTCGAGAGGCAGGAGAATCGCCTGAACCAGGAGGCAGAGGTTGTAGTTAGCCAACATATCACCACTGCATTCCAGCTTGGGTGAAAGAGTGAGACTTGGTCTCAAACAAAACAAAACAAAAAAACAAGCAGCATATTTGCTGGGGCTCCAGTAGTGAGGAAAGGCAGAGGGGAGTGAGCAGAAGAAATCCTTGTCCTCAGAGTTTTTAGTGACAGCAGACATCTCGATATGTTCTATTGAAGACAATGGATGATGGTATTAAAATAAACAGGGTAGAGGTAAGTCAAACAGAGAGGCATTGATTGGCTAGACTTATGCTGGTCATTTAAGTCCTCTTTTGGAAAGTGATATGAGGAAAGAAACTGAAGGATGGTAGATCATGAACCAGCATGCTAACTGGGGGAGGGAATCTTGTAAATAAAATACTGAGCTAGTGAGAAAGTAGAATGATTTATGGCTCATAACTTACACGAGGATCCCCCATAAGGCCCTGTAGGCCACTGTAGAAGCCTTTGGTTTTGTTTTTTTTAAGGCAGAGTTTCACTCTTGTTGCCAAGGCTGGAGTGCAATGGCGTGATCTCGGCTCACTGCAACCTCCGCCTCCTGGGTTCAAGCGATTCTCCTGCCCCAGCCTCCCGAGAATCTAGGATTACAGTCATAGCTGAGATTACAGGAACAAGACACCAGGTAATCCACCCGTTTGCATTGAGCTTTTGAGTCTTTGGAAATAAAGGTATCACGGTCTGGCTTGAGGCTTGAAATATTCCTCAGGGGGATGGGTTAAGAAACTTCAGGAGGCCAGGAATGGTGGCTCATGCCTGTAATCCCAGCACTTTGGGAGGTTGAGGCAGGTGGATCACTTGAGGTCAGGAGTTTGAGACCAGTCTGGCTAACATGGTGAAACCTGGTCTCTACTAAAAATACAAAAATTAGCTGGGTATGGTGGTGCACGCCTGTAATCCCAACTACTCAGCTCAATCAGGAGAATCGCTTGAACCTTGGAGGCTGAGGTTGCAGTGAGCCAAGATCGCACCACTGCACTCCAGCCTGGGTGACAAAGCGAGACTCTGTCTGAAAAAAGAAAAAAAGTACCCTGTGTTCTAGTGTTTTTTTTCTTTACTCTACAGCAAAGCTAAGTAGTAATGACGTGCAGATTCTCTTTGCATTAGGATTGCAGATTCTAGTTGGAAAATAGGTTGCATCCAAGAGATGCAACTGACAAACTTTGGGGAGAGAAGTGATGAAGAGCTCGCCATTCCATTTGTGGAGACTTTGCATTTTCTGGGGGTGGTATCCCACCTATGGTTCCCTGGGTTTATGAGGTGGGGCAGGCTCACTGCTTCCTGATTACTGGATCCCAGCAGAAGCAGCATGCTGCTGAAGTCCAGGTCACTGGGGGCCATTGTTATATATATTTCACTTCTCCAGGCCCTCTACCTGACTTTAGAAGTGCCCACCCACATATATTCAGTTTCTGGAGGGGTTTGATCTTAAAACTGGATCCGAAGTGATACAGTCTGAGATATTGAAAACATAGAAATTGGCCGGGCGTGGTGGCTCACGCCTGTAATCCCAGCACTTTGGAAGGCCAAGGCGGGCAGATCATGAGGTCAGGAGATCGAGACCATCCTGGCTAACACTGTGAAACCCATCTCTACTAAAAATACAAAAAAAATTAGCCAGGCACGGTGGCGGGCATCTGTAGTCCCAGCTACTCAGGAGGCTGAGGCAGGAGAATAGCGAGAACCCGGGAGGAAGAGGTTGCAGTAAGCCGAGATCGCGCCACTGCACTCCAGCCTGGGCAACTAGAACGAGGCTCCGTCTCAAAAAAAAAAAAAAAAAAAGAAAACATAGAAATTAAGGATTTCCAGATTTCCAAACACTTTAAAAATGAGGCCAGGCATGATGGCTCATGCCTGTAATCCTAGCACATTGGGAGGCCGAGGTGGGAGGATTCCTTGAGCACCAGAATTCAAAACCAGCCCGGGAAAGATGACAAGACCTCATCTCTACAGAAAACAGTTACCTGGCCATGGTAATACATGCCTGTAGAGCCAGCTACTCAGGAGGCTGAGGTGGGAGAACCGATCAAGCCTGGAAGACCGAAGCCGCAGTGAGCCGTAATCACCCCACTGCACTCCAGGCTGGGGGACAGAGCAAGACCCTGTCTCAAAAAAAGAAAGAAAGAAGAAAAAGAAAATCGCCTACCGTAGGTGTTTTAGGTTACAGTTTGGATTCTCTAATGCCTGACAGAGAATCCACAATCCACGAGCTATCTGGTTGATACTCAAGTCCAGGTTTGTGAGGCTGCAGGCTTCTTGGAGCGCCTCTGAGAGATATCTACAGCCAAGCTTGGTTATGCTGCATTGCTGTAACCTACAGGATAATCAAAGGAAGAGAAGCCTGTTATCCCTCTGGCTAACGCCCTGTGAAGCAGTTATTTCCAACACTATATACCTTCCACTTATATACTGGAATGCAGTGCTGCACTCTTGGCTCACTGCAACCTCTGCCTCCCAGGTTCAAGCGATTCTTCTGCCTCAGCCTCCCAAGTAGCTGGGATTATAGGTGCCCGCCACCTATATAACCAGACTTGGTGGTGCACGCCTGTAGTGCCAGCTACTCAGAAGACTGAGGCAGGAGAATCGCTTGAATCCGGGAGGCAGAGGCTGCAGTGAGCTGAGATCGCGCCACTGCACTCCAGCCCGGGCGACAGAGCGAGACTCCGTCTCAAGAAAACAACAACAACAACAAAAAGTATTTATATAAAACATAGGTGGCAGGTAGGAATTGACCCATGAACTGGAGCTATATACTTCCAGGTGGGCTTGCACATAAAAGCATGCAAATGGGCCGGGCACAGTGGCTCACGCCTATAATCACAGCAGTGGGAGGCCAAGACGGGCAGATCATTTGAGGTCAGGAGTTCAAGACCAGCCTGGCCAACATGGTGAAACCCCATCTCTACTAAAAAATACAAAAATCGGGCCGGGCGCGGTGGCTCAAACCTGTAATCTCAGCACTTTGGGAGACCAAGGTGGGTGAATCACAAGATCAGGAGTTCAAGACCAGCCTGGCCAAAGTGGTGAAACCCCATCTTTACTAAATACAAAAATTAGCTGGGCACGATGGCTCACACCTGTAATCTCAGCACTTTGGGAGGCTGAGGCAGACAGATCACCTGAGGTCGGGAGTTCAAGACCAGCCTAAGCAATATGGAGAAACCCGTCTCTACTAAAAATACAAAATTAGCCAGGTGTGGTGGCACATGCCTGTAATCCCAGCTACTCAGGAGGCTGAGGCAGGAGAATCTCTTGAACTGGGGAGACGGAGGTTGTGGTGAGCAGAGATTGCACCATTGCACTCCAGCCTGGGCAAGAGCGAAACTCCATCTCAAAAAAAAAAAAAAATTAGCCAGGTGTGGCGGCCCATGCCTGTAATCCTAGCTACTCAGGAGGCTGAGGTAGGAGAATTACTTGAACCCAGGAAGCGGAGGTTGCAGTGAGCCAAGATCGCACCACTGCACTCCAGCCTGGTGACAGAGAGAGACTGTTAAAAAAAAAAAAAAAACATCCAAATGGCCTTCTGATTCCATCCATTTCCAGCTCTGCCTGGGACAACAGCTTAGGCTCTGGGTTCAGACCGACCCAGGACAGGATCTGAGCCCTGGGTCACTTATTTTCTGCGTGGTTAGATTATGGAAATTTCACTTTCCCTGTCATTTTATTTCATGTTTAAGTTTTGTCTTTAACTGACACATTCTACATATATAGGGGTATAGTGTGATGTTTTGGTGCAGGTACACTTCGTATAACGATCAGGTAGGTGACTGTTTGTTTAACAATAGTTATTCTAAGCCAGGCACAGTGGCTCATGCCTGGAACGCCAGCACTTTGGGAGGCCGAGGCAGGCAGATCACTTAAGGCCAGGAGTTCAAGACCAGCCTGGCCAACATGGTGAAACCTCATCTCCACTAAAAGTGCAAAAATTAGCCAGGCATGGTGGAGGGCACCTGTAATCCCAGCTACTTGGGAGGCTGAGGCAGGAGAATCGCTTGAACCTGGGAGGCAGAAGTTGCAGTCAGCCAAGATTACACCACTGCATTCCAGTCTGGGCGACAGAGTGAGACTTCATCCAAAAAAAAAAAAATGAATCTCAGAAATGACCACTAGCTAGAATTTCTGAACAGGAACAGGTCTTCAACCCTATGCAATCTCTTGAATATTTTTCTAACCATAATTTTAATGTGAACAGGTAGCTCACGCTGGGCTTCTTTCCATATAACAAGATTCAGCCAACTATAGTTCGTGGGTCAATTCCAACCTGCCACCTATGTCTTTTACAAATAAGGATTTTTGTTGAGTTTTTTTTTGTTTTTTTCTTGAGACGGAGTCTCACTCTGTCGCCCGGGCTGGAGTGCAGTGGCGCCATCTCAGCTCACTGCAGCCTCTGCCTCCCAGATTCAAGCGATTCTCCTACCTCAGCCTTCTGAGTAGCTGGTACTATAGGCACGCACCACCAAGCCTGGTTAATTTTTGTATTTTTTAGTAGCGATGGGTTTTCACCATGTTGGCCAGGCTGGTCTCGAACCTTAGGTGATCTGCCCACCATTCACCACCTGTTCCCCAATAACCTATGGAAATAAAAGTTTAAAAAAAGGTGCCACTGGCCCTACCACATAACTCAATCTACCTCCAATAGCAGGCAGTACTATGTCATAGGAATTTGAAAGAACACACACAAAGCATCAGATCCGAGAACCAACTACTCATCTCAAATCTTCCTTCATAGCAGGAAGAGGCTCTGCTGACATGCAAATATTAACATGTTTCTACCTGTATCTGCCTGGTTTTTTTTGTTTCTTTGTTTTTTTGAGAAGGAGTCTTGTTCTGTCGCCCAGGCTGGAGTGCAGTGGTGCGATCTCGGCTCACTGCAACCTCCGCCTTCCAGGTTCACGCCATTCTCCTGTCTCATCCTCCCAAGTAGCTGGGACTACAGGCATCCGCCACCACACCTGGCTAATTTTTGGTATTTTTAGTACAGACAGGGTTTCACCATGTTAACCAGGATGGTCTCCATCTCCTGACCTCATGATCCACCCGCCTCGGCCTCCCAAAGTGCTGGGATTACAGGCATGAGCCACCACGCCTGGCCTCTGCCTGTTCTTTAATTCTTACCAGGTTTTTAAAAGTTACATTTGAAATGAATTAACAAGTACTTTCATGTCTCTCCTGCTTGAATTCATGTGCACACACACACACACCCAGCAGGGACTTACACCAAGGTCTGCAGTTTACAATCAGGGTAACTCAAGCCCTCACACAGAAACTTCACCCCTGTATCCCCAATGGGGTTCTTGGCCAAGCACAGGTGTGTCAGCTTCTTGCTGACAACCAAGACAGCAGCAAGGTCCTTGCAACTGGCTTCTGTAAGACGACAGTTTTCCAACCTGCAAAAATATGAAACAAATGGTAGAAGGATGAGAACATTTCCACAACTCCAACCTGCTCAGTGATGTCCACATGCTAGGGTACTCAGCTTCAGCCCTTCCTGTTCATCCCCTGCCCTCTGTCCTGTGGGAGTCATCATGGCCACAAAAGAGCAGGAAGGCGAGAAGGCCAAGATGCAGCGGTCCACCTGGAGCCATCACAGGACACAGGTGTTGTTTTTGAGACGGAGTCTCGCTCTGTCGCCCAGGCTGGAGTGCAGTGGCGCGATCTCGGTTCACTGCCAATCGCCGCCTCCCAGGTTTACACCATTCTGCTGACTCAGCCTCCTGAGTAGCTGGGACTACAGGCGCCCACCACACCTGGATAATTTTTTGTATTTTTTAGTAGAGACGGGGTTTCACCATGTTAGCCAGGATGGTCTCGATCTCTTGACCTCGTGATCTCCCCGCCTTGGCCTCCCAACGTGCTGGGATTACAGGCATGAGCCACCGCACCCGGCCTGTTTTTGGTATTTTTAATAGAAACAGGGTTTCACCATGTTGGCCAGGTTGGTCTCGAACTCCTGAACTCAGATGATCCGCCCACCTCTCTGCTGAGATTACAGGCAGGAGCCACCGTGCCGGGCCTGAAGCAGGTGTTTATTTCAGCAAGAGGCGCCACGTGGGTGGCGCAGTAAGTCAGGTGTTACCCTTTCTCTTCTATAGCCCCAGAACTAAACCAGAGCTGCCCATGGGAAGAGGAGACTTACGACAACATCTGCAGGAAGTGTTTTGGGCGTGTCATGGTCTTGTACAGCAACATGGCACCCTCATCCAGGAGCACATTGGCTGAGAGACGCAGGTGCTTCAGGGACTGGTTGGCTTTGAGGACATAGAAGAATTCAGCCCACTGCTCCGGGGTGGCACAGTGACCTCCCAACCTGTGAAAAGAGTGGGAAAAGTCATTCTTCTGGGAGGACAGAGTATACCCTATCAGCTTTTTTTTTTTGAGACAGAGTTTCACTCTGTTGCCCAGTCTGGAATGCAAAGGCGTGATCTCACCTCACTGCAGCCTCCGCCTCCCGGGTTCAAGCTATTCTCCTGCCTCAGCCTCCGAAGTAGCTGGGATTACAGGCATTCGCCAATTTTTGTATTTTTAGTAGAGACGGGATTTCACCATGTTGGCCACACTGGTCTTGAACTCCTGACCTCAGGTGATCCACCCACCTTGGCCTACCGAAGTACTGGGATTACAGGTGTGAGCCACCGCGCCTGGCCCAGATCAGCTTCTTCTGCTTCACTTCCCAAGACATTATGTCTTTGGTTTATCTCATTCTACTCATGCCTCCAACCCTGGCCTGAATTACTGGAGAGATCTAATGTTGCCTCTGCTTCTTCAAGTATCCCCATGGCCATTAGGGTAACATCCAGCCACTTCTCCAAGAGATTGTAATACAATTCTGTGCAATGTTTCACCAAAACGGCCTGTGTGGATGATTTTGCAGGGGGGAAAAAAAAATTTTTTTTTTGAGACAGGATCTCGCTCTGTTGCCCAGGCTGGAGTGCAGTGGCATGATCACAGGTCACCACAACCTGTCTCCTGGGCTCAAATGATCCTCCCACCTCAGCATCCACTGTAGCTGGGACTAGAAGGGGCAAATTGATGCTTAATACTCAAAATAAAAATTTTATCCTGGCCAGGCGCAGTGGTTCATGCCTGTAATCCTAGCACTTTGGGAGGCCGAGACAGGCGGATCACTTGAGGTCAGGAGTTCGAGACCAGCCTGGCCAACATGGTGAAACCCTGTCTCTATTAAAAATACAAACATTTGCCAGGCGTGGTGGTGCACGCCTGTAACCCCAGCTACTCGGGAAGCTGAGGCAGAACTGCTTGAACCCAGGAGGCGGAGGTTGCAGTGAACGAGATCGCGCCACTGCGCTCCAGCCTGGGTGACAAGAATAAAACTGTCTCAAAGAAAAAAAAAAAAAAAAAAGATTCTCATTGAGTGCAGAGAAGGTTGCATGCTCCTTATGAATACCTAACTCCTGATGATCTGAGATTGATGATCCATTCTCCTCAGGCTCCCAAAGTGCGAGGATCATGCACTCCATAGGATCAGGCACCAACGATTAGCTCCTGTGCCTGATCTGAGATCGAACAGTTTCATCCCAAAACTACCCCCAAACCCGTCTGTGGAAAAAACTGTCTTGTGCAAAACCGGCCCGCGGTGCAGAAAAGGCTGGGGGCCACTGCTCTCAATCCCAACAATTAGGCAAGGTGCAGTCAGGAATAGCATGTCCCTAAAGCTGGAACCCAGCACAGAATTCGGGGTGTTTCTTTGCATGGATAGCTGGTTATGCAACACAGAAGACAAGCTGGTGGGGGAAAGAGGAGAGGCCGACTCCCCCACACAGGCCTGTTTGAGGAATACATTCCCTGTCTGGGACGGCATCTGGAGTGGTTACCCTTTTTCCTAGATCCCCCAGCAACACGGTGCAGTGGACTCCAGGTGCTGGGGAGAGCCGTGACCGTGAGACCCACCTCAGGTACTGCAGGTTGCATTTATGATTTCTGAGCAGGTCACACAGCATCAGCATCATCGTGCGTTCCCACTCGATGTGCCCTGCCAGGGTCAGGTGCGTGAGGGTCTTCTTCCCAATGAAAGCAAGACAGAAGTCCCGGTACGCGGTGTCAGGGGTGACGTTTTTAATCCTAGGGAAAAGCAGAAGAGATTCCACTTGGAGTGATTAATACTCACATTGTGTGGAGGCATGTATAAACAAAAAGCTGTTTCACATTTAGAAATTATTAGAAGTTCTTGGCCGGGTGCAGTGGCTCGTGTCTGTAACCCCAGCACTTTGGGAGGCTGAGGCAGGAGGATAACCTGAGGTCAGGAGTCTGAGACCAACCTGGGCAACATGGTGAAACTCCATCTCTACAAAAAATAAATTAGCTGGGGCCGAGGCAGGCAGATCGCCTGAGGTCAGGAGTTCGAGACCAGCCTGGCCAACATGGGGAAGCCCCGTCTCTACTAAAAATACAAAAATTAGCTGCACATGGAGGGGCATGCTTGTAGTCCCAGGTATTCGGGAGGCTGAGGTAGGAGAATCACTTGAATCCAGGAGGCAGAGGTTGCAGTGAGCCGAGACCGCACCACTGCACTCCAGCCTGGGCAACAGAGCAAGACTCCATCTCAAAAGAAAAAAAAATTCGCCGGGTGTGGTGGCTCACGCCTGTAATCCCAGCACTTTGGGAGGCCGAGGCCGAGGCGGGTGGATCACGAGGTCAGGAGATCAAGACCATCCTGGCTAACACGGTGAAACCCCGTCTTTACTAAAATTACAAAAAACTAGCCGGGCGTGGTGGCGGGCGCCTGTAGTCCCAGCTACTCGGGAGGCTGAGGCAGGAGAATGGCATGAACCCGGGAGGCAGGGCTTGCAGTGAGCCGAGATTGCTGCACTGCACTCCAGCCTGGGGAACATAGCGAGACTGTCTCAAAAAAAAAAAAAAAAGTCAAGAAGCAGAGGATCAGGAAAAACAACTAAGGGGTACTAGGCTTAATACTTGGGTGACAAAATAATCTGTACAACAAACTCCTATGACACACGGTTACCTGTGTAACTAACCTGTACTTGTACCTACTTTTTGGTTTGTTTTGGTAACAAAACAAACCAAAAAAAAGATAGCTGGGGCCAGGCATGGTGGCTCATGCCTGTAATCCCAGCACTTTCGAAGACCGAGGCAGGCGCATCACCTTAGGTCAGGAGTTCGAGACAAGCCTGGCCAAGATGGAGAAAATTCCACCTCTACTAAAAACACAAGATTAAGTCATTGCACTCCAGCGCCTAGGTGACAGAGTGAAACTCTGTCTCAGAAAAAATAAAAAATAAAAAAGGGGCCAGGTGCAGCGGCTCATGCCTATAATCCCAGCACTTTGGAAGGCCGAGGCAGGCAAATCACCTGAGGTCAGGAGCTCGAGATCAGCCTGGGCAACACGGTGAAAACCTGTCTGTGCTAAAAGTACAAAATTAGCCGGGCAAGGTGGCACATGCCTGTAATCCCAGCTACTCGGGAGGCTGAGGCAGGAGAATTGCTTGAACCTGGGAGGTGGAGGATGCAGTGAGCTGAGATCGCGCCATTGCACTCCAGCCTGGGCAACAAGAGTAAATCTCCGTCTCACCAAAAAAAAAAAAAAAAAAAAAGACAGCTGGAAAATCCCCAAATACATGGAGATGAAACAGCACATTTCCAAATTTAAAAAACAAAAGTACAAGAAGCTTAGTCATCGTTCAGGGTCTTCCTTGCAAGATGAGCTTCTACTTACTCCACTTTCTGCAGATGACAGGTGCTACGGGTTACGTGGTCACAAAGAATCCGCACAGAAGAGTCACTCAGGAAGCTTTGTTTCACTTCCAGAAACTTGAGGTTGCTGTTTGAGCTGAAGAGAGAGCAGAAATCTGTCCAGAGGCGAAGAGAGCGAAGATCCTGCCGAGCCCAGTTCGGAATGGTTAGGTAAGTGCACCTGCAGGAGAACACACGTTCATCTCTTAGGACTAGTACCTGCATGGTGAGATGGGCATCTGCAAACCACATTTCAATGGCAAAAACCACAATTACTTTTGCACCAACCTAAAACAGTGTCTATAGTAAACAATATTGCATCACATGCTTTGCTACCAGTATAGATCTTAAGTTTTACAAAAAAAATAAAATAATAGATAAGGCTGAGTGAGGTGGCTCATGCCTGTAATCCCAACACTTTGCTAGGCCAAAGTGGGAAGATCACTTGAGCCCAGGAGTTTAAGACCAACTTGGGCTAGAAACTGAGACCCCCATCTCTACAAAAAAATAAAATAATTAACCGGGCAAGGTGGTGCACGCCCATAGTCCCAGCTACTCGGGAGGCTGAGGCAGGAGAATCACTTGAACCCGGGAGGCGGAGGTTGCAGTGAGCCAAGATCGCGCCACTGCACTCCAGCCTGGGGGACAGAGCGAGACTCCGTCTCAAAAATAAAAAGCCCCAATTCCTAATTGCCAAGTCGTGTCTCCACGTTGAACATGAAGCTGGAAAGAAGTCCAGCCAGAGGGAAATTCTGACAGTAAGCGACAGGGCAAAGGAGACGCTGGCCTCTTCCTAGTGGAGCGTGGGATGGGAAAACAGTTCTTACCTTTCAAATTCAATGTCCAGTTCAAAATCCATGTAATTCTCCAGGAACACCCCCTTTGCTACCTGCAGTGAGAGTTTCTGCAAGTCTTGACAATGCTTCAGGCTGAAGGAACAATGCATCACTTCAGAAGTATTTGTCAGGTGAATAGAAATTTCCTTGAACGGGGCCACCACCACCTTCGCCAGCTCCTCCTCCTGAGACTCATACAGGCAGCCCAAGACCTCCTTCAGGTCGGTCACGGATAAGGGCTTATTTGCATGAAGATGTGCTTTGCATTGCAGCAATTCCTGTTTGATGTCCGGTGACATCCGGCAGCCAAAAGTGGCCTCCAACTCCTTGGCTCTCTTCTCGTTAGCGAGGCCGAATAAGAAGTGTCCTACTTGAATCAGGTCGGGGTTCTTGAGTCTTTCTTCTCCGGAAAGCAGCTTCTGTACGTCCCCGATGTCCCAGGCGTGGCCGTCCCTGTCCTCCCCCTCCTCCTTCTCCAGGGCGTAGAACAGGGCAGTGAGAAACTGCTGGAAGCTGAGGTGGATGAAGGAGTAGCAGCCTTTGGAGACTCTGTCCTGGCGGAGGATGTCTCCGTCCAGGAACAGACGGAGGTCGGACTCCTGCACCCCGAGCCTTTCCAGGTCCTCTCGGTGGAACACGGACATCTGCGCCCACAGGCCCTGCGCGGCCAGGAGGCTCAGCGTCCGCAGCGCGCCCCGCAGCTGTGCGCCCTGCGGGAACCGGCTGCAGAGGAAACGCAGGAACAGCCCCGTGCGGGTGAGGCAGGTGGGGACCGGGTCCTCCCCCTTCTCCATCTGCAGCTTCAGAGTCGTGCACACAATCCAGCACACCGCGGGGGCCGAGCCCAGCTGGAACAGGGCCGCGTTGCTCCTCATTAGCTCAAAGGCACGCATGGCTTGGTCCTCGTCTCCAAAGTGTCTCAGGAAATAGGCCCTCCTGTCCTCCTCCAGGAAGCCCTCCACCCTTACGTAGATCGGCTGCTGCGCCAGGAGCTGGAGGTCCCTCAGTGCCCTGGGCCGCGTGGTGACCAGCAAGGCTGCCCTGGGTAACATCTTCCTCTTCAGCAAACTCCCCAGGAGGACGGGCACCGGCTTCTTCTTCTCCCAGTCCCCGCAGATGTCCTGGATCAGCGCCCCAGGTGGGACTTTCAGCTCATCAAGGCCATCGACCACGAACAGGATTCTCTGTGCTTGGGCTAGGATGCTTGGAATGTCATCCTGCAATTCAGGCCAGTCTTTGGAGATCAGCTCTGCAAAACTGCAGGGGCCCATGCGGCTGAGCTCCTTGCAGCTGAGGTAGAACGCGTATCTGAGCGTCGGGCTGAGGTTGCAGTCTGTCCAGTCCAGCATACACTTTTTGGCCAGCGTGGTTTTCCCCACGCCTGCGGGGCCGTGCAGCACCACCGTGTAAGGTGTTAGCTTCCTGGGTGTTCTGGGATTCAAGAATGGAATGAACCGTTGGTTTCTCAGAGTGACGTCGTCATGGAAATTGTCAATGTCTCCTTGCCAAAAGGTGTTCTTCCAGACCAAAGACTGTTTCTCCATTGAATTTCTCCATCCTTCCTTTTCACCTGCAGTGACAGCCCATAGGACAGTTGAGGTTGATGATGATGATTTTCTGAATTATTTTGTCAAGTACCAGAAATGAGGGCCAGGCACGGTGTCTCATGCTTGTAATCCCGGCACTTTGGGAGGCCAAGGTGGGTGGATCACTTGAGGTCAGGAGTTCAAGACCAGCCTGGCCAAGATAGTGAAACCCCATCTCTACTAAAAATACAAAACATTAGCTGGGGGTAGTGGCGGCCGCCTGTAATCCCGGCTACTCAGGAGGCTGAGGCAGAGAATTGCTTGAACCCGGGAGGCAGAGGTTGCAATGAGCAGAGACGGAGCCACTACACTCCAGCCTGGGCTACAGAGCAAGATTCCGTCTCAAAAAAAAAAAAAACTACCAGAAATGAATAAAACCAGGAAGAAGTGATGCACCTTGCATGCTCTCAAACACCAAACTCATGACCATAGGACCGTATTTACCCACCTGGCTTTGCTAACTCCGAGTCTTCTTCTGCATCTCCCAGCTCAGGATTATCTATTTCTTGCACCTGTCCGTCCTCTGTAAAATACTTAGATGTAAGCCTGACACAGTAATTTACACTTCGTAAATCAGACATTATTGTACATAAAGTGTCAGCCAGGCATGGTGGCTCATGCCTGTAATCACAGCACTTTGGAAGGCTGAGGTGGGCGGATCACAAGGTCAGGAGATCAAGACCAGCCTGGCCAACATGGCAAAACCCCATCTCTACTAAAAATACAAAAAAAAAAAAATTAGCCAGGTGTGGTGAAACACGCCTGTAATCCCAGCTACTCCGGAGGCTGAGATAGGAGAATCACTTGAACCCAGAGGCGGAGGTTGCAGTGAGCCCAGATCTCGCCACTGCACTCCAGCCTTACACTCCAGCCTGGGCGACAGAACGAGACTCCATCTCAAAAAAAAAAAAAAAAAAAAAAAAATGACCAGGACACCCCAGGTTCTACTTACCCATCATCTCAGCCTTTGCCATCTTACACAATTCCGTGAGATTCATCTCTTCCAAGATGTTCACAGTCGCATTCCTTATCCAATTTTCTGAGGAGGTGTTGACCAGAATTTCTGCCAGTTTCTTGCCATCAGCCTCTTCCACCTCAGACCATGGGGTCTTCTGTAGCACGTCTTCGAGGGGAAAAGCCCATAAAAGGGATTTGAAACTCTTTAATTCATCCTCGTTCAGCTGCTCCAGAAGGGTCTGCAGAGTCCACTCTAGCTGGGGCGATGTCATAGTGCTCCGAGTATGAGACCTTAGGTTAAGGCTGAAGAACTGGGGGGAAAAAAGGAAAAACAGTTCACGAGTTACCATCATTAAATGAAACCACAGTTTCCTGTGTGCCAAGAACAAGACTGTTCCTGCTGTACAGTGAGTGGTAAAATATTCCAAAGACTGAATTAAGAGACTGAAAATCTGGCCCAGCACGGTGGCTCACGCCTGCGGCCAGGAGTTCGAGACCAGCCTGGCTAACTTGGTAAAAAGAACGAACAAAAGGCTGGGCACGGTGGCTCACGCCTGTAATCCCAGCACTTTGGGAGGCCGAGGCGGATGGATCACGATATCAGGAGATCGAGACCATCCTGGCTAACACAGTGAAACCCCTGCCTCTACTAAAAAAATACAAAAAATTAGCAGGGCGTGGTGGCGGGCACCTGTAGTCCCAGCTACTCGGGAGGCTGAGGCAGGAGAATGGTGTGAACCCGGGAAGTGGAGCTTGCAGTGAGCAGAGATCTCACCATTGCACTCCAGCCTGGGCGACAGAGCGAGACTCCGTCTCAAAAAAAAAAAAAAAAAAAAAAAAAAGAATACAAAGAATGAAGGGTCAGTGGTATGCTAGGGCCAGCCCGTGCTGCCTAATGGGGGCTTCCTATATGTACCTATACCAACGTCCATGGGCTGTGATTTCACACTGATAGTACAAAATCACAAGGGGAGTGTTTATGCCACAGAAATCAGCAAACACGGCAGGGCGCGGTGGCTCACGCCTGTAATCCCAGCACTTTGGGAGGCCAAGGCGGGTGGATAACCTGAGGTCGGGAGCTCAAGACCAGCCTGACCAACACGGCGAAACCCCATCTCTACTAAAAATACAGAAATTACAGGCGGGTGCCTGTAATCCCAGCTACTCAGGAGGCCGAGACAGGAGAATCACACTTGAACCTGGGAGGTGGAGGTTGCATGATCTGAGATCACGCCATTGCACTCGAGCCTCGGCAACAAGAACAAGACTCTGTCTCAAACAAACAAAAAAACAAATCAGCAAACACTACAAACCAAGACTTCCTCGCCACCAACCCTCAGAGCCACTTGTTTAACATTTCAGCCCACCACTGAATGACACATTGAAAACAAATAGCAAGAGGACAGATATAAATATAACTGTACTGGCCGGGTATGGTGGCTCAGGCCTGGAATCCCAGCACTTTGGGAGGCTGAGGCAGGTGGATCGCCTGATGTCAGGAGTTTGAGACCCGCCTGGCCCACATGGTGAAACCCCATCTCTACTAAAAATACAAAAGCTAGCCAAGTGTAGTGGTAGGAACCTGTAATCCCAGGTACGTGGGAGGCTGAGGCAGGAGAATCGCTTGAACCCAGGAGGCGGAGGTTGCAGTGAGCTGAGATAGCGCCATTGTACTCCAGCCTGGGCAACAAGAGCGAAACTCTATCTCAAAAAAAAAAAACTTAGCCAGGCCTGGTGGAACATACCCGTAGTCCCAGATACTTGGGAGGCTGACACAGGAGGATTGTTTGAGCCTACGATTTGGAGGTTGCAGTGAGCCAGCCACTGCACGCCAGCCTGGGTGACAGAGTGAGGCCCTGTCTCAAAAGTAAGTAACTAATGGCCGGGTGCGGTGGCTCACGCCTGTAATCCCAGCACTTTGGGAGGCCGAGGCAGGCGGATCACGAGGTCAGGAGATCGAGACCATCCTGGCTAACACGGTGAAACCCCGTCTCTACTAAAAATACAAACAATTAGCCGGGCGTGGTGGCGGGCGCCTGTAGTCCCAGCTACTCGGGAGGCTGAGGCAGGAGAATGGCGGGAACCCGGGAGGCGGAGCTTGCAGTGAGCGGAGATCGCGCCACCGCACTCCAGCCTGGGCGACAGAGCGAGACTCCGTCTGGGTTGGGGGGGCGGGGGGAAGAGGCAGCCTGGAAAATAAATAACAGAAAAAGTGACTTGCCAAGCCCGGGTGCTGATAGAGGTGGACAGCTTTACCCTTGGAGGGAACAGCAAATCTTTTTCCCCAGCTGTGACGTGTGGGGAAAAGGAGGACAGATCAGACTGTTACTGTGTCTATGTAGAAAGAAATAGACATAAGAGACTCCATTTTGTTCTGTACTAAGAAAAATTCTTCTGCCTTGAGATGCTGTTAACCTGTAACCCTAGCCCCAACCCTGTGCTCCCAGAAACATGTGCTGTGTCACACGTGGGTTTAGGGCTATGCAGGATGTGCTTTGTTAAACAGATGCTTGAAGGCAGCATGCTTGTTAAAAGTCATCACCACTCTCTAATCTCAAGCACCCAGGGACACAATACACTGCGGAAGGCTGCAGGGACCTCTGCCTAGAAAAGCCAGGTATTGTCCAAAGTTTCTCCCCATGTGATAGCCTGAGATAAGGCCTCGTGGGAAGGGAAAGACCAGACCGTACCCCAGCCCGACACCCGTAAAGGGTCTGTGCTGAAGAGGATTAGTATAAGAGGAAGGCCTTTTTGCAGTTAAGAGGAAGGTATCTGTCTCCTGCTCGTCCCTGGGCAATGGAATGTCTCGGTGTAAAACCCGATGGTATGTTCCATCCACCGAGATAGGGGAAAACCGCCTTAGGGCTGGAGGTGACACATGCTGGCAGCAATACTGCTCTTTAATGCACCAGATATGTTTATGTATGAGCACATCAAGGCACAGCACATTTCCTAACCTTGTTTATGACACAGACATTTGCTCACATGTTTTCCTGCTGACCCTCTCCCCACTGTTACCCTATTGTCCTGCCACATCCCCGTCTCCGAGATGGTAGAGATAATGACCAATAAATACTGAAGGAACTCAGAGACCCGGCCGGCGCGGGTCTCCTGAGCCCACTTTTCTTTCTGTGTACTTTGTCTCTGTGTCTCTTTCTTTTCTCAGTCTCTCGTCCCACCTGACAAGAAACACCCACAGGTGTGGAGGGGCAGGCCACCCCTTCAGTGAGGTATAATTACATATATCCTATTTTAGGATGGAGCAGGAAGAGCATGAGAGCCCAGGAGTTCCAGACCAGCCTGGGCGACACAAGGAGACCTTGTCTCTATTTTTTAAGTATTTTTAAAGTAATATATACAACGTTTACTTGTCAAAGTGTACAGCATGGAGCGATGTTATATATACAGTGAAATGATTACCACAATCCAGCTAATTAACATATCCACTGCTTCATATAGTTGCCTTTCGTTTTTGCAGTGACAACGCTTGATGTACTTAGAAAAATTCAGGGTTTTTTGGCCAGGCACGGTGGCTCACGCCTGTAATCCCAGCACTATGGGAGGCCGAGGCGGGCAGATCACAAGGTGAGGAGCTCAAGACCATCCTGGCTAACACGGTGAAACCCCGTCTCTACTAAAAATACAAAAAAAAAATTAGCCGGGCATGGTGGCGGGCGCCTGTAGTCCCAGCTACTTGGGAGGCTGAGGCAGGAGAATGGCTTGAACCTGGGAGGCGGAGCTTGCAGTGAGCCAAGATCGCGCCACTGCACTCCAGCCTGGGCGAGTGAGACTCCCTCTCAAAAAAAAAAAAAAAAAGAAAAGAAAAGAAAAATTCAGGGTTTTTTTTTTCTTTTTCAGAAAGTCTTGCTCTGTCGCCCAGGCTGGAGTGCAATGGTGCGAGGCTTACCACAACCTCCTCTTCCCGGGTTCAAGCGATTCTCCTGCCTCGGCCTCCCAAGTAGCTGGGATTACAGGTATGCCCCACCACACCTAATTTTTTTTGTATTTTTAGTACAAACGGGGTTTCACCATGTTGGCCAGGCTGGTCTTGAACTCCTGACCTCAGGTGATCTGCCCACCTCAGCCTCCCAAAGTGCTGGGATTACAGGTATGAGCCACCAGGCCTGGCCAAGTATTTTTTTTCCCAAGTACATTTTTTTCTTTTTTTCTTTTTTTTGAGATGGAGTCTCCCTCTGTTGCCCAGGCTGGAGTGCAGTGGCACAATCTCGACTCACTGCAACCTCCACCTCCCAGGTTCAAGTGATTCTAGTGCCTCAGCCTCTCAAGAAGCTGGGATTACAGGCGCACCGCATCACGCCGGGCTAGTTTTTGTATTTTTAGTAGAGACAGGGTTTCTTGTTTTTTTCTGAGATGGAGTCTTGCTCTGTCACCCAGGCTGGAGTGCAGTGGCGCGATCTGGGCTCACTGCAAGCTCCGCCTCCCAGGTTCACGCCATTCTCCTGCCTCAGCCTCCCAAGTAGCTGGGACTACAGGCGCCCGCCACTATGCCCAGCTAATTTTTTTTGTATTTTTAGTAGAGATGGGGTTTCACCGTGTTAGCCAGGATGGTCTCGATCTTCTGACCTCGTGATCCGCCCGCCTCGGCCTCCCATAGTGCTGGGATTACAGGCGTGAGCCACCGCGCCCGGCCGAGACAGGGTTTCTCTATGTTGGCCAGGCTGGCCTCGAACTCCTGACCTCAGCTGATCCACCCGCCTCGGCCTCCCAAAGTGCTGGGATCACAGGCGTGAGCCACCGCATCTGGCCATTTACATTTTTTTTTTTTTTTGATGCAGCATTTCACTCTGGTTGCCCAGGCTGGAGTGCAGTGGCGCAATCTCAGCTCACCGCAACCTCCGCCTCCCGGGTTCAAGTGATTCTCCTGCCTCAGCCTCCCGAGTAGCTGGGATTACAGGCATGTGCCACCACGCCCAGCTAATTTTGTATTTTTAGTAGAGATGGGGTTTCTCCATGTTGGTCAGGCTGGTCTCAAACTCCCGGCCTCAGGTGATCTGAAAGTGCTGGGATTACAGGCGTGAGCCACCGCGCCCAGCCTACTTTTTTTTTTTTTTAAACAGGGTCTTCATCTCATCCAGGCTGGAGTGCAGTGGCTCAATCACACCTCATTGCAGCCCCCACCTCCTGGCTCAGGTGATCCTCCCACCTCACCCCACAAGTAGCTTGGACACAGCACAAGGTCTGGCCTTCTTTGTTTTTTGAGACGGAGTCGCACTCTGTCTCCCAGGCTGGAGTGCAGTGGCGCGATCTCAGCTCATTGCAACCTCCCCCTCCTAGGTTTAAGCTATTCTCCTGCCTCAACCTTCCAAGTAACTGGGATTACAGGCATGCACCACCACACCTGGCTAATTTTTGTGTTTTTAGTAGAGACAGGGTTTCACCATTTTGGGCAGGCTGGTCTCAAACTTCTGGCCTCAAGTGATCCACCCGCCTCGGCCTCCCAAAGTGTTGGGATAACAGGCATGAACCACTGTGCCTGGCCTTATATTTTTTTGTAATGACAGAGTTTTACCATGTTGCCCAGGCTAGTCTCAATCTCCTGAACTCCTCTAAACTATATTTGAATAGAAGTCCTTAAGACATTAGGCCAGGCGTGGTGGCTCACACCTGGAATCCCAGCACTTTGGGAGGCCGAGGCAGACAGATTACCTAAAGTCAGGAGTTCAAGACCAGCCTGGCCAACATGGTGAGACCCCGTCTCTACTAAAAATACAAAAATTAGCTGGGCATGGTGGCACGTGCCTGTAGTCCCAGCTACTCAGGAGGCTGAGGCAGGAGAATGGCGGGTGAACCCAGGAGGCGGAGTTTGCAGCGAACCAAGATCACGCCACTGCACTCCAGCCTGGGCGACAGAGGGAGACTCCGTCTCAAAAAAAAAAAAATCAAAGATCCTTCCAGCATCCTCGCACCAACCATTAAGGCTTGGGAAGGGCTATGGTGGAAACTCAACCAATAGCTTCTTCTCCCTTAAACGAGAAGACAAAGAAATCGATGCAAGAACCAGCACTCACCTCCCTCAGGTCAGGTCTTGCTTCCAGCCTGTGTTTCCTGCAAAGGAAACGGATAAAAAGGGGAGGTCTCTGGCCCTTGGTACGCTAGGTGGAGAGACAGCTTTCCCGCCCAGGGTGGAACCGCCCCACTGAGATTAACATTGGGTGGCTCCCAACCACTGACCTCAGGCTCACCTTGACATCACCTGGGCCCCATCCTCAGGGATTTGGCTGTAATTGGGCTTCAGTGGGCTTTGGAGAATTACGGCTTGCTGAATCTCCCCAGGTGAGATTAATGTGCAATTCCCTTCCTAGACCACCCGGGCCAGGTGTGATAGGCGACAGAACAGGAAATACACATTTTGGGTTTTGCAGGGTACCTGGCTCCCAGCTTTAAAAACTCTTGTAGAGAAAAAAAATTAAACAAAAATAAATAAAAATTAAAAAAAAAGAGGACAAAAACTCCCGTGACTTCCTAAGTTACAAATACAATAAGTCTACTTTGTGGCCAACTGTGGTGCCTCCTGCCTATAAATCCCAGCAGGCTGAGAGGCCTAGGCCAGTGGATCCCTAGGGGCCAGGAGTTTGATACCAGCCTAGGCAACATAGCAAGATGCCATCTCTTCAAAAATATTTAATAATTAGCCATGCATAGGCTGGGCGTGGTAGCTCATGCCTGTAGTCCCAGCAATTTGGGAAGCCGAGGCGGGTGGATCACCTGAGGTCAGGAGTTGGAGACCAGACTGGCCAACGTGGTGAAACTCTGTCTCTACTAAACATACAAAAAATTAGCCAGGTGTGGTGGCAGGTGCCTGTAATCCCAGCTACTCGGGAGGCTGAGACAGGACAATCACTTGAACTAGGGAGGTGGAGGGTGAGTGAGGCACGATCACGCCATTGCACTCCAGCCTGGGTGACAAGAGCAAGACTGTCTCAAAAACAAAAACAAAAAAATTAGCCATACATGATGGGCTGCACCTGTAATCCCAGCTATTCAGGAGGCTGAGGTGGGAGGATCACCTGAGCTCAGGAGTTTGAGGCTGCAGTGAGCTGTGACTGGCCATCTCACTCCAGCCTAGGCCACAGAGTGAGACCCAGTCTCAAAAAAATAAATAGATAACTGATATTTAATTTTTTTTTTTGGATGGAGTCTTGCTCTGTGGCCCAGGCTGGAGTGCAGTGGTGCAATCTCCATTCTTGCAACCTCTGCCTTCCAGGTTCAAGCAATTCTGATGCCTCAGCTTCCCAAGTAGCTGGGACTGCAGGCACATGCCACCATGCCCAACTAATTTTTTGTATTTTTAGTAGAGACAGGGTTTCACCATATTGGTCAGGCTGGTCTCAAACTCCTGATGTCAGGTGATTACAGGCATGAGCCACCGCACCTGGCCTAAAATTGTTTTTAAATAAAACAGTGTATGTTGTGGAAAGCATTCAGCACAGAATTTTGGTAGTTTAAACTGTTAATTTAATGGAAGCAAATGGTCCCACAAATGAAGATGTATATATCAGTTGCAGCATGCCATCTATAGAAATAGGCACTATGGAGGCCTGGCATGGTGGCTCACACCTGTAATCCCTGCACTTTGGAAGGCTGAGGCAGGTGGATCATCTGAGGTCAGCAGTTCGAGACCAACCTGGGCAACATGGCAAAAAACCCCTGGCTACTAAAAATAAAGAATTAGCCAGGCATGGTGGTGTGCACCTGTAATCCCAGCTACTCAGGAGGCTGAGGCGTAAGAATTGATTGAACCTGGGAGTTGGAGGTTGCCGTGAGCCGAGATTGCACCACTGCGCTCCAGCCTGGGCGACAGAGACTCCATCTTTAAAAAAAAAAAAAAAAGATGGCCAGGCGCAGTGGTTCATGAATGTAATCCCAGCACTTTGGGAGGCTGAGGCGGGAGGACTGCCTGAGTCCAGGAGTTCAAGACCAGCCTGGGCAATATGGCGAGACTCCCTCTCTGAAGAAAAAGAAAATAAAAACAATAAAAATAAATTATATTCTAGCTGACAAAAAGAGAGAGAGAGTATATTTTGTTAAAACATTTGGCCTTTAGTCCTAGAGCAGCTATGGAGAGATAAACATGAAAGAGGTATCTCTTGTTATACATACCCAGGCCCTGCAACCACACCTGAGTTTATGTAAATGAGGTGACTTTTGGAAAGCCCCTAGATAACCCCACAAGTGCGAGGGACTGGCTGCCAAAGAAACCGTCAGTGATTAGACATTGGGAACTTTCAGCCCCAGGCTCCAAGTGGCCTCCAGGGAGGGGAGAGGGGCTGAAGGTTGAATTGATTATGAACTGCCAGCTATGTGATCAGCATTGCCCACCTAAGGAATCCTCCATAAACCCCAAAAGAAAAGGGTTTGGGCCGGGTGTCCTGTGGCTCATGCCCGTAATCCCAACGCTTTGGGAGGCCTAGATGGGAGGATTGCTTGAGCCCAAGAATTCTAGGCCAGTCTGGACAAAATAGCAAGACCCTGGCTCTACAAAAAATAAAAAATTAGCCAGGCGTGGTGGAGTGCACCTGTAGACCCAGCTACTCAGGAGGCTGAGGCATGAGAATCACTTGAACGCAGGAGACAGAGGCTGCAGTGAGCTGAGATAGCGCCACTGCACTCCAGCCTGGGTGACGGAGTTAGACTGTCTCAAAAAAAAAAAAAACCAGGAAAGAGTTCAGAAGAGCTTCCTGGTTGGTGAACCCGGGTGCATTCGTGTGCCAGGACTGTGGTGCACCCCAGGTCCACAGGGACAGAAGCTCCTGCACTTCGGACTCCTCTAAACCTCCCCCTACGCATCTCTTCCTTGGCTGTTCATTTGTATCCTTTAAAATATGAAAGGGCGGGTTGCCCCTCCACACCTGTGGGCATTTCTCGTTAGGTGGAAGGAGAGACTTGGAAAAGAAAGAGACACAGACAAAGTATAGAGAAAGAAATAAGGGGACCCAGGGGACCAGCATTCAGCATATGGAGGATCCCGCCAGCTTCTGAGTTCCCTTAGTATTTATTGATCATTTTGGGGTGTTTCTCAGAGAGGGGGATGTGGCAGGGTCATAGGATAATAGTGGAGGGAAGGTCAGCAGATAAACACGTTAACAAAGGTCTCTGCATCATAGACAAGGTAAAGAACTAAGTGCTGTGCTTTAGATATGCATACACATAAACATCTCAATGCCTTACGGAGCAGTATTGCTGCCCGCATGTCCCACCTCCAGCCCTAAGGCGGTTTTCCCCTATCTCAGTATATGGAATATACAATCGGGGTTTACACCCATACATTCCATTGCCCAGGGACGAGCAGGAGACAGATGCCTTCCTCTTGTCTCAACTGCAAAGAGGTGTTCCTTCCTCTTTTACTAATCCGCCTCAGCACAGACCCTTTACTGGTGTCGGGCTGAGGGACGGTCAGGTCTTTCCCTTCCCATGAGACCATATTTCAGGCTATCACATGGGGAGAAACCCTGGACAATACCTGGCTTTCCTAGGCAGAGGTCCCTGCGGCCTTCCGCAGTGTTTGTGTCCCTGGGTACTTGAGATTAGGGAGTGGTGATGACTCTTAAGGAGCATGCTGCCTTCAAGCATTTGTTTAACAAAGCACATCTTGCACAGCCCTTAATCCATTTAACCCTGAGTGGACACAGCACATGTTTCAGAGAGCACAGGGTTGGGGGTAAGGTCATAGATTAACAGCATCTCAAGGCAGAAGAATTTGTCTTAGTACAGAACAAAATGAAGTCTCCTGTGTCTACTTCTTTCTACACAGACACAGTTACAATCTGATCTCTCTTTCTTTTCCCCACAAAAATATCCTTTGTAGACCAGGCACAGTGGCTCAGGCCTGTAATCCCAGCACTTTGGGAGGCTGAGGCAGATGGATCACTTAAGGTCAGGAGTTTGAGACCAGCCCAGCCAGCATGGTGAAACTGCGTCTCTACAAAAATACAAAAATTAGCGGGGCATGGTAGTTCAACGCCTGTAATCCCAGCTACTCGAGAGGCTGAGGCAGAATTGTTTGAACCCGGGAGGCAGAGGCAGAGGTTGCAGTGAGCCGAGGTCGCACGACTGCACTCCAGCCTGGGTGCAACAGAGTGAGACTCCATCTCAAAAAACAAAAAACAAAAACAAAAACAAAACAAAAAATGAAAACCCACTTTTAGTAAAAAAAATAAAAATGAAAAAATGTGAATCAGGCTGCACTCTGGCCCACATCCTGGCTGCTGTGTATCACGTGGCTCTAGACACTGCACTTTTGCCTCCTCATCATTGCTGTAGATAGGATTTCTGACAGCAGGGTCATTAGACGAATTTTTTTTTTTTTTTGAGACGGAGTCTCGCTCTGTCGCCCAGGCTGGAGGGCAGTGGCGCAATCTCTGCTCACTGCAAGCTCCGCCTCCCGGGTTCACACAATTCTCCTGCCTCAGCCTCCCGAATAGCTGGGACTACAGGTGCCTGCAACCATGCCTGGCTAATTTTTTTTGTATTTTTAGTAGAGACGCGGTTTCACCATGTTAGCCAGGATGGTCTCGATCTCCTGACCTCGTGATCCTCCCGCCTAGGCCTCCCAAAGTGCTGGGATTACAGGCGTGAGCCACCGCGCCCGGCCCCATTAGACAAATTTGTATCTGCACGGTTCCTACAGATAAACTCTGGGACATTAGAATTATAAGGCTTTTGTTTAAGGATGGTTTCAGATGTTTTTCAGACCTTGAATTCCAGCCAAATAGCTGACACTAACCAGTTTGAAGACCCCAGTGAGGAATGGGATCAGCATGAGAACACTGCGTCTTCATGCCCCTGTCTCCGCCAGCAGTCAGCATGGCCACACTCTGGCCCACACCAAAACACTTAAAAACCCTAGCCCCGGCCGGGTGCAGAGGCTCACACCTGTAACTCCAGCACTTTGGGAGGCCAAGGCAGGTGAATCACCTGAGGTCAAGAGTTCAAGACCAGCCTGGCCAACATAGTGAAACCCCGTTTCTACTAAAAACACAAAAAATTAGTCGGGCGTGGTAGCGGGTGCCTGTAACCCCAGCTACTCAGGAGGCTGAGGCAAGAGAATTACTTGAACCTGGGAGGCGGAGGTTGCAGTGAGCAAAGATCCTGCCACTGCACTCCAGCCTGGGTGACAAAGCAAAACTCCATCTCAAAAAAAAAAAAAACCCTAGACCCAAACTTCTGGGGGAGATGGATTGGAGGTTTCCTCCCATCTCCTCATTCCTCAGCCCTGTGATTAAACTTCCTTCTCTTCTGCAACACAGTGACCCGGCAAATTGACTCACAGCGTGCATTGGGCAACGGACCTACTGTCAGAGGCGTGTAACCAGGGCAACTCCATCTTGAATAGGAGCTGACTAAAATAAGGCTGAGACCTACCGGGCTGCATTCCCAGACAGTTAAGGCATTCTCCAAAAAAAACAAAAATGACAGGCACGGTGGCCCAGCACTTTGGGAGGCCGAGGCGGGTGGATTACCCGAAGTAGAGTTTGAGACCAGCCTGGCCAACACGGTGAAACCCCGTCTCTACTGAAAATACAAAAATTAGTCAGGCGTGGTGGCTCGTGCCTGTAATCCCACCTACTTGCGAGGCTGAGGCAGGAGAATCGCTTGAGCCGGGGAGGCGGAGGTTGCAGTAAAAAGAAAAAAAAAAGCATTCTAAGTCACAGGATGAGATAAGTCAGCACAAGATACAGGTCATAAGGACCTTGCTGATAACACAGGTAGCAATGTAGCAGGACCAGCCACAGACAAAACTCCTCAGACACCGAGTTAAAGAAGAAAGGGGTTTATCCGGCCAGGGGCATCGGCAAGACTCCCGTCTCAAGAGCCGAGATCCCCAAGTGAGCAATTCCTGTCCCTTTTAAGGGCTCACAACTCTAAGGGGGTGTGCGTGAGAGGGTCGTGATCGACTGAGCAAGCAGGGGGTACGTGACTGGGGGCTGCATGCACTGGTAATCAGATCCAAACAAAACAGGATAGGGATTTTCACAGTGCTTTTCTATACAATGTCTGTAATCTATAGATAACCGATTAGGTCAGGGGTCAATCTTTAACTACCAGGCCCAGGGTGTGGCGCCGGGCTGTCTGCTTGTGGATTTCATTCCTGGGCCGCGGGGCTGTCTGCTTGTGGATTTCATTCCTGGGGCGCGGGGCTGTCTGCTTGTGGATTTCATTTCTGCCTTTTAGTTTTTACTTTTTCTTTCTTTGGAGGTGGAAATTGGGCATAAGACAATATGAGGGGTGGTCTCCTCCCTTAGCAATAAAGAATCCAGCCAGGCCGGGCGCGGTGGCTCACACCTGTAATCCCAGCACTTTCGGGGGCTGAGGCGGGTGGATCACACGGTCAGGAGATTGAGACCATCCTGGCTAACACGGTGAAACCATCTCTACTAAAAAAAAAAAATACAAAAAATTAGCTGGGCGTGGTGGCGGGCGCCTGTAGTCCCAGCTACTCGGGAGGCTGAGGCAGGAGAACGGCGTGAACCCGGGTGATGGAGCTTGCAGTGAGCGGAGATCGCGCCACTGCACTCCAGCCTGGGTGACAGAGCGAGACTCCGTCTCAAAAAAATAAAAAATAAATAAAAATAAATAAAGCATCCAGTCAAACTCCATCAAAACCAAGATAGTGACGAGAGTAACCTCTGGTTGTCCTCACCGCTCCACTCCCAGCAGCCCCATGACAGTTTACAAATGCCATGGCAATGTCAGGAAGTTACCCTATGCTGTCTAAAAAGGGGAGGCATGAATAATCCACCCCTTGTTTAGCATATCCATAGAAATAACCATAAAAATGGGCAACCGGCCGGGCGCGGTGGTCACGCCTGTAATCCCAGCACTTTGGGAGGCCGAGGCGGGTGGATCATGAGGTCAGGAGATTGAGACCATCCTGGCTAACACGGTGAAATCCCATCTCTACTAAAAAAAAATACAACTAATTAGCTGGGTGCGGTGGCGGGCGCCTGTAGTCCCAGCTACTCGGGAGGCTGAGGCAGGAGAATGGCCTGAACCCAGGAGGCGGAGCTTGCAGTGAGCCGAGATAGTGCCACTGCACTCTGGCCTGGTGAAAGAGCGAGACTCCGTCTCAAAAAAAAAAAAAAAAAAAAAAAAGGGCAACCGAGGCCGGACGTGGTGGCTTACGCCTGTAATCCCAACACTTTGGGAGGCCGAGGCGGGCATATCACCTGAGCTCAGGAGGTCAAGATCAGCCTGGCCAACATGGTGAAACCCCATCTCTTACTAAAAATACAAAAATTAGCCAGACGTGATGGCAGGCACCTGTAATCCCAGCTACTCAGGAGGCTGAGGCAGGAGAATCACTTGAACTGAAGTGATTCAAGGCAGAGGTTTCAGTGAGCCAAGATCACGCCACTGCACTCCAGCCTGGGCGACAAGAGCAAAACTCCATCTCAAAAAAAATAAGGGCAACTAGCAGCCCTATGGGCTGCTGTCTATGGAGTAGCTATTCTTTTACTCCTTCACTTTCCTAATAAGCTTGCTTCCACTTTACTCCATAGTCTCGCCCTGAATTCTTTCTGGTATGAGATTCAAGAACCCACCATGCCCAGCTCGTCCTTACTTGCTTTTAAAAAATATCATTGGTGGCCGGGCGCGGTGGCTCACGCCTGCAATCCCAGCACTTTGGGAGGCCAAGGCTGGCGGATCACCTGAGGTCCGAAGTTTGAGACCAGCCTGACCAACATGGAGAAACCCCGTCTCTACTAAAATACAAAAAAATTAGCTGGGTGTGGTGGTGCGTGCCTGTAATCCCAGCTACTCAGGAGGCTGAGGCAGGAGAATCACTTGAACCCGGGTGGCAGAGGTTGCAGTGAGCCAAGATCATGCCATTGCACTCCAGCCTGGGCAACAAGAGTGAAACTCCGTCTCAAAAATAAATAAATAAAATCATTGGAATAATTTTCTTCTTTAGGAAGAGCAGCCTTGGGCCAGGCATGGTGGCACATGCCTGGAATCCCCGAACTTTGGGCAGCCCAGGTAGGTGGATTGCTTGAGTTCAAGAGTTCCAGACCAGCCTGGACAACATGATGAAACCTCTTCTTGATCAAATATACAGAATTTCGACTGAGCACAGTGGCTGTAAGCCCAGCATGTTGGGAAGCTGAGGTGGGTGAATCATTTGAGGTCAGACCAGCCTGACTAACATGGCGAAACCCCATCTCTACAAAAAATACAAAAGTTAGCCAGGAGGTCGTGGGCGCCTGTGGTCCCAGCTACTCGGGAGGCTGAGGCAGGAGAATGACGTGAATCCCGGAGTCGTAGGTTGCAGTGAGCCAAGATCGTGCCACTGCACTTCAGCCTGGGCGACACAGCAAGACTGAGGTTGCAGTGAGCTGTGATCCTCAACCTCCTGGGTTCAAGGGATTGTCGAGCCTCAGCCTCCCAAGTAGCTGGGATTATAGACATTCGCTCCCATGCCTGGCTAATTTTTGTATTGCAAAAATGCACTCCAGCCTAGATGACAGGACTGCACTCCAGCCTGGATGACAGAGCAAGACTGTGTCTCAAAAATAAATAAATAAATAAATAAATAGCCAACTGTGATCGTGCATGCCTGTAGTCCCAGCTACTCAGGAGGCCAAGGCAGGAGGATCACTTGAGACTGGGAGGTCATGGCTACAGTGAGCCATGATCTCGCAACTGCACTCCAGCCTGGGCAACAGAGGGAGAGAAAGGAAGGAAGGAGGGAAGGAGGGAAGGAGGGAAGGGAAGGAGGGAAAGGAAGTCAGTCTTGTGGGACAAGGAAGGAAGGAAGGAAGTCAGTCAGTCTTGTGGGACTCAGCCCTGAACCTTTGGGATCTGATGCTGTCCCCAGGTAGGGAGTGTCAGAACTAAATCAAAGGAGAGGACACCCAGCTGGTCTCTGCTGGAGAACTGGTTGTTGGTGGGGAGAAACATACATTTTTGGTGAAGTATTCTGTGTTGAGTGTGAAAGTAGGAAAAACAGGACTGGGTATGGTGGTTCATGCCTGTCATTCCAGGATTTTGGGAGGCCAAGGCAGGCGGATCACTTGAGGTCAGGACTTTGAGACCACCCTGGTGAACATGGCAAAACCCCATCTCTACTAAAAAAAAATACAAAAATTAGCTGGGCGCGGTGGCAGGTGCCTGTAATACCAGCTACTCGGGAGGCTGAGGCAGGAGAATCACTTGAACCCGGGAGGCGGAGGTTGCAGTGAGCTGAGATTGTGCCTTTGCACTCCAGCCTGGGAGACAGAGCAAGACTCTCCCTCAAAAAAAAAAAAAGGCCGGGCGCAGTGGCTCACGCCTATAATATCAGCACTTTGGGAGGCCGAGGCAGGTGGATCACTGACACCCAACACCACGCCTTCTAATTTTTTGCATTTTTAGTAGAAACGGGGTTTCACCATGTTGGCCAGGCTTGTCTCGAACTCCTGTCCTCTGGTGATCCACCTGCCTTGGCCTCCCAAAGTGCTGGAATTACAGGCGTGAACCCAGCAACTTTTCCCCCTTTTATCATACCTTAATTTGCCTCCACCACCCCCAGAAGCTCCAAGTCTCTACGCCTTTTCATTTATGTATGTATGTATTTATTTATTTATTTATTTATTTTATTTTGAGACAGGGTCTCCCTCTATCTCCCAGGCTGCAGTGCAGTGGCGTGATCTTGGCCCACTGCAACCTCCACCTCCCGGGTTCAAGTAATCCTCCTGTCTCAGCCTCCCAAGTAGCTGGGATTACAGGGCACACCACCACACCTGGCTAATTTTTGTATTTTTAGTGGAGACTGGGTTTCACCCTGTTGTCCAGGCTAGTCTCAAACTCCCGACGTCAGGTGATCCACCCATTTCGGTTCCCAAAGTGTTGAGATTACAGACCGTGAGCCACTGGGACGGACACCCCTACTCCTTTCTTCTTCTTCTTCTTTTTTTTTTTTTTTTTGAGATGGAGTCTCCCTTTGAAGCCCAGGCTGGAGTACAATGGTGCGATCTTAGCTCACTGCAGTTTCCTCCTCCCGGGTTCAAGTGATTCTCCTGCCTCAGCCTCCGGAGTAGCTGGGATTACAGGCACACACCACCACACCAGCTAATTTTTGTATTTTTAGCAGAGATGGGGTTTCACCATGTTGGCCAGGCTGGTCTCAAACTCCTGACCTCAGGTGATCCACCCACCTTGGCCTCCCAAACTGCTGGGATCACAGGCGTGAGCCACTGCACCCTACACTCTTATACTCCTTTCTGTAGCTCAGGCAGCTAGATGAGCTTCAATCATCTGGCCCTTCCTCCAGTCTCACATTTTTGTGGGACTCCTGTGCATACATAATTGAATCTGGTTTTTCTTCTGTCAAACTGTTTTGTGTCAATGTAATTCATAGCCCATCCAAAGAACCTAGGAGGGTGGAGGGAATCCATTTTCTCTCCTCCACACTGGAGGGCCATGGAGCCCAAGAGTTCAAGACTGGCCCGGTGTACAAAGTGAGACCCAGTCTCTATTTAAAAAAGATGGGGAGGGGGCCGGGCACGGTGTCTCACGCCTGTAATTCCAGCACTTTGGGAGGCCCAGGTGGGTGGATCACCTGAGGTCAGGAGTCCGAGACTAGCCTGGCCAAGGTGGTGAGACCGTGTCTTTACTAAAAATACAAAATTAGCTTGGTATGGTGGCAGGAGCCTGTAATCCCAGCTACTTGGAAGGCTAGGGCAGGAGAATCGCTTGGTTTGGGATTTTCTCCCTGAGGCACTTGCTATCTCCAGGATTATGGGTCTCAGGTGAAAGAAAGACAAAGAAGGAGAGAGAGACAGAGAGGGACAGGGAAAGAGAATTTCAGACTTATCTAACATTGACACTTAGGAGAAGTAGGGAGAAAGAGGTGGGAAAATAAAGTGGCTAGGTAAAAATGAACATGTCAGTAACAATAATAGCATTAACAATAACTAGTATTGCCGGGTGCAGTGGCTCACGCCTCTAATCCCAGCACTTTGGGACGCCGAGGTGGGCGAATCACAAGGTCAGGAGTTCAAGACCAGCCTGGCCAACATGGTGAAACCCTGTCTCTACTAAAAATACAAAAAGTTAGCTAGCTGGGCATAGTGGTGCATGCCTGTAATCCCAGCTACTCTGGAGGCTGAGGCAGGAGAATCGCTTGAACCCGGGAGGCAAAGGTTGCAGTGAGTCAAGATCAGGCCACTGCACTCCAGCCCAAGGGACAGAGTGAGACTCTGTCTCAAATAATAATAATAATAATAACTAGTGGCCAGGCACAGTGGCTCACGCCTGTAATCCCAGTGTAGCAGGACGAGCCACAGACAAAAACCTCTCAGACACCGAGTTGTAGAAGGAAGGGCTTTATTCAGCTGGGAGCATCGGCAAGCTACTGTCTTAAAATCCAAGCTCCTCGAGTGCACAGTTTCTGTCCCTTTTAAGGGCTCACAACACTAAAGACTGCGCATGAAAGGGTCATGATTGAGCAATCTAGGGGATACATAACAGGGGTTTCGTGCACTGCTGGTCAGAGAGAAAGAATAGGGCAGGGAGTTTCACAGTGTTCTTCTATACAATGCCTGGAATCTATGGATAACATCGGGTTCTAAGTCATGAGTTGATTTTTATCTACTAGGTTTACGCCAGGCAGGCCCAGGCCTGGTTTCGGGTCTGGTTTTGGGTCTGGTGCCTGGCGCCGGGCTACCTGCCTTTGGTTTCACTTCCTTGTTTTTTTCTTTTTCTTTTTTTTTTTTTTTGAGACAGAGTCTTGCTCTGTCGCTAAGGCTGGAGTGCAGTGGCACAATCTCGGCTCACTGCAAGCTCCGCCTCCTGGATTCAAGCAATTCTGCTGCCTCATCCTTCCGAGTAGCTGGGATTACAGGCGCACGCCACCATGCCCGGCTAATTTTTGTATTTTTAATAGAGACGGGGTTTCACCATGTTGGCCAGGCTGGTCTCAAACTCCTGACCTTGTGATCCACCCGCCTTGGCCTCCCAAAGTGCTGGGATTACAGGCGTGAGCCACCGTGCCCGGCCTCCTTGTTTTTTTTCTAAAACAAGTACTGAGTATAAAACAATATAAAACAATATGAGACGGTTTCTCTCTTCCCTCACCAGCACTTTGGGAGGCTGAGGCAGGTGGATCACAAGGTCAGAGTGGATAGCACTTTAGGAGGTTGAGGTGGGAGGATCCCTTGAGCCCAGGAGCTCAAGTCCAGCCTGGGCAACATAGCAAGACCCCCATTTCCAATTTTAGTGTATGTGCTGCCAAAGCAAATACTCTGAGACCCTGTTTCTACAAAAAATAAAAAAATTAAAATTAGTGCTTGGAAAAAAAAATTAGTGCTTGACCAGGAGGCAAGCACACCTCCTCATCCTCTCATGGATGTCTGTCTGTAGAAAGTAAATGGAGACAGCTTCATTTTACCCAACTGCTCCGTTTTAGGTCCGCTCCTGAGCTTCTGTTGTTCCCAGCCATGCAACCCTGGGAGCCGACTCCCGGCTGCAGAGCCTTGTCAGAAGCAGGCAATGTACACAGAGACCCAAGGCCTGGTGTAGACAGGCTTTCACAGACCTGGGCATTTTGTTGAATTGTTTTTGAATTGTGGTTTCTTATCAGTTCATCCGATACTCTGTTCTAACCACGTAGTTCCTCTTTTGGATCTCCAAACCCCTTTGCAGGTTCCATCTACCCGAACCAAACTCACTTATTCCAACAGAAGTCTGGTGTTTCTTGTTTTTTTTGTTTGTTTGTTTCTTTCGTTTTGTTTTTTGAGATGTTGTCTCCCTCTATCACCCAGGCTGGAGTGCAGTGGCGAGATCTCAGCTCACTGCAACCTCTGCTTCCCGGGTTCAAGCAATTCTCCTCCCTCAGCCTCCTGGGTAGCTGGGATTACAGGTGCCTGCCGCCACACCCAGCTAACTTTTGTATTTTTAGTAGAGACGGGATTTCACCATGTTGGCCAGGCTAGTCTCGAGCTCCTGACCTCAAGTGATCCACCCATCTCAGCCTCCCAAAGTGCTGGGATTACAGCCTTAAGCCACCGCGCTCAACCAGAAGTCTGTTTAAATCCATCCTTCTCCCCAGCCACCCATGAGTTATGTGACCTTGGGGTTGCTACTTAACATTTCAGTCTCAATTTCCTCAATAGAACAAAAGTTAGAAGAATTGTAACAAAAGATAGTTTTATTTTTATTTTTATTTTTATTTTTTGAGATGGAGTCTTGCTCTGTCACCTAGGCTGGAGTGCAGTGGTGTGATGGTGGCTCACTGCAAGCTCCGCCTCCCGGATTCACGCCATTCTCCTGCCTCAGCCTCCCAAGTAGCTGGGACTACAGGCACCCGCCACCGTGCCCAGCTAATTTTTTTAATTTTTAGTAGAGACGGGGTTTCACCGTGTTAGCCAGGATGGTCTCGATCTCCTGACCTCGTGATCCGCTTGCCTCGGCCTCCCAAAGTGCTGGGATTACAGGCGTGAGCCACCATGCCCAGCACAAAAGATAATTTCTTAATCCCATGCATTTGAGTCTTAAAAAAATATTCTATATAATTCCAAGGTCAAAGAAGAAATAACAAAGGGCATTTTTAAAAATGCTAGAACTGAGTGGTGGTGAAATTGCTGTTGAAATGTGTTTGTTGCACTGATGGAAATTTATAAATGTAAATATTTATATTAAAATATAAAATAATGGGCCAGGCATAGTGGCTCACACCTGTAATCTCAGTACTTTGGGAGGCCAAGGCGGGAGGGCCATGGAGCCCAGGAGTTCAAGACCGGCCCGGTGTACAAAGTGAGACCCAGTCTCTAGTTAAAAAAGAGGGGGAGTGGGCCAGGCACAGTGTCTCACGCCTGTAATTCCAGCACTTTGGGAGGCCAAAGCAGGTGGATCACCCGAGGTCAGGAGTCCAAGACCAGCCCGGCCAAGGTGGTGAAACCCCGTGTCTACTAAAAATACAAAATTAGCTTGGTATGGTGGCGGGAGCCTATAATCCCAGCTAGGGCAGGAGAATCACTTGAACCCGGGAGGCAGAGGTTGCAGTGAGCCAAGATCATGCCACTGCACTCCAGCCTGGGCAACAACAGAGAGACTTCATCTCTAAATAAATAAATAAATAAATAAAAGAAAATACAAATTTTTTAAAAAAGGTACTGTGGCTGGGCGTGGTGGTTCACACCTGTAATCCCAGCACTTTGGGAAGCCGAGGCAGGTGGATCTCAGATCAGGAGTTCAAGAAGAGCCTGGCCAGCATGGTGAAAACCTATCTGTACTAAAAATTAGCCTGGCATGGTGGCAGGTGCCTGTAGGAGGCTGAGGCAAGAGAATTGCTTGAGCCCCGGAGGCAGAGGTTGCAGTGAGCCGAGACCACACCACTGCACTCCAGCCTGGGCAACAGAGCGAGAGTCTGTCTCAAAAAGGAAACAAAAAAAAAAGTACCTCCAAATTATGGTAGGGTGTCCATATTAAGAAGGTAGAAAAAGGTCGGGGGAAGTGGATGCCTGTAATCCCAGAACTTTGGGAGGCTGAGGCGGGTGGATCACCTGAGGTCAGGAGTTCAAGAACAGCCTGGCCAAAAGGGTATGGTGAAACCCCATCTCTACTAGAACTACAAAATTAGCCGGGCGTGGTGGTACATGCCTGTAATCCCAGCTACACAGGAGTCTGAGGCAGGAGAATCACAGGAAACCGGCAGGCAGAGGTTGCAGTGAGCTGAGATCGCGCCATTGCACTCCAGCCTGGGCGACAAGAGCAAAACTCCATCTCAAAAAAAAAAAAAAGAAAAAATGAAAAAGAATTTATTGAAATGTGCAGTCTGAAAACTGCTCCTGCACATTTTCATTCATCCTTCCTATTCCCTCCATCCCTCAATTTTTTTTTTTTTTTTGAGACAGAGTTTCGCTCTTGTTGCCCAGGCTGGAGTGCAATGGCACGATCTCAGCTCACTGCAACCTCTGCCTCCCAGGTTCCAGCCATTTTCCTGCCTCAGCCTCCAGAATAGCTGGAATTACAGGCATCTGCCACTACGCCTGGCTAATTTTTTGTGTATTTTTAGTAGAGATGGGATTTCACCATGTTGGTCAGGCTGATCTCGAACTCCTGACCTCAGGTGATCCACCCGCCTCGGCCTCCCAAAGTGCTGGGATTACAGGCATGAATCACCACGCCCGGCCCCTCATTTTCTTTTCTTTCTTTCTTTCTTTTTTGTTTGTTTGTTTTTGAGACAGAGTCTTGCTCTGTCACCCAGGCTGGAGTGCAGTGGCGCGATCTCAGCTCACTGCAAGCTCCGCCTCCCGGGTTCACGCCATTCTCCTGCCTCAGCCTCCCGAGTAGCTGGGACTACAGGCGCCCGCCACCACGCCCGGCTAATTTTTTGTATTTTTAGTAGAGACGGGGTTTCACCGTGTTAGCCAGGATGGTCTCCATCTCCTGACCTCGTGATCCGCCCGCCTCGGCCTCCCAAAGTGCTGGGATTACAGGCGTGAGGCACCACACTGGGCCCCCTCACTTTCTTATTCTTTCTAGGATAGGCAACTGAGCGCGGCAGTGAAGAGCTGGGCTTCCGGAAGCTGACAGCTGTTTGTGATCTTCAAGACCTCAGACAGGTTTTCTAAATATGCCTTGCCTTCATTTTCTCAAGGAAAGTGAAAAATGGGTAGGATCATGGCAATCACTACTGTGTAGCAATGTTTAGAGGACTTAATAAGTAAACACAGGGTCAAGCATGGTGGCTCACACCGGAAATCCCAGCACTTTGGGAGGCCGTGGTGGGAAGATTGCTTAAGCCCATGGGGTTGAGACCAGCCTGGGCAACATAGTGAGACCTCCATCTCTATAAAAAATACAAAAATCTAGTCAGGCGTGATGGCGTATGCCTGTAGCCTTCAGTAAGCTATGATTGTGCCACTGCACACCAGCCTAGGCGACAGAGTGAGACCCTGTCTCAAAAAGAAAAAACGAAAAGAAATATAGATGTACATATACATATGTTGGTTCTAAAACATGAAAAAGGCTGGGCGCGGTGGTTCGTGCCTGCAACCCAAGCACTTTGGGAGGCCGAGGCGGGCGGATCACGAGGTCAAGAGTTTGAGACCAGCCTGGCCAACATAGTGAAACCCCATCTCTACTAAAAATACAAAAAAAAGGCTAGGCGCAGTGGCTCATGCCTGTAATCCTAGCACTTTGGGAGGCCGAGGTGAGCAGATTACCTGAGGTTGGGAGTTCAAGACCACCCTGTCCAACATGGTGAAACCCCATCTCTACTAAAAATAAGAAAATTAGCCGGGTACAGTGGCACGCGCCTGTAATCCCAGCTATTCAGGAGGCTGAGGCAGGAGAATCGCTTGAACTCTGGAGGCGGAGGTTGCAGTGAGCCAAGATTGCGCCACTGCACTCCAGCCCGGGCGACAGTGCCAGACTCAGTCTCAGAAAAAAAAAAAGCAAAACAAACAAAGAAACATGAAAAAAAGCTATAAAACCCAACTTTTTTCTTTTTTTTTTTGAGACGGAGTCTCACTCTGTCGCCCAGGGTGGAGTGCAGTGGTGCGGTCTCGGCTCACTGCAACCTCCGCCTCCTGGGTTCAAGCAATTCTCTGCTTCAGCCTCCCAAGTAGCTGGGATTACAGGCACCCGCCACCACGCCCGACTAATTTTTTGTATTTTTAGTTGAGACGGGGTTTCATCATCTTGGCCAGGCTGGTCTTGAAGTCCTGACCTCGTGATCCACCCGCCTTGGCCTCCCAAAGTGCTGGAATTACAGGCGTGAGCCACCGCGCCCGGCCAAAACCCAACTTTTTAGTCTTATTTATATGGTGTTTTTTTTTTTTTTTTTTTTTTTGAGATGGAGCCTTGCTCTGTCGCCCAGGCTGGAGTGCAGTGGCGCGATCTCGGCTCACTGCAAGCTCCGCCTCCCGGGTTCACGCCATTCTCCTGCCTCAGCCTCCCGAGTAGCTGGGACTACAGGTGCCCGCCACCACGCCCGGCTAATTTTTTGTATTTTTAGTAGAGACGGGGTTTCACCGTGTTAGCCAGGATGGTCTCGATCTCCTGACCTCGTGATCCACCTGCCTCGGCCTCCCAAAGTGCTGGGATTACAGGCGTGAGCCACTGTGCCCGGCTATATGTTTACAAAATTAATACTGCCAGCCAGGCACGGTGGCTCACGCCTGTAATCCCAGCACTTTAGGAGGCTGAGGCTGGCAGATCACCTGAGGTCAGGAGTTTGAGACCAGCCTGGCCAGCATGGCAAAACCCCGTCTCTATTGAAAAAAATACAAAAATTAACCAGGCGTTGTGGCGCATGCTTGTAATCTCAGCTACTCGGGAGGCTGAGGCAGGGGAATCACTTGAAGCCGGCAGGCGGAGGCTGCGGGGAGCCGAGATCGTGCCGTTGCACTCCAGCCTGGGGAACAGAGCAAGACTCCATTAAAAATAAAATAATAATAATACTGTGAATGTGAAACTGATGAACTTGGTGCTTTTCATGCGTCTCATAGTTGACGTGTCATTGATATTTCACTTGAAATACGGTTGGATTTTTATTAATAATATACCTGGGGTGATGGGAGAAGGTAGCCAATCACAGCTGAGGCTTCTAAGCGGTGATTCTCAGCCTCGGCCGCAATCACAATTATCTGGGACTCTCGAAAGAACTCCAGGGTCTGGGCAGTCCCAGTGTAACCAATCAAGCAGAATCTCTAGGCGTTCGTGCTTTGAAATGAGGCTCCACATAGGTAAGTTTAACAGGCAGTCAAGATGGAGGACCACAGGTGGAGATCGGGAAGCTCAGGTGAAGGACCGCCCCCCAACACCCCCCGCCCCCAAAAGACCTCTCAGTAATTCCGGTGGATACAGGAAGTGCTCAGCAACGATTACGCCCCGAGGGCCAATCACAGGGCTGCGGCCGAGAAAGAAGCCTTAATAGAGCTTTCTCAACCTGCAGCCCTCATCTCCGCCGGCGAGTAGGGCCAGGTGTTGGGAGGTGAGTAGCTCTCCGGCAGCTCTGCAACTTCATTTCTTTATTTCTCCATTCCACAGTTGGTAAAATTTCTCCTTTTATTTCATATATTTTTTTTCTGAGACGGAGTCTCGCTCTGTCGCCCAGGCTGGAGTGCAGTGGCGCGATCTCTGCTCACTGCAAGCTCCGCCTCCCGGGTTCACGCCATTCTCCTGCCTCAGCCTCCCGAGTAGCTGGGACTACAGGCGCCCGCCACCACGCCCGGCTAATTTTTTGTATTTTTAGTAGGTGGCTCACGCCTGTAATCCCAGCACTTTAGGAGGCTGAGGCTGGCAGATCACCTGAGGTCGGGAGTTTGAGACCAGCCTGGCCAGCATGGCAAAACCCCGTCTCTATTGAAAAAAATACAAAAATTAACCAGGCGTTGTGGCGCATGCTTGTAATCTCAGCTACTCGGGAGGCTGAGGCAGGGGAATCACTTGAAGCCGGCAGGCGGAGGCTGCGGGGAGCCGAGATCGTGCCGTTGCACTCCAGCCTGGGGAACAGAGCAAGACTCCATTAAAAATAAAATAATAATAATACTGTGAATGTGAAACTGATGAACTTGGTGCTTTTCATGCGTCTCATAGTTGACGTGTCATTGATATTTCACTTGAAATACGGTTGGATTTTTATTAATAATATACCTGGGGTGATGGGAGAAGGTAGCCAATCACAGCTGAGGCTTCTAAGCGGTGATTCTCAGCCTCGGCCGCAATCACAGTTATCTGGGACTCTCGAAAGAACTCCAGGGTCTGGGCAGTCCCAGTGTAACCAATCAAGCAGAATCTCTAGGCGTTCGTGCTTTGAAATGAGGCTCCACATAGGTAAGTTTAACAGGCAGTCAAGATGGAGGACCACAGGTGGAGATCCGGAAGCTCAGGTGAAGGACCGCCCCCCAACACCCCCCGCCCCCAAAAGACCTCTCAGTAATTCCGGTGGATACAGGAAGTGCTCAGCAACGATTACGCCCCGAGGGCCAATCACAGGGCTGCGGCCGAGAGAGAAGCCTTATTAGAGCTTTCTCAACCTGCAGCCCTCATCTCCGCCGGCGAGTAGGGCCAGGTGTTGGGAGGTGAGTAGCTCTCCGGCAGCTCTGCAACTTCATTTCTTTATTTCTCCATTCCACAGTTGGTAAAATTTCTCCTTTTATTTCATATATTTTTTTTCTGAGACGGAGTCTCGCTCTGTCGCCCAGGCTGGAGTGCGGTGGCGCGATCTCGGCTCACTGCAAGCTCCGCCTCCCGGGTTCAGGCCATTCTCCTGCCTCAGCCTCCCGAGTAGCTGAGACTACAGGCACCTGCCACTATGCCCAGCTAATTTTTTTGTATTTTTAGTAGAGACGGGGTTTCACCATGTTGGCCAGGCTGGTCTCAGTCCGCCTCGGCCTCCCAAGGTGCCGGGATTACAGGCGTGAGCCACCGCGCCCAGCCTTTTTTTTTTTTTTTTTTTTTTTTTTCTTCTCTTTTTTGAGGGTCTTACTCTGTTTCCCAGGCTGGAGCGCTGTGGCAGGATCTCGGCTCACTGAACCCTTGACCTCTCAGGTTCAAGCAGTCCTCACGCCTCAGCCTTTGAAGTAGCTGGGACCGTGGGAGGGTGCCACCACATCTGTTCTGGCTAATAATATTATTATTACCACTGTTTGCAGAGACTCACTAGATGTAGGGTCTTAATATGTTGCCGAAGCTGGTCTCTAACTCCTGGGCTCAAGCGATCTTCCTGCCTCAGACTCCCAAAATTCTGGGATTATAGGCAGGTGCCACCGCGCCCGGCCTAAATCTTTTCTTCTGTTAGAAATTAAGTGGTTCTGCCTGTCTCAGTGGCTCACGCCTGTAATCGCAGCGCTTTGGGAGGCCGAGGCGGGAGGATCACCTGAGGTCGGGAGTTCGAGACCAGCCTGACCAACATGTAGAAACCCCATCTCTACTAAAAATATAAAATTAGGTGGGCGTGGTAGCGCATACTTGTAATCCTAGCTACTCAGGAGGCTGAGGCAGGAGAATCACTTGAACCCGGGAAGCGGAGGTTGCGGGGAGCCTAGATCATACCATTGCTCTCCAGCCTGCGCAGCAAGAGAGAAACTGTCTCAAAAAATAAAATAAAATAAAATTCAGTGGTTCTGACTGGGGAAAGAGTAGCAGATGCTTAGATCTAGAGAGACTCTAGTTAAGGTTGGCTCATAAGAGGATAGTTGTGTGTGCTTTTATTTCTGTTCTCTTGGGGGATTTAGGATAGAGCTATAGAGAGCTCCAAAAAAAAAAATATATTGGAACAGGTCAGATGCTGTGGTTGCTGTGTGTGGAGTCCTGGGCAGTGCTAAGGTTTTGTGTCTAATGAGTCCTCTTAACAAGAAGGTATTGTTTTTTATTCACTGAGGTGAGGGAGCCTCTTAGCATCATTCTAGTCCAGCTTCCGGACCTGAGTCTTATGCAAATACCTATGCCAGTTGCCATTCTCACGCTATTCACAGCTATCATATAAAGAGGTGTTATACCCTTTCTGTAAAGTTTTTGTTGCTACTGCTATTTTTTTTTTTTTTTTTTTGAGACAAAGTCTAGCTCTGTTTCCCAGGCTGGAGTACAGTGGCGCTATCTCAGCTCACTGCAACTTCCACCTCCCAGGTTCAAGCAATTCTCGTGCCTCAGCCTTCTAAGTAGCTGGGACTACAGCCGCCTGTCACCAACCTGGCTAATTTTCGTATTTTTAGTCGATATAGGGTTTCACTATGTTGGCCAGGCTGGTCTCAAGCTCCAGACCTCAGGTGATCCTCCCACCTTGGACTCCCAAAGTGCTGTGATTACAGGCGTGAGCCACCGCACCCGGCCCTGTTGTTTTTAAAATAGAGACAGGGTCTTAAGTTGCCAGGCTGGTCTGGAACTTCTGGACTGGAGTGATCACCCACCTGAGCTTCCCAAAGTGCGGGGATTGCAAGCGTCAGCCACCACCCCCAGTGTTGTGTTTTTGTTTGTTTTACCAGGCTGGAGTGCAGTGGTGCGATCACAGCTCACTGCAGCCTTAACTTCCCTGGCTCAGGTGATCCTCCCACCTCAGCCTCCTCAGTAGCTGGGACTACAGGTGCATGCCACTATGCCCAGCACAATTTTTTTTTTTTTTGTATTTTTTTGTAGAGACAGGGTTTTGCCATGTTGCCCAGGCTGGTCTCAAACTCCAAGCAATCCTCCCACCTTGGCTTCCCAAAGTGTTTGGGGTTCCAGGTGTGAGCCATGGCCCCCCGGCCAGCTTCAGTAAAGTAAAAGCCACACACCTGTGTCCTGAGACCAGGCTCCACCACTAAGTTATCTTTAAGCCTTTTTTTTTTTTGAGACAGTTTCACTCTTGTCGCCCCAGGCTGGAGTGCAGTGGCGCCATGTCAGCTCACCACAACCTCTGCCTCCCACTCCCAGGTTCAAGCGATTCTCCTGCCTCAGCCTCCCAAGTAGCTGGAACTACAGGCACCTGCCACCACGCCCGGCTAATTTTTTGTATTTTTAGTAGAGACGGGGTTTCACTGTGTTAGCCAGGATGGTCTCGATCTCCTGACCTCACGATCCGCCCGCCTCGGCCTCCCAAAGTGCTGGGATTGCAGGCGTGAGCCACCGCGCCCGGCTGTGTGTTTGCATTATCATATTCAGCCCAGTTTTCACGAAGTTTCTTGTCTCCTGGGTGATCCACGTAGCTCCCCACTTCCTTATCTGATCTATGCTTGTCCTTTCATTGTTGTGTTACTACTTTGCTATAATGAGAGAGTGTTTTCGCTTTATAGGTTAACTTTTAGAACCTGAGCAGCCCCTCAGGGAAAACCCTGACAGTAGCTGGTTATTTTGCAATTAGAAAAACTAGCTGGGCACTGAGGCAGGTGAATCACGAGGTCAGGAGTTCGAGACCAGCCTGGCCAACTTGGTGAAACCCCCCATCTCTACTAAAAATACAAAAAAATTAGCTGGGCACAGTGGTGAATGCCTGTAATCCCAGCTACTTGGGAGGCTGAGGCAGGAGAATTGCTTGAATCCGGGAGGCAGAGGTTGTAGTGAGCCGAGATTGCAGCACTGCACTCCAGCCAGGGTGACAAAGTGAGACTCCGTCTCAAAAAAAAAAAAAAAAAAAATACAAAAAGTAGCTGAGCGTGGTGGTGGGTGCCCATAATCCCAGCTAGTCGGGAGGCTGAGGCAGGAGAACTGTTTGAACCTGGGAGGCAGAGGTTGCAGTGAGCTGAGATCGTACTACTGTACTCCAGCCTGGGCTGCAGAGTGAAACTATCTCAAAAATAAGTAAATAAAAGTAAAATGAGTTGAGGTCTTGCTCTGTTGCCCAGATGGGAGTGCAGTGGCACAATCAAGGCTCACTGCAGTTTCAGTCTCCCAGGCTCAAGCAATCCTCCCACTGCAGCCTCCTGAGTAGCTGGGACTACAGGCATGTACCACCACCCACTGCTAACTTATTTTTCATGGAGATGGGGGTCTCACTATGTTGCCCAGGCTGGGAGTTTGTTCTTGAAGAAGCAGGGTAGATGGTGAGTGTCCTTGTTCGTGGCACAGCAGGAACTGGCATTTGAGACAGGAGTGCTAATCACCATCCCTCTCCACTCCTCCCTTGATTGTCATCACAGCTCCCACGTGGGACAAGATGGTGTCTTCGGCGCAGATGGGCTTCAACCTGCAGGCTCTCCTGGAGCAGCTCAGCCAGGATGAGTTGAGCAAGTTCAAGTATCTGATCACGACCTTCTCCCTGGCACACGAGCTCCAGAAGATCCCCCACAAGGAGGTAGACAAGGCTGATGGGAAGCAACTGGTAGAAATCCTCACCACCCATTGTGACAGCTACTGGGTGGAGATGGCGAGCCTCCAGGTCTTTGAAAAGATGCACCGAATGGATCTGTCTGAGAGAGCAAAGGATGAAGTCAGAGGTGAGTGGAAATCGGTCCACACTGTGTCCTAGGAGGAAGCAGGCGTCCTCTCCAGGACTTTAGAAATTCAGAAGGCCAGGCGCGCTGGCTCACGCCTGTCGTCCCAGCCCTTTGGGAGGCTGAGGCGGTTGGACCACCTGAGGGTCAGGAGTTTGAGACCAGCCTGACCAACATGGTGATGAAACAGCATCTCTACTAAAAATACAAAAATTTGCTGGACGTGGTGGCAGACACCTGTAATCCCAGCTACTCCGGGAGGCTGAGGCAGGAGAATCACTTAAATCTAGGAGGCGGGGGTTGCTATGAGCCGAGATCACGCCATTGCACCCCAGCCTGGGCAACAAGAGCAAAATTCTGTCTCAAAAAAAAAAAGAAATGGCATTGAGGCTTGGAGAGGGACTGCTTGTTCTGAATGCAGGTGCTGGATCTTCATAAACCCTGGTGTCTGTCCTGGTCCTTATTTTCTACCTACTTCTTTTTTTTTTTTTTTTTGTCCTTTTATTTTTTTATTTTTTATTTTATTATTATTATTTTTTTTATTATACTTTAAGTTTTAGGGTACATGTGCACATTGTGCAGGTTAGTTACATATGTATACATGTGCCATGCTGGTGCGCTGCACCCACTAACTCGTCATCTAGCATTAGGTATATCTCCCAATGCTATCCCTCCCCCCTCCCCCCACCCCACCACAGTCCCCAGAGTGTGATGTTCCCCTTCCTGTGTCCATGTGATCTCATTGTTCAATTCCCACCTATGAGTGAGAATATGCGGTGTTTGGTTTTTTGTTCTTGTGATAGTTTACTGAGAATGATGGTTTCCAATTTCATCCATGTCCCTACAAAGGACATGAACTCATCATTTTTTATGGCTGCATTGTATTCCATGGTATATATGTGCCACATTTTCTTAATCCAGTCTATCATTGTTGGACATTTGGGTTGGTTCCAAGTCTTTGCTATTGTGAATAATGCTGCAATAAACATACGTGTGCATGTGTCTTTATAGCAGCATGATTTATAGTCATTTGGGTATATACCCAGTAATGGGATGGCTGGGTCAAATGGTATTTCTAGTTCTAGATCCCTGAGGAATCCCCACACCGACTTCCACAATGGTTGAACTAGTTTACAGTCCCACCAACAGTGTGAAAGTGTTCCTATTTCTCCACATCCTCTCCAGCACCTGTTGTTTCCTGACTTTTTAATGATCGCCATTCTAACTGGTGTGAGATGATATCTCATAGTGGTTTTGATTTGCATTTCTCTGATGGCCAGTGATGATGAGCATTTTTTCATGTGTTTTTTGGCTGCATAAATGTCTTCTTTTGAGAAGTGTCTGTTCATGTCGTTCGCCCACTTTTTGATGGGGTTGTTTGTTTTTTTCTTGTAAATTATTTTCTACCTATTTCTATCGCTTTCAGGTATCGTACAGTTGGCCTAACATATCTGTGGATTTAACCAATCCTAGATCAAAAATAATGGGGGCAAAGACAATTAAAAATAACAATACAATAAAATGCACATGAACTATGGTTATTTAACTCTTCTTGAGAGAGGATCTCACTCTGTCACCCAGGCTGGAATTTAGCAGCACGATCTCGGCTCACTGCAACCTCCGCCTCCCGGGTTCAAGCGATTCTCCTGCCTCAGCCTCCCGAGTAGCCGGGATTACAAGCATGTCCCACCATGCCTGGCTGATTTTTTTTTTTTTTTTTTTTGTATTCTAAATAGAGATGGGGTTTCACCATGTTAGCCAGGATAGTCTCGATGTCGTGACCTCATGATCTGCCCGCCTCGGCCTCCCAAAGTGTTGGGATTACAGGCGTGAGCCACCGCACCCAGCCAGCAAGTGCATTTAGAACTACTCTACTTTCTACCCCATAACTTTTTTTTTTGTTTGTTTGAGACAAGTCTCACTCTGTCACCCAGGATGGAGTGCAGCAGCACAATCTCAGCTTATTGCAACTCCCGCCCCCTGGGTTCAAGTGTTTCTCCTGCATCAGCCTCTTGAATAGCTAGGATTATACAGGCACCTGCCACTGTGCCTGGCTAAATTTTGTATTTTAATAGAGATGGGGTTTCACTATGTTGGCCAGGCTGGTCTTGAACTCCTGACCACGTGATCAACCCGCCTCAGCCTCCCAATGTGCTGGAATTACAGGTGTGAGCCGCCATGCCCAGCTACACTTTTTTTTGAAACGGGGTCTCGTTTTCTTGCTCAGGCTGGAGTACAATGGGGCAATCACAGCTCACTGCAGCCTTGACCTCCCAGACTTGAGCAATCCTACCACTATGGCCTCCCACCACACCTCGCTCATTCTTGTATATATATATATTTTTGTAGAGATAGGGTTTCACCATGTTGCCCAGGCTGGTCTCGAACTTCTGTGGGCTCAACCGATCCTCCTGCCTTGGCTTCCCACAGTCCTGGGATCAGAAACATGAGCCACAGTGCCTGGCCAGTGCAGCTTTATTTACAGTAACCAAGATATAGAGTCAGTCTAAGTGACCATCAGTGGATGAATAAAAAATGTGCCCGTTGGGTACCCTGCCTACTGCCTGGGTTATGAGATTGTTGGGACCCCAAGCCTTAAAAAGGAAACATGGTAGGCCGGGCACAGTGGCTCACGCCTGTAATCACAGCACTTTGGGAGGCCAAGGCGGGTGGATCACTTGAGGCCAGGAGTTTGAGACCAGTCAGGCCAATGTGGTGAAACCCTGTCTCTACTAAAAATATAAAAAAATCAGCCGGGCGTGGTGGCACACTCCTGTAGTCCCAGCTACTTGGGAGGCTGAGGCAGGAGGATTGCTTGAACCAGAGAGTCAGAGGTTGCAGTGAGCCAAGATCGTGCCACTGCGCTCCAGCCTGGGTGACAGCAAGACTCCATCTCAAAAAAAAAAAACAAACAAACATGGTATTAATTACACAATGGAATACTCCTCAACCTTAAGGAACTCCTATCTTTTTATTTAAAAATTGCCAGTTTTATTTCAGCTAGAGATCACTTTTTAGCATAATGTTTCCTGTCTTTAACAATGGGTGAGGGTTTTTTTTTTTTTTTTTTTGGTTTGGTTTGGATTTTGGTTTTGCTTTTGAGTCGAAGTTTCACTCTTGTCTCCCAGGCTAGAGTGCAATGGCGCGATCTCGGCTCACTGTGACCTCCTCCTCCCAGGTTTAAGTGATTCTCCTGCCTCAGCCTCCAGAGTAGCTGGGATTACAGGCGCCTACCACCATGCCCGCTAATTTTTGTATTTTAGTAGAGACAGGGTTTTACCATGTTGACCAGACTGGTCTCGAACTCCCGACCTCAGGTGATCTGCCCACCTCAGCCTCCCAGAGTGCTGGGATTACAGGTGTGAGCAACCATGCCCGGCCAAGGGTTTTTAACTTTAGCTGACCTCCGGAGGTTACAAGTTTGAAAACGGCAGGAGGAAACCCAGAGAGTTGTAAACTTACGAAGGTCTGGGCTCTGAAAAAGATACAAATTTTCTTTCCATGCCAATAGCGCTCACACAGACATGGTGAATGTTCCTGAAACCCGCCGGACTTTCTGTAAGAAGTGTGGCAAGCACCACCCCCACAAAGTGACACAAGGCAAGGATTCTTGGTATGCCCAGGGGAAGTAGTGTTATGACAGGAAGCAGAGTGGCTATGGTGGGCAGACTAAGCCGATTTTCCGGAAAAAGGCTAAAACTACAAAGAAGATTGTGCTAAGGCTTGAGTGCCTTGAGCCCAACTGCAGATCTAAGAATGCTGGCTATTAAAAGATACAAGCAGCCAAGCGCGGTGGCTCACGCCTGTAATCCCAACACTTTGGGAGGCCGAGGTGGGCGGATCACAAGGTCAGGAGTCTGAGACCAGCCTGGCCAAAATGGTGAAACCCCATCTCTACTAAAAATACAAAACTTAGCTGGGCATGGTGGTGTATGCCTATAGTCCCAGCTACTCAGGAAGCTGAGGCAGGAGAATCGCTTGAACCTGGGAGGCAGAGGTTGCAGTGAGCCAAGATTGTGCCACTCCAGCCTGGGCAACAGAGTGACACTCTGTCTCAAAAAAAAAAGATGCAAGCATTTTGAACTGGAAGGAGATAAGAGAAAGGAACAAGTGATCCAGTTCTAAGTGTCATCTTTTCTTTTATGAAGGCAATAAAATCTTGAGCTTATGGTAAAATGCAAAATTTTCCCCCCTTCTCCTTTTTCAGAAGCAGCTTTGAAATCCTTTAATAAAAGGAAGCCTCTATCATTAGGTAAGTTACCTCATTTATAACTTTTATTCTTCATGTGAGATCTGGGGACTCGGGCCTTTGTTTTAAGGAGAATGTGCTGAGCACTAAGAATGCAAAGAAATGCCGGACTTAGCATCCCTGCTCCCAGGGCGGAGCTGGTCTCGCAGGTGCGTAGCAGTAAGACCTGGGAAGCTGAAACACGATCGCGTTTGTTGGAAATCTATAAATACATACAAAGCGGGGAAGGGTAAGCTTGGCCTTTGAATCTGGATAAGGTAGAGACTTTTCTTTTTTGAGATGGAGGCTTGCTCTGTCACCTAGGCTGAAGTGCAGTGGTACGACCTCGGCTGACTGCAACCTCTACCTCCTGGGTTCAAGCAGTTCTCCTGCCTCAGCCTCTAGAATAGCTGGGATTACAGGTACCTGCCACCAGGCCCGGCTAATTTTTTGTGGTGTTTGTAGAGATGGGGTTTCACCATGATGGCCAGGCTGGTCTTGAACTCCTGACCTCAAGTGATCTGCCCACCTCAGCGTCCCAAAATGCTGGGATTATGGGCATGAGCCACCACCACACCCGGTTTTGTTTTTTTTTTTTTTTTTTTTTTTTTTTTTTTTTTTTTGAAACAGGGCTTCACTCTGTCACTTAGGCTGGAGTGGTGCAATCATGGTTCACTGCAGCCTTGACCTCCCAAGCTCTGGTGATCCTCCTGCCTCAGCCTCCTGAGTAGCTGGGACCACAGGCACTTGCCACCATGCCTGGCTAATTTTTTTCACTTTTTGTAGAGACAGGGTCTTGCTATGTTGCCCAGGCTGGCCTCGAATTACTAAACTCAATCAGTCCTCCTGCCTCACCCTCCCAAACTGCTGGGGTACAGGTGTGAGCCATGACACCTGGCCCTTACCAGCTACTTATATCCTGAAGATTATTATTATTTTTTTTTTTTTTGAGATAGAGTCTCTCTCTGTTGCCCAGGCTGGAGTGCAGTGGCGTGATCTCGGCTCACTGCAAGCTCCGCCTCCCGGGTTCATGCCATTCTCCTGCCTCAGCCTCCCGAGTAGCTGGGACTACAGGCGCCCACCACCACGCCTGGCTAATTTTTTTGTGTTTTTAGTAGAGACGGGGTTTCACCGTGTTAGCCAGGATGGTCTCGATCTCCTGACCTTGTGATCCGCCCGCCTCGGCCTCCCAAAGTGCTGGGATTACAGGCGTGAGCCACCGCGCCCGGCCCCTGAAGATTGTGTTTTGAGATGGGGTCTTGCTGTGTTGCTCCGGCTTGATTGCAGTGGCACAGTCATAGCTCATTGCAGCCTCAACCTTCCAGGCTCCAGAGATCCTCTTACCTCAGCCTCCTGAGTAGCTGGGACTACAGGTGTGCACTGCCACACCTGACTAATATTTGTATTTTTGGTAGGGACAGTTTCACTATGTTGCCAGATATGGTGTCAAACTCCTGGTCTCAAGTGATCCTCCCACCTTGGCCTCCCAAAGTGCTGGGATTACAGACATGATTCACCACACCTGGCCATGAAGACTTTTTTTTTTTGGACAAAGTCTCACTCTGTTGCCCAGGATGGAATGCAGTGGCATGATCTCAGCTCACTGCAACCTCTGACCTCCGCCTCCCGGTTCAAGTGATTCTCTTGCCTCAGCCTCCCGAGTAGCTGGGATTATAGGTGTCTGCCACCAAGCCCAGCTAATTTTTGTAATTTTAGTAGAGATGGGGTTTCACCATGTTGGCCAGGCTGGTCTTGAACTCCTGACCTCGTGATCCACGTGCCTCAGCCTCCCAAAGTGTTGGGATTACAGGTGTGAGTCACTGCGCCTGGTCTCATGAAGACCTTTTTTGAGACAGAGTCTTGCTCTGTCACCCAGGCTGGAGTGCAGTGGTACAATCTCACTGCAGCCTCCGCCTCCCAGGTTCAAGTGATTCTCCTGCCTTAGCCTCCCAAGTAGCTGGGATTACAGGCGCCTACCACCACGTCTGGCTAATTTTTGTATTTTTAGTAGAGACAGGGTTTCACCATGTTGGCCAGGCTGGTCTCAAACTGCTGACCTCAAATGAACTGTCTGCCTCAGCCTCACAAAGTACTGGGATTACAGGCATGAGCCACCTCACCTGGTGGTGAAGACTCTAAAGGCTCTTCTCAGATCAGCCTTTGTCCTGAATTTCACATGCCCGTGTCCAGTTCCCTCCCCAGCATCTTTTCAGGAGTTCCATGGACTCACCTCTTCATTATCCAGGGTTAAGCTGCAGATATTGTTATTAGGATTCCACCTTGTTCTCTCTCTTTTTTTTTTTTTTTTTGATACGGAGTCTCGCTTGCTCTTTTGCCAGGCTGAAGTGCAGTGGAGCGATCTTGGCTCACTGCAATCTCCGCCTCCTGGGTTCAAGCAATTCCCTTGCCTCAGCCTCGCAAGTAGCTGGGACTTACAGGTAACACACCACCATGCCCGGCTAATTTTTTGTTTTAGTAGAGACGGGGCTTCACCATGTTGGCCGGGATGGTCTCGATCTCCTGACCTCATGATCCGCCTGCCTTGGCCTCCCAAAGTGTTGGGTTACAGGCATGAGCCACCATGCCCGGCTGATTCCACCTTGTTCTTACATTCTTTCCCAGTTCATTTTAAATTTATCTACCTCATCAGAAACTAGGGGGTTAGGCCTGGCAGGCAGATCACCTGAGGTTGGGAGTTCGAGACCAGCCTGACCAACGTAGAGAAACCCTGTCTGTACTAAAAATACAAAATTAGCCAGGTATGGTGGCACATTCCTGTAATCCCAGCTACTCCGGAGGCCGAGGCAGGAGAATCACTTGAACCCAGGAGGCGGAGGTTGCAGTGAGCCGACATCACACCATTGCATTCCAGCCTGGGCAACAAGAGCAAAACTACATCTCAAAAAAAAAGAAAAACTAGGCAGTTAATCCTCAAAGCCTTTCCAGTGGCCTTATGCGTGAGTAGTTTGTGTGTGTGTGTGTGTGTGTGTGTGTGTGTGTGTGTCTTTCACACCATGTGTTCTGAACTACTTAGGAATTCTCACCAGAAAGGCACATAAACCTGGGATCATGGCCTAATGTACTTTCACTTTTACATCCAGTACCTTATCAACGTCCTTTTTAGTACCTAATCTAGGCTTCACTACTGAGACTCAGGGGTCCAACTTGAGCCATCTTGGAGTCCCACTGCCAGCACAGCAACAGGCCTGTAATGCCGCCCTTTTTCTCCAGGGATAACACGGAAAGAACGACCACCTCTAGACGTGGACGAAATGCTGGAGCGCTTCAAAACAGAAGCACAAGGTGGGTGTCAGGACCTCCAATGTTGGAGTCAGCTGAGGAAGCCCCCCGTTCTTGCTGCTATCTCCTGTTCCTTTGAAGAACCCCATCTCTCTCCAATCTTTTCCTCCACTATTCTTAATGTGCCCACTGTCTCCTGGAGAATGCCAACCTCCCTTCCGTAAGAATAGAGGGAAGAACGAACGTTGCAGAGAATTAGAACTCAGTTTGTAGAAAGTTAGGAGCACAGCGCAGAGAGTTTTTGTTTTTGTTTTTGTTTTGAGACAGTTTCTCTGTTGGCCAGGTTGGAATGCAATGGCGCGATCTCGGCTCACTGTAACCTCCACCTCCCAGGTTCAAGCGATTCTCCTGATTCTCCTGACTCAGCCTCCTGAGTAGCTGGGATTATAGGCACCTGCCACCACACCCAGCTAATTTTTTTTTTTTTTTTTGAGACGAAGTCTTGTTCTTGTCACCCAGGCTGGAGTATAGTGGCACCATCCCTGTTCACTGCAACCTCCGCCTCCCAGATTCAAGTGATTGTCCTGTCTCAGCCTCCTGAGTAGCTGGGACTACAGGTGCATGCCACCACGCCCAGCTAATTTTTTTTTGTACTTTTAGTAGAGACAGGTTTCACCATCTCATTCAGGGTGGTCTCAAACTCCTGACCTCAAGAGATCTGCTCCACCCACCCCCAAGTCTCCCGAAGTGCTGGGATTACAGGCGAGAGCCACCGTACCCGGCCTTCTTTAAATTATTTAAAAGTTGACAGGTGGCCAGGTGTGGTGGCTCTCACCTATAATCTCCCAGCACTTTGGGAGGCTGAGGCGGGTGGATCAAGAGATCGAGACCATCCTGGCCAACATGGTGAAACCCAACTCTACTAAAAACACAAAAATTAGCCGGGTGTGGTGGCACCCGCCTGTAGTCCCAGCTACTCAGGAGGCTGAGGCAGGAGAATCGCTTGAACCCGGGAGGTGGAGGTTGCAGTGAGCCAAGATTGTGCCACTGCACTCCAGCCTGGCAACAGTGCGAGACTCCATCTTAAAAAAAAAAAAAAAAAATTGACAGGCATAAATGTATTTATGGTACATTGCTCAGACAACTTTAATATAAACAACTTACAGAGAAAATTGAGTCTTTTGGGTAGGTGACTTGCCTGAGCTGACTTTGTGATAGGTTTTTTCTGTTTTTTTTGTTTTTGAAATAGAGTCTCACTCTGTCATGCAGGCTGGAGTGCAGTGGCCCCATCTTGGCTCACTGCAATCTCTGCCTCCTGGGTTCAAGGGGTCTTCCTGCCACAGCCTCCCCAGGTGCTGGGACTATAGGTGCCCACCACTATGCCTGGCTAACTTTTGTGTTTTTAGTACAGATGGGGTTTCAACAGGGTAGCCAGGTTGGTCTAGAACTCCTGACCTCAAGTGATCCACCTACCTCGGTCTCCTAAAGTGCTGGGATTACAGCTGTGAACCACCGCACCTAGCCTGTGATCAGTTTCAGATCAGCCTTGCTTACTCCACATTCCCTCTTATCTTCCTGGTAGCATTTTTGTTTTTTCTTGAGAAAGAGTTTTGCCCTTGTCGCCCAGGCTAGAGTGCAATGGTGTGATCTCGGCTCGCCACAACCTCCACCTCCCAGGTTCAAGTGATTCTGCCTCAGCCTCCCGAGTAGCTGGGATCATAGGCGCCCACCACCACATCTGGCTAATTTTTGCATTTGTTAGTTTTATTTTTAGTAGACAGGGTTTCACCATGTTGGGCAGGCTGGTCTTGAACTCCTGACCTCAGGTGATCCACCCACTTCGGCCTCCCAAAGTGCTGGGATTACAGGCATGAGCCACCGTACCTAGCCCACATTGACTTTTGATACAGCAAGTATTTCTTGCTATGGCTCTGTATAATAGAGGTGAGTAACTTGGTTGAAGGAATTGTTTGCCCTGTTCATCTCTCTAGACACGGCCAATGTCATTCCTGGCACACAATCTTTTTTTTTCTTGAGATGGAGTCTCACTCTGTTGCCCAGACTGGAGTGCAGTGGTGCAATCTTGGCCCACTGCAACCTCTGCTACCCAGGTTCAAGCGATTCTCCTGCCTCAGCCTCCCAAATAGCTGGGAGTACAGGTGTGTGCCACCACGCCCAGCTAATTTTTTGTATTTTAGTAGAGACAGGGTTTCACCGTGTTAGTCAGGATGGTCTGGATCTCCTAACCTCGTGATCCGTCCGCCTCAGCCTCCCAAAGTGCTGGGATGACAGGCGTGAGCCACTGTGCCCAGCCTAGCACACAATCTTGACAAAGAATTTCGGTGCGACTTGGGGTACTGTGGTGCCTGCTCTATCATCATGCTTCAGCAGGAAATGTGGGTGAATAGTGCCTGGTGGCATGGCAGGTAAAGAAATGTTTTGTTTTGTTTTTTTTTTTGAGACAGTCTTGCTCTGTCACCCAAGCTGGAGTGCAGTGGCGCAATCTCGGCTCACTGCAAGCTCCATCTCCCGGGTTCACGCCATTCTGCCTCAGCCTCCCCAGTAGCTGGGACTACAGGCGCCCGCCACACGCCCGGCTAATTTTTTGTATTTGTAGTAGAGACAGGGTTTCACCGTGTTAGCCAGGATGGTCTCGATCTCCTGACCTTATGATCCACCCGCCTTGGCCTCCCAAAGTGCTGGGATTACAGGCGTGAGCCACCGCGCCCAGCCGCGGGTAAAGAAATTTATGAAGACAATCGTAGGTAAAGGAAGGCAGATTTATTGGAGAAAGTAGGAAAAGACATTGGCAGAGAGACCCCAGCGGGCAGGTTGTCATGAGTAGCTCACTGCCAGGAGACCAAAGCTTCCTGCAGATTTTATAGAATAGGGCTTGGGCTGATTGATAATGTCAACAGGGGGTTTAACTTGCGGTCTTCTTTCAGCAGAAGTGTTTGATAAACTGAGGCGTTTCATGGCAAACAGGGAGTTTGTGAGCTCTGTGTGTGATCTGGCCAGGAAGGCCAAACATCTTGGGCCGTATCTCCTGGACCATAAAAGCAGACCTGGCCCAGTGCAGTGGTTCATGCCTGCAATCCCAGCACTTTGGGAGGCTGAGGTGGGTGGATCATCTGAGGTCAGCAGTTTTAGACTGGCCTGGCCAACATGGCGAAACCCCATCTCTACTAAAAATACAAAAATTAGCCTAGACGCAGTGGCACATGCCTGTAATTCCAGTTACTTGGGAAGCTGAGGCAGGAGAATCGCTTGAACCCGGGAGGCGGAGGTTGCAGTGAGCTGAGATTGCGCCACTGCACTCCAGCCTGGGCAACAGAGTGAGACTGTCTCAAACAGACCTATAGCTGACCTGTTTCCTCTTGTTTGTATGCCCTGAACCATGGAGGAAAGCTTATTTATTTATTTTATTGAGATGGAGTCTTGCTCTGTTGCCCAGGGTGGAGTGCAGTAGTGCGATCTCTTACTACAACCTCCATCTCCCAGGTTCAAGCAATTCTCGAGCCTCTTGGCCTCCCAAGTAGCTGAGATTACAGGCATGCGCCACCACGCCTGGCTAATTTTTGCATTTTTAGTAGAGATGGGGTTTCTGTGTTGGCCAGGCTGGTCTCGAACTCCTGAGCTCAAGTGATCCACCCCACCTCAGCCTCCCAAAGTTCTGGGATTATAGGCATGAGCCACCACACCTGGCCGGAAAACACATTTGTAGCTTATTTGCTTTATCTGATCCCGTGCCCCCCCTCCCCCCCGCCCCATCAGCCTGCCTCCTTTTCTCTAATTGGGACTCCACAGGAAATACACCTGATTTTGTGTCAATCTCACATGAGTTTGTATTTTGTAGCGTTTACAGAAACGAAAGGAAATGTCATCTGCCTGGGTAAAGAAGTCTTTAAAGGAAAAAAGCCAGGTCTGTACCATATCTTCCTGCAGGGAGCTTGGGATCAGATTTCTCTTTATAAACTTGAAGTCCTCTTAACTTTCCTATGTAACACAAAGCATTTATTTATGTATGTATGTATCGAGACGGAGTTTTGCTCTTGTTGCCCAGGCTGGAGTGCCGTGGCGTGATCTCGACTCACTGCAACCTCCGCCTCCCAGGTTCAAGCAATTCTCCTGCCTCAGCCTCCCGAGTAGCTGGGATTACAGGCATGCGCCACCATGACTGGCTAATTTTTTATTTTTAGTAGAGACAAGGTTTCTTCATGTTGGTCAGGCTGGTGTTGAACTCCCAATGTCAGGTGATCTGCCTGCCTCGACCTCCCAAAGGGCTGGGATTACAGGCATGAGCCACTGTGCCCGGCCAACACAAGGCATTTTGTTATTTTGGTTTTCCCTATGGGTAACTGATTGCATCCTCTCTCCCTTCCCTCCTCACCAATGATAAAGACAAAGACAATAGGTGCAGGTATATATTGAAGACGAAGTTCCGGGAGATGTGGAAGAGCTGGCCTGGAGATAGCAAAGAGGTCCAGGTTATGGCTGAGAGATACAAGATGCTGATCCCATTCAGCAACCCCAGGGTGCTTCCCGGGCCCTTCTCATACACGGTGGTGCTGTATGGTCCTGCAGGCCTTGGGAAAACCACGCTGGCCCAGAAACTAATGCTAGACTGGGCAGAGGACAACCTCATCCACAAATTCAAATATGCGTTCTACCTCAGCTGCAGGGAGCTCAGCCGCCTGGGCCCGTGCAGTTTTGCAGAGCTGGTCTTCAGGGACTGGCCTGAATTGCAGGATGACATTCCACACATCCTAGCCCAAGCACGGAAAATCTTGTTCGTGATTGACGGCTTTGATGAGCTGGGAGCCGCACCTGGGGCGCTGATCGAGGACATCTGCGGGGACTGGGAGAAGAAGAAGCCGGTGCCCGTCCTCCTGGGGAGTTTGCTGAACAGGGTGATGTTACCCAAGGCCGCCCTGCTGGTCACCACGCGGCCCAGGGCCCTGAGGGACCTCCGGATCCTGGCGGAGGAGCCGATCTACATAAGGGTGGAGGGCTTCCTGGAGGAGGACAGGAGGGCCTATTTCCTGAGACACTTTGGAGACGAGGACCAAGCCATGCGTGCCTTTGAGCTAATGAGGAGCAACGCGGCCCTGTTCCAGCTGGGCTCGGCCCCCGCGGTGTGCTGGATCGTGTGCACGACTCTGAAGCTGCAGATGGAGAAGGGGGAGGACCCGGTCCCCACCTGCCTCACCCGCACGGGGCTGTTCCTGCGTTTCCTCTGCAGCCGGTTCCCGCAGGGCGCACAGCTGCGGGGCGCGCTGCGGACGCTGAGCCTCCTGGCCGCGCAGGGCCTGTGGGCGCAGACGTCCGTGCTTCACCGAGAGGATCTGGAAAGGCTCGGGGTGCAGGAGTCCGACCTCCGTCTGTTCCTGGACGGAGACATCCTCCGCCAGGACAGAGTCTCCAAAGGCTGCTACTCCTTCATCCACCTCAGCTTCCAGCAGTTTCTCACTGCCCTGTTCTACACCCTGGAGAAGGAGGAGGAAGAGGATAGGGACGGCCACACCTGGGACATTGGGGACGTACAGAAGCTGCTTTCCGGAGTAGAAAGACTCAGGAACCCCGACCTGATCCAAGCAGGCTACTACTCCTTTGGCCTCGCTAACGAGAAGAGAGCCAAGGAGTTGGAGGCCACTTTTGGCTGCCGGATGTCACCGGACATCAAACAGGAATTGCTGCGATGCGACATAAGTTGTAAGGGTGGACATTCAACGGTGACAGACCTGCAGGAGCTCCTCGGCTGTCTGTACGAGTCTCAGGAGGAGGAGCTGGTGAAGGAGGTGATGGCTCAGTTCAAAGAAATATCCCTGCACTTAAATGCAGTAGACGTTGTGCCATCTTCATTCTGCGTCAAGCACTGTCGAAACCTGCAGAAAATGTCACTGCAGGTAATAAAGGAGAATCTCCCGGAGAATGTCACTGCGTCTGAATCAGACGCCGAGGTTGAGAGGTGAGAACCGTTTCACTCTACCAGTCGTTCCATCTTTAGCCTCATCCCATGCCCCCTTAGGAAGAGGCCAGAGCCTCCTATGCACTGTGGCTTAGGGTCAGGAATTCCCTCTTGTTGGACTCTTTGTTTGTTTTTGTTTTGAGATGGAGTCTTGCTCTGTCGCTCAGGCTGGAGCGCAGTGGCGCGATCTTGGCTCCCTGCAACCTCCGCCTCCCGGGTTCAAGTGATTCTTCTGCCTCAGCCTCCTGAGTAGCTGGGACTACAGGCGCCTGCCACCTTGCCCGGCTAATTTTTATATTTTCATTAGAGACGGGATCTCAGCATGTTGGCCAGTCTGGTCTTGAACTCCGCCTGACCTCAGGTGATCCACCTGCCTCAGCCTCCAAAGTGGGATTACAGGCATGATTCACCATGCCCGGCCCAAATATATTTTTTTAAGACAGGGTCTTGCTGTGTTGCTCAGGCTGGAGTACAGTGGTGAAATCAGCTCACTGCATCCTCAAACTTCTGGGTTCAAGTGATGTTCCTGAGTACCTGGGATGACAGGTATTAAGTGTGCACCATCATGTCCAGCTAACTTAAGTGGGGGTTTTTTTTTGTGTTTTTTTTTTTTTTTTTTTTTTTGGAAAGACAAAATCTCACTATGTTGTCCAGGCTGGTCTTGAACTCCCAAAGCACTGAGATTACAGGCATGAGTTACCACACGCCCTGCCTGAATATTTCTTATTGATATGTATAGATATGTATATTCCCAATCTTTTTTTTTTTTTTTGAGACGGAGTTTCACTCTTTTTCCCAGGTCGGAGTGAAGTGGCTCGATCTCGGCTCACTGCAACCTCCGCCCCACCAGGTTCAATGATTCTCCTGCCTCAGCCTCATGAGTAGCTGGGATTACAGCCACCCACGACCATGCCCAGCTAATTTTTGTACTTTTAGTAGAGACGGGGTTTCACCATGTTGGCCAGGCAGGTCTCGAACTCCCGACCTCAGGTGATCCACCCGCCTCAGCCTCACAAAGTGCTAGGATTATAGGCGTGAGTCACCGTGCCCGGTCTATATTCTCTATCTTTTATCAATGATGTGCTTAGCATTTTAACTTATTTTTACCCTCTATTGGATTTTTGTCTAAGAAGAATAGGTTCTTTCTCCTGTGATGCTTCTTGGGTGTTGAGTTGTCTGATGGTGGTGCTAATAAGTGATTACATGGTCCAGCTTTCAATTGTACTCATTTGTCAGGGGTATATGCCCAGAGAAACCCTAAATACTTCAGCCGTGATGGACACACATTTGGTGTAACCCTTTCTTCTCTTCCCTATAGATCCCAGGATGATCAGCACATGCTTCCTTTCTGGACGGACCTTTGTTCCATATTTGGATCAAATAAGGATCTGATGGGTCTAGCAATCAATGATAGCTTTCTCAGTGCCTCCCTAGTAAGGATCCTGTGTGAACAAATAGCCTCTGACACCTGTCATCTCCAGAGAGTGGTGTAAGTAGAAACTAATTCATGAACTCAAATCCTTAGGGTATGAAAATGGTACAATGTTAACATCGGAGCAATATTCAGATTCCTGTACTAGACTCTTAAGTGCTCGAGACACAGGGAATTGAGAGAGTCCTGTCCTTAAATTTATTTTGTGGGATAATCGTATAAAGTAATTTCTAGGGGCTGGGCATGGTGGTTCACACTTGTAATTCCAACACTTCGGGAGGCCGAGGCAGACAGATCACTTGAGGTCAGGAGTTCGAGACCAGCCTGGCCAACGTGACAAAACCCTGCCTCTACTAAAAATACAAAAATTATCCAGGCGTGGTGGCAGGCACCTGTAATATCAGCTACTTGGGAGGCTGAGGCAGGAGAATTACTTGAACCCAGGAGGCGGAGGTTGCAGTGAACCAAGATCCTGCCACTGGACTCCAGTCTGAGTGACAGAGCGAGACTGCGTCTCAAAAAAAAAAAAAAAAAAAAAGAAAAAGAAAAAAAGGGCCGGGCACAATGGCTCACGCCTGTAGTCCCAGCACTTTGGGGGCCCAAGGTGGGGGGATCACTTGAGGTCAGGAGTTCAAGACCAGCCTGGCCAAGATGGTGCAAGACCCTGTCTCTACGAAAAATACAAAAATTTGCCAGGTGTCGTGGCAGGTGCCTATAATCCCAGCTACTCCGGATGCTGAGGGTAGGAGTCGCTTGAATCCGGGAGGCAGAGTTTGCTTTGCAGTGAGCCGAGATCGCGCCACTGCACTCCAGCCTGGGCAACAGAGTGAGACTCCATCTCAAAGAAAAAAAAAATCTGTAAAGATGGACAAAAATTTAAACATGGAAAAAATAGTTCCTAAAGTTTAAATATATCGAGCCCCTGGTTTCCATTTAAGTACGATACAGGTGTACACACTAAAGATTTCACTTTCGTTCTCTTTTCCCTAGGTTCAAAAACATTTCCCCAGCTGATGCTCATCGGAACCTCTGCCTAGCTCTTCGAGGTCACAAGACTGTAACGTATCTGACCCTTCAAGGCAATGACCAGGATGATATGTTTCCCGCATTGTGTGAGGTCTTGAGACATCCAGAATGTAACCTGCGATATCTCGGGTATATCTCTTAATCATTAAAATCCTTCATCATACAAACATAAGCTACCACAAGCTTATGTGGCAATTTTGTGTAAATAAGAAAAAGTTCGTTATTCTGACTAGAAACAGTACTAAGGGCAGATGACCCAGGATGCAGCATGGGCTGAACTTGAGTTTCTACTTGCCTTGAACAGTAAACACCCTGGACAACCATACGTGAGGACCCTGAATCCAAAGAAACTCCCAGAATCTTTATCATCTTTTTTTTTTTTTTTATGAAGTCTTGCTCTGTTGCCCAGGCCAAAGTGCAATGGCACGATCTTGGCTCACTGCAACCTCTGTCTCCTGGGTTCAAGTAATTCTGCTGCCTCAGCCTCCCAAGTTGCTGGGATTACAGGCACCCGCCACCACGCCCGGCTAATTTTTGTGCATTTAGTGGAGCTGGTTTCGCCACATTGCCAGGCTGGTCTCGAACTCATGACCTCAGGTGACCTGCCCTCCTCAGGCTCCCAAAGTGCTGGGATTATAGGCATGAGCCACCATGCCCAGCCAGAGTCCTTATGTTTTGGTTTTGGTTTTGGTTTTTTCTTTTTCTTTTTTCTTTTTGAGATGGAGTCTCGCTCTGTCACCCAGGCTGGAGTGCGTTGGTATGATCTCAGGTCACTGCAGCCTCCACCTCCCAGGTTCAAGTGATTCTCCTGCCTCAGCCTCCTGAGTAGCTGGGATTACAGGTGCACACCACCACACCTGGTTAATTTTTGTATTATTAGTAGAGATGGAGTTTTACCACATTGGCCAGGCTGGTCTCGAACTCATGACCTCAGGTGATCTACCCCCCCACCCCCACCCCACCCCGCCGTCGGCCTCCCAAAGTGAGGCATGAGCCACCGTGCCCAGCCCAGAATCTTTATCTTCTATCAGAGATCATTCACTCATGGTTCATGCTTCTCCTGTATGATGATTCAGAATACCAGCTATTGACATTTTTCAAGCAAGAACCCTTCAGGAACATCAAGTTGCCCCTTTTCTGTTAGTCCTCTGGTTTGAGAGCTCTCCCCTTGGGAAGCTGTCCAGTGGCTGCCCAGGCGATGAGAACCTACATGCATCATGGGGTTCCATGAAGCCTCACTTGGCCACACTGGTGTAGTAGGTGGTCATTGGCCTCAAATTATTGCCCTGGGCCAGGCGCAGTGGCTCACGCCTGGGAGGCCGAGGTGGGTGGATCACTTGAGGTCAGGAGTTCAAGACCGGCCTGGTCAACATGGTGAAACTCTGTCTCTACTAATAATACAAAAATTAGCTGGGCATGTTGGCGCACGCCTGTAGTCCCAGCTACTCAGGAGGCTGAGGCAGGAGCATCATTTGAACCTGAGAGGCGGAGGTTGCAGTGAGCTGAGATCACACCACCGCACTCCAGTCTGGGCAACAGTGTGAGACTGTCTCAAAAAAAAAAAAAAAAATCTTGGCTGGGTGCGGTAGCTCATGCCTGTAATCCCAGCACTTTGGGAGGCCAAGGCAGGTGGATCACAAGGTCAGGAGTTCAAGACCAGCCTGGCCAACATGGTGAAACCCCACGTCTACTAAAAATACAAAAACATTAGCTGGGCATGGTGGCGCGTGCCTGTAATCCCAGCTACTCATGGAGGCTGATGCAAGAGAATTGCTTGAACCTAGGAGGCAGAGGTAGCAGTGAGCCAAGATCACGCCATTGCACTCCAGCCTGGGCAACAGAGCAAAACTCCATCTCGAGGACAGAAAAAAAATTGATTGCTCTGGCTCTACTGATACAATCTTAGGCTGCTTAATGGGATCTTAGTTGAATAGGATGCTGTACATCTTACAGGTATTGGAAGGTTGAATGAAACCAAGCCCATGCATTCAATAGTGGCTGCTATCATTACTAACCGTTGCAATTACCCTCTTTTCTTTTTGCCTGAGAATAATGGGATGCAGGGTGAGGGGGAATATTGGGTGAATTAAAGATTTGGGTCACTAATTTCTTTCTTTTTTTCTCAAGATATAGTCTTGCTCTGTCTCCTAGGCTGGAGTGCAGTGCCACAATCTTGGTTCACTGCAACCTCTGCCTCCCGGGTTCAAGTGATTCTTCTCCGTCAACCTCCCAAGTAGCTGGGATTACAGGCACCCACCTGTATTTTTGTATTTCTAGTATTTTGTATTTCTAGTAGAGACAGGGTTACGCCATGCTGGTGGCCAGGGTGGTCTCAAACTCCTGACCTCGGGCAATCCACCACACCCAGCTAATTTTTGGTATATTTAGTAGAGCCGGGGTTTCACCGTGTTGGCTGGGCTGGTCTCGAACTCCTGACCTCAAGTGACATCCATCTTCCAAAATGCTGGGATTACAGCCATGTGCCACCACGCCCAGCTAATTCTTGTATTTTTAGGAGAAATGGGGTTTCATCATGTTGTTCCGGCTGGTCTTAAACTCCTGGCCTCATGATCCACCTGCCTTGGCCTGCCAAAGTCCTGGGATTACAGGCATGAGCCACTGTGCCCAGCCACTCATTTCTTATGAATTTATTCTAACACATTTTCCGGATGAACAGGGCACCTTGAAACATAGGTTAGTGGGCTGGGTATGGTGGCTCCTGCCTGTAATCCCAGTACTTTGGGAGGCCTAGGCTGGTGTATCGCTTGAAGTCAGGAGTTTTTTGTTTTGAGACGGAGTCTTGCTCTGTCGCCCAGGCTAGAGTGCAGTGGAGTGATCTCGGCTTACTGCAACCTCCGCCTCCTGGGTTCAAGTGATTCTCTTGCCTCAGCCTCCTGAGTAGCTGGGACTACAGGCACGTGTCGCCACGCCCATCTAACTTTTGTATGTTTAGTAGAGCCGGGGTTTCACCATGTTGGCCAGGATGGTCTCAAACTCCTGACCTCCTGATCTGCCCACCTCGGCCTCCCAAAGTGCTGGGATTACAGGCATGAGCCATTGCCCCGGCCAAAGTTAGGAGTTTGAGACCAGCCTGGCCAACATGGTAAAACCCCATCTCTACTAAAAAATACAAAAATTAGCCAGGCAAGATGGCATTTGCCTGTAATCCCAGCTACTCAGGAGGCTGAGGCGGGAGAATCTCTTGAATCTGGGAGGCAGAGGTTGCTGTGAGCTGAGATCGCGCCACTACACTCCAGCCAGGGCGACAGAGCATAAATAACTCCCTTTCAAAAAACCAAACAATGAAACATAGGTTAGCGGAGTCTGCATCCAACATTAGAGTCAGATTGACTAAGTTCTGTATTTCCAGCTGATTCCTGGGCGATGTTGGTGCCACTGGTCTGACCACCCTTTGACAACTGCTGCTCCAGATAATTCAAGTCGGGGTATAACACAACCAGTGAGATGTAAACCAAAGACGATTCCACGGTTAGATTCTCAAGAATGACTTGTTCTGCCGGGCGCGGTGGCTCACGCCTGTCATCCCAGCACTCTGGGAGGCCGAGGTGGGCAGATCACCTGAGATTGGGAGTTTGAGACCAGCCTGACCAACATGGAGAGACCCCCACCTCTACTGAAAATACAAAATTAGCTGGGCATGTTGGTGCATGGTGCATGCCTGCAGTCCCAGCTACTCGGGAGGCTGAGGCAGGAGAATCACTTGAACCCAGGAGGCGGAGGTTGCTGTGAGCCGAGATTGCGCCACCTGGGCAACAAGAGTGAGACTCAGTCTCAAAAAAAAAAAAAAAATGACGTGGTCCTATTTCTCCCACAGGTTGGTGTCTTGTTCCGCTACCACTCAGCAGTGGGCTGATCTCTCCTTGGCCCTTGAAGTCAACCAGTCCCTGACGTGCGTAAACCTCTCCGACAATGAGCTTCTGGATGAGGGTGCTAAGTTGCTGTACACAACTTTGAGACACCCCAAGTGCTTTCTGCAGAGGTTGTCGTAAGTCTCTCCTCTCTTACAGAGCAGCTGTGCTTTCGATCTGGGGCCACAGACGAGCAATGGTCATGCCTGACTTGGCTGTATGGAACCTCTCGCTGATGTGAACACCTGTTCCCATGTTTAGATCCAGGCCGATGGCCTGTGAATTTTGTTCTTCTCTCATTCCTATTCCTTCATAGGATCACCAGTGCATGATAGAAGGTGGGGAGTTCACAAGAAGGGGCTTTTGGATGCTGGCACTTGTGGAGCTAGCCGGGAAGGTTGAAGTTGGACCTGTCAACCGTGTTGCCATTTGTGATTCTTTTGTAGGTTGGAAAACTGTCACCTTACAGAAGCCAATTGCAAGGACCTTGCTGCTGTGTTGGTTGTCAGCCGGGAGCTGACACACCTGTGCTTGGCCAAGAACCCCATTGGGAATACAGGGGTGAAGTTTCTGTGTGAGGGCTTGAGGTACCCCGAGTGTAAACTGCAGACCTTGGTGTAAGTCCGTGCTGGCTGCCTGTGTGCGTGGGTGTATATGCACACGCCCCCCACCTCCGGGTTTGAGTAGGGTGGTTATGAGAACACTTAATTCCTCTAAAAGTTCCAAGCATGATGCTAATGACAACTGGTAAGACCTGGGTAGATGATGGTAGGAAAAAAGTATAAGTAGTAGTAGAGTAGTAGTAATATTCTATAGGGATTTGGGGAATGTAGCTGGTTTTCGGGTTTTTTTTTTCCTCTTTATGTATGTATGTATTTTAGAGATGGGATCTCGCCGTGTTGCCTAGGCTGGTCTCAAACTCCTGAGCTCAAGAGATCTGCCTGCCTTGGCCTCCCAAAGTGCTAGAATTACAGGCATGAGCCATGTCACCCCATGCTGTGTTTTCTCTTAATCTGTGTTCTTAGAACTATAACTGTAACATAAATTGCATGCAATTGGTTGTAAATGGAATTCATTTACTTATTTTTTAATGAATGATTTGCAAATCAGGTAGTCTTCTGGGCCAGTGTACGCTCAGACTCCCAATGGAAGCTATTGGAAGCTACATGCTCAATGTGATCCTCCTTTTAATACTAAAATCACAGGACACGTGGCCTGGCATAGTGGCTCACGCCTATAATCCCATCACCTTGGGAGGCCGAAGCAAGGCAGATCCCTTGAGGGCAGGAGTTCAAGACCAGCCTGCCCAACATGGTGAAACATTGTCTCTCTACTAAAAATACAAAAATTAGTCACGCATGGTGGGACATGCCTGTAATCCCAGTTACTCAGGAGGCTAAGGCAGGAGAATCACTTGAACTTCGGAGGTGGAGGTTGCAGTGAGCTGAGATGGCACCACTGAAGTCCAGTCTGGCCAATAGAGCAAGACTCTCTCAAAAAAAAAAAATTATAGGACAAATCTTTAGAAAGGAATTGGGGCCTGGCATGGTGGCTCATGCCTGTAATCTCAGCACTTTAGGAGGCGGGCAGAACACCTGAGGTCAGGAGTTTGAGACCAGCCTGGCTGATGCAGTGAAACCCTGTCTCTACTAAAAATACAAAAATTAGCTAGGCGTGGTGGTATGGTCCTGTAATCCCAGCTACTTGGGAGGCTGAGGCAGGAGAATCGCTTGAAGTCGGGAGGTTGCAGTGAGCCGAGATCGTGCCAGCCTGGGTGACAGAACGAGATTGTCTCAAAAAAAAAAAAAAATTGTATCTGCACTGATGGTTTCTGTTCAGAGATTCGATTTTATGTTAACATCTCTGGTATTTTTTTTTTTTTTTTTTAAGATGGAGTTTTACTCTTGCCCACGCTGGCAATGGCATGATCTAGGCTCACTGCAACCTCCGGCTTCAAGGAGGTTGATTCTCCTGCCTCAGCCTCCTGAGTAGCTGGGATTACAGGCACTCACCACCACGCCGGGCTAATTTTTATATTTTTAGTAGAGATGGGATTTCACCATGTTGGCCAGGTTGGTCTCGAACTGACCTCATGATCCGCCCGCCTCAGCCTTCCAAAGTGCTAGGATTTACAGGCATGAGCCACTGCGTCCAGCCATACATATCTCTGGTATTCTTTGTCTCTAACATCACCTCCAACAGTTAGGAACTGTCCTCTTCCTATGAAGTAACTAATCTAGGATATGTACCTGGCATCTGAAAACTACCCACTTAAATTTAATGACATATTCAGTTCATGGCTGGAGACGATGAGTAGAAGGAAAGGATTCTTCCCACACCCACTATATCTAGGCCCTGAAACATTAAAAAAGAAGTCCCACAAGCAGTGAGATGTCACCGACTCACTAACTGTATCTTCAAATGAATGTCTAGTTTTTTTGGTTGTGTGTGTGTGTGGTGTGTGGTGTGTGTGGTATTTTTTTGGGGGGGGGGGGGTTTTCTTTTTTTTTTTTTTTTGGTTTTTTTTTTTTGATAGTCTTGCTCTGTCGCCCAGGCTGGAATGCAGTGGCTCCATCTCAGCTCACTGCAACCTCCACCTCCTGAGTTCAGGTGTGATTCTCCTGCCTCAGCCTCCCAGGGATTAAGGTGCATGCCACCACGCCCAGCTAACTTCTTTATTTTTAGTAGAGACGAGTTTTCACCATGTTGGTCAAGCTGGTCTCGAATTCCTGACCTCAGGTGATCCACCCACCTCAGCCTCCCAAAGTGCTGGGATTACAGGTGTGAGCCACCGTGCCGGCCCCCTCAATTCAACTTTTTGATCCATGCCCCTATTTTGCTAAGTTGTCAACTTCCCTTTAGTCTTATGTGGGTTTTCCTCCATTACAGTCATGGAAGTTTCTAGAAGGCCGGGTAGGGTCTTTGAGAGGCCGAGGCAGGTGGATCATGAGGTCAGGAGTTCAAGACCAGCCTGGCCAACATGGTGAAACCCTGTCTTTACTAAAAATACAAAAATTAGCCAGGCGTGGTGTCGGAGCCTGTAATCCCAGCTTACTTGGGAGGGTGAGGCAGAGAATTGCTTGAACCTGGGAGGCGGAAGTTGCAGTGAGCTGAGATTGTGCCACTGTACTCCAGCCTGGGTGTCAGAGCGAGACTGTCTCAAAAAAAAAAAAAAAAAAGTTTCTATACATTCATAAAGTTTCAAGATTTGGGGGTGTGTTTTCACTTCTCCATCGTCATGGACTCCAATCTGCCATCTATTTCCAAGGCCCTTCCAGGTCCTGTGTCCCTCAGCTAGTGGTATGCTTCACTTGGGACCCAGAGATACATGGGCATTATAGTTCAAATTATAATTAAGTTTAGAACTCTATTGAGACAGAAGAAAGAAAACAGAGCTAAGGTGAAATATCTCTGATAATCTGTGTTGGTTAATATCTAGGATCCTAGTACCAGATATGTTGGAGTGTGAGCTGGTGTCTTCTGCCTGTAAGACACTACCTCTCTAGCAACTGAATTTAGCAAATACAATCGTAATCCCAGCATGTTAGGGAGGCCAGGGTGGGCAGATCATCTGAGGTCGGGAGTTCAAGACCAGCCTGGCCAACATGGGGAAACCCTGTCTCTACTAAAAATACAAAACTTAGCTGGGTGTGGTGGCACGCGCATGTGTGTACACACACACACCCCCCTGTAATCCCAGCTACTCGGAAGGCTGGGGCACAAGAATCGCGTGAAACCAGGAGGCGGAGGTTGAAGTGAGCCACCGTGCCAGCTGAGAATCCTTTTTACTTCTCCAACTTCTGTTGGCCACCTGCATTCCTTGGCTTGTGGCCCTTCCTCCAACTTCGGCAGAGCATCTTCAAACGTTGCCCTGGCTCCCTTATCACGTCACCTCCTGCTGGCTTTGACTCTCAGCTCCCTCTTATGAGGATCCCTGTGATTGCTGGACCTACCCAAATAAACCAGGATATAAACCATCTTAAGATGCTCAGTCACCTCTACGAGGTCCCTTTTGCTCGCAGGTGCCAGGAGTTGGGACTTGGACATCTTTAGGGGAGGCCATTCTTCTGTCCACCACACCACCCCATGATTCCATTTCCATGTCACCACTGTCTCTAAGTGTGTCTAACCCACGGCTCAAGAGTCAAAGGTGCATCACAGCAGTGAGAACTCACAGGTTCGGGTTTGCTTTCTTCCTGTGGTTGATTTCTAGGCTTTGGAACTGCGACATAACTAGCGATGGCTGCTGCGATCTCACAAAGCTTCTCCAAGAAAAATCAAGCCTGTTGTGTTTGGATCTGGGGCTGAATCACATAGGAGTTAAGGGAATGAAGTTCCTGTGTGAGGCTTTGAGGAAACCACTGTGCAACTTGAGATGTCTGTGGTGAGTTAACTTATAAGTTCAACTTCCTATACTTACACCTTACTGAATCTGTGGCTAGTGTAAAATAATCAGTGAAGCCGACTTCCCAAGTTATATAATTGAGAGGACCTTTATAGAGTCGATCGAGCATTTACTAGGATGGTTAAAGGAATAAGTTCTAGTCTATGTCTAAGTTTTTGTTTTTTTTTTTCTTGAAGTTTTGCTCTTGTCACATAGGCTGGAGTGCAGTGGCGTGATCTTGGCTCACTGCAACCTCCGCCTCCCAGGTTCAAGCAATTCTCTTGCTTCAGCTTCCCGAGTAGCTGGGATTACAGGCGCCCGCCACCATGCCCAGCTAATTCTTGTATTTTTAGTAGAGACAGGGTTTCGCCATGTTGAAGGTTCATCTCAAACTCCTGACCTCAGGTGATCCGCCCATCTCGGCCTCCCAAAGTGCTGGGATTACAGGCGTGAGCCACTGCGCCAGGCCCTATGTCTAAGTTCTAGTCTGTGTCATGCAAAGAACACCTGTGAAATTTTAAGGATACAGTGCCTCAAGCCATTCAGCCAAAAGCCACTGCCCAGCACCCCACATTCAGAGAGGTGGGAATTGGGCCAGGCACAGTGGCTCATACCTGTAATCCCAGCACTTCGGGAGGCCGAAGCGGGCGGATCACTTAAGGTCAGGAGCTCAAGACCAGCCTGGCCAACTTGAAACTCCATCTCTACTAAAATATAAAAATTAGCCGAGCATAGTAGTGGGTGCCTCTTTTTTTTTTTTTTTTTTTTTTGAGATAGTTTCACTCTTGTTGCCCAGGCTGTAGTGTAATGGCGCGATCTCAGCTCACTGCAACCTCCACCTCCTGGGTTCAAGTGATTCTCCTGCCTTAGCCTCCCACATAGCTGCAAATAAACAGGCATGTGCCACCATGCCTGGCTAATTTTGTATTTTTAGTATAGACGGGGTTTCTCCATGTTGGTCAGGCTGGTCTCGACCTCCGGACCTCAGGTGAGAGCCACCGTGCCCAGCCAGTAGGTGCCTTTAATCCCAGCTACTTGGGAGGCTGAGGCAGGAGAATCACTTGAACCCTGGAGGCAGAGGTTGCAGTGAGCTGAGATCCTGTCACTACACTCCATCCTGGGCTACAAGAGCAAGACTCCATCTCAGGAAAAAATAAAAAAGAGGTAGGAATTAGATATCGTGCCAGAAAATGCTGGCTCTATCAGCAGGTGAGTGGTCTCAACTTGGCTATCTTACAAATACCTTGTGAGTTAGCTACAATCAGATGCACTTGAACCTGGAATCCTATCTGGGAGGCAATCTTAAAAGAATTTGACTCGGGATGGGCAAGGTGGCTCATGCCTGTAATCCTGGCATTTTGGGAGTCCAAGGCAGGTAGATTGCTTGAGGCCAAGAATTTAAAAACAGCCTGGCCAACACAATGAAGCCCTGTCTCTACTGAAAGTACAAAAATCCGCTGAGCATGGCTGTGTACCTCTGCTCCCAGTTACTCAGGAGGCTGAGGTGGGAGGATCACTTGAGCCTGGGAGGAAGAAGTTACAGCGAATTGAGATCACGTCACCTCACTCCAGCCTGGGTGACAGTGAGATCCTGTCTCAAAAAAAAAAAAAAAACAAAAAAAACAAAGGCGCCTTTTTAATCACTCACTGACACGTGTAGAGGAGCAAAAAGTTTGAGTTGCTGGTTGGCCCAGGAGGTCAAGGCTGCAGTGAGCCAAGATGGCGTTACCACACTCCAGCCTGGGCAACCGAGTGAGACCGTGTTTCAAAAAATAAAGTGGCAGGGTGCAGTGGCTCATGCCTGTAATTCCAGCACTTTGGGAGGCCGAGGCAGGTGGATCACCTAAGGTCAGGAGTTCGTAGACCAGCCTGTCTCTACTAAAGAGACAGGTGAAACCCTGTCTCTCTAAAACCACAAAAATCAGGCAGGCATGGTGGCACATAGCTATAATCTCATCTACTTGGAGGCACGAGAACTGCTTGAATCCAGGAGGCAGAGGCTACAGTGAGCCGAGATCATGCCACAGCACTCCAGCCCTGGCGAGAGAGCAAGACTGTCTCAAAGAATAACTTCAAAGATGGAAGTTATTTAACCTCTCTGCTCAAAAGCCTCAGTGCTTCCCTATGTCAATCCAGGTAAAATCCTATATTGACGATGGCTTCAGGGTCTTCTGTGAGCTGGCCACTGCTTACCTATGACCTCATCTTGACAATCCTCCCTGTCTCACTCATGCCCGCTGCCTGGATGTTCTATTTTACGTGTCAGTCACATGTATCTTCAGGGCCTCTGCACAAGCTATTTCTCTGCCTGGAGAACTCCCCCCCGAGCTCTATGACTCGGTCTCTTCACCCCCTCACCTCCAACCATTGTAGCCAGAACCCCCAGTTATTCCCTGTACCCCTTGCCCTTCAGAACCCCTCATCGCCTCCATATTTTCCTGTTAGCAGATGAGCCCTGAGGGCGGAGACGTTTTGTTTGTTTTTTGAGACCGGAGTCTCACTCTGTCACCCAGGCTGGAGTGCAATGGCGCGATCTCGGCTCACTGCAACCTCCGCCTCCTGGGTTCAAGCGATTCTCCTGCCCCAGCCTCCTGAGTAGCTGGGATTACAGGTGCCTGTCACCACGCCCAGCTAACTTCTGTATATTTAGTAGAGACACGGTTTTACCATGTTAGGTTGGTCTTGAACTCCTTGACCTCAGGTGATCCATCCACCTCGGCCTCCCAAAGTGCTGGGATTACAGGCGTGAACCACCGTGCCCGGCCTGAGACTTCTGTTGGTCATGCAGATCCCCAACACACGAGGGTGGGCTTGGCTTGCCGGAGGGCATCGATCAGCACTGGCTGCATTAACGTGTTGATTTCTGTGTTTCCCCAGGTTGTGGGGATGTTCCATCCCTCCGTTCAGTTGTGAAGACCTCTGCTCTGCCCTCAGCTGCAACCAGAGCCTCGTCACTCTGGACCTGGGTCAGAATCCCTTGGGGTCTAGTGGAGTGAAGATGCTGTTTGAAACCTTGACATGTTCCAGTGGCACCCTCCGGACACTCAGGTATGATCCATTTACTTCCCCATCAGGCTTTCTCCAGAGTGGTAGGTTTAGGGGAAGCATAATGACATGGACCTGCTGTAGGAGACTGATCTGGTAGCTGGATTACAGGTTCCCGCCATCACACCCAGCCAATTTCTGTATTTCACTTGGAGAAACGGGGTTTCACCATGTTGGTCAGGCTGGTCTCAAACTCCTGACCTCAGGTGATCCGCCCGCCTCGGCCTCCCAAAGTGCTGGGATTACAGGCGTGAGCAACCGCACCCGGCCACCTTTTTTTTTTTTTTCCTTTGAGGCAAGAACTCACTATGTTCCCCAGGCTGGAGTCCAGCAGCACAATGATGGCTCGCTGCAGGCTCGCTCCAGCTCCTGGGCTCAAGCAATCCTGCCTCAGTTCCTGAGTAGGTAGGTTTATAAGCATGAACCATTGCACCCAGCCACGGCTGCCGTCTACCTGCTCATGATAGCCATTTGTCACTGGGCTGTGTTTTGTTTGTTGCATTTTGTCAGGGTTTTGGGGTTTTGTTTTGTTTTTTCTTTCTTTTTTTTTTTTTTTTTCTGAGATGGAGTCTCACTCTGTTGCCCAGGCTGGGGTGCAGTGGTTGCTAACTGCAACCTCCACCTCCCAGGTTCCAGCTATTCTCATGCTTCAGCCTCCCAAGTAGCTGGGATTACAGGCATGCACCACCACACCTAGGTAATTTTTGTATTTTTAGTAGAGACAGGGTTTTGCCATGTTGGCCAGGGTGGTCTCAAACTCCTGACCTCCGTGATTTGCCCACCTCAGCATCCCAAAGTGCTGGGATTACAGGCATGAGCCACCGCACCCGGCCTGAGTTGTATTTTGATACCATGGCATCAAAGAACCAAGAAGCCCCTTCCTAGGAATGTGGGAACTTCAGAAATTCTCACAAGCAATATACTCTACTGCTGGCTTAAAATAATCTTTATGTAGAAGAAACATAGATTACTTGTTTATTTAACATGAAACTCAGCCTAAGATACTTTGTAAGTCAAAAGACATATGGACACTAAGGGTTTTTTTAAGCTTTAAGTTTGTTTGTTTGTTTATTTATTATTTATTTTGGAGACAGTTTTACTCTTTTTTTTGGGGTGCATCTTTTTTCTTTTTTTTTTTTTTTTTTCCTTTTTTTTTTTTTTTTTTTTTATTGATCATTCTTGGGTGTTTCTCACAGAGGGGGATTTGGCAGGGTCATAGGACAATAGTGGAGGGAAGGTCAGCAGATAAACAAGTGAACAAAGGTCTCTGGTTTTCCTAGGCAGAGGACCCTGCGGCCTTCCGCAGCGTTTGTGTCCCTGGGTACTTGAGATTAGGGAGTGGTGATGACTCTTAACGAGCGTGCTGCCTTCAGGATCTGTTTAACAAAGCATATCTTGCACCGCCCTTAATCCGTTTAACTCTGAGTGGACACAGCACATGTTTCAGAGAGCACGGGGTTGGGGGTAAGGTCACAGATCAACAGGATCCCAAGGCAGAAGAATTTTTCTTAGTACAGAACAAAATGGGGGGCTGACCCCCCCACCTCCCTCCCGGACAGGGCGGCTGGCCGGTTAGAGGGGCTCCTCACTTCCCATTAGGGGCGGCCGGGCAGAGGCGCCCCTCACCTCCCGGACAGGGCGGCTGGCTGGGCGGGGGGCTGACCCCCCCACCTCCCCGCCCGGCCAGAGTTTTACTCTTGTTGTCCAGCCTGGAGCGCAATGGCGCTATCTCGGCTTACTGCAACCTCCGCCTCCCGGGTTCAAGAGGTTCTCCTCCCTCAGCCTCCCAAGTAGCTGGGACTACAGGCATGTGCCACCACACCTGGCTAATCTTGTATTTTTAATAGAGACAGGGTTTCTCCATATTGGTCAGGCTGGTCTCGAACTCCTGACTTCAGGTGACCCGCCTGCCTCAGCCTCCCAAAGTGCTAAGATTACAGGCGTGAGCCACCATGCCTGGCCTGCATCTCCTCTGTTTAACTGGTACTCCGGGGTCCACTGAGTAGAAGTTGCCAAAGTGGGTGATAGAGCGGGTAAGCAGGTATTAGAGCTATAGCCCAGCTGTACTCAGCAATTCCATTTTCTGTGTATGATAATCAACAAGCATCTCAAACTGCACAATGGCTATATACCATTACAAGGTTAACCTGATGTTATGTTTTTCTCTATCAGATCAACATGGTTGAGAATAAGAGGAATGAAAAAAAGGATTAAAAAGAGAAATGAAAGTCTTTAATATTACATTTTATTATTTACTTCATTTATTTTTTAGACAAAAATCTCACTCTATTGCTCAGGCTGGAGTGCAGGGGCCCGATCTCAGCTCACTGTAACCTCCGCCTCCCAGGTTCAAGTGATTCTCCTGTGTCAGCTTCCTGAGTAGCTGGGATTATAGGGATGCACCATCACACCCAACTAACTTTTATATTTTTAGTAGAGATGGACTTTCACCATCTTGCCTAGGCTGGTCTCAAACTCCTGACCTCAAGTGATCTGCCCACCTCACTCTCCCAAAGTGCTGGCATTACAGGCATGACCCACCACATCTGGCCTCATTTTATATTTAAAAATAAAAAATAAGCAAATCAAGCCAGGTACAGTTTAGGCAACATGGTAAAACCCCAACTCTACTAAAAATACAAAAATTAGCTGAGCATGGTGGCAGGTGCCTGTAGTCCCAGCTACTCGGGAGGCAGAGGATAGGATGGCTTGAACCCAAGAGGCACAGGTTGCAGTGAGCTGAGATGGTACCACTGCACTCCAGCTTGGGCAACAGAGAGACTGTCTTTTTTTTTTTTTTTTTTTTTTTTTTTTTTTTTTTTTTTGAGATCGCCCAGGCTGGAGTACAGTGGCACGATCTCGGCTCACTGCAAGCTCCGCCTCCCGGGTTCACACCATTCTCCTGCCTCAGCCTCCTGAGTAGCTGGGACTACAGGCGTCCGCCACCACGCCCGGCTAATTTTTTGTATTTTTTTAGTAGAGACAGGGTTTCACCGTGTTAGCCAGGATGGTCTTGATCTGCTGACCTCGTGATCCACCCGCCTCAGCCTCCTAAAGTGCTGGGAATTACAGGCGTGAGCCATCACGCCCCACCTGAGACTGTCTTTTAAAAAAAAAAAAAAAAAATCAATGTGGAACACTCCTTTGCCACCTAGAATAATCAGGAAAGGTGACCCATGCCCTGTGCCTCCTTAACAGACTTTCAGGTACTTGGGAATTTGAAACAAATCTCCTTGATGCACAAAGTAACCTTTTCTTCCCCCATTGTACCCCAGGTTGAAAATCGATGACTTTAATGATGAACTCAATAAGCTGCTGGAAGAAATAGAAGAAAAAAACCCACAACTGATTATTGATACTGAGAAACATCATCCCTGGGCAGAAAGGCCTTCTTCTCATGACTTCATGATCTGAATCCCCCCGAGTCATTCATTCTCCATGAAGTCATCGATTTTCCAGGTGTTGGTGAACTGCCTGTGACTCCTCTCCTCCCCGGCCCCTACCCCTCAGGGATAATGAGTTCATTGCTGGGCTAGATGTTTTAGCCATGATTCTGCCTCTGTTTTATACCTGCACACATCCTTATCTTTGTTACATATGAAATATCTGTATCACGGGTATATTGAGAGAAATAAAGGTGAGAGCATTCACAAATGAAGCTGTTACTTAATAATGGGCTTTGACAAGTTAGAGAAAAGATATCTTACTGGGTAGAACCTGGGGGGTGGGGGAAGTGACAGTGTTTAATTGCATTGATTTCTATTGCCTTGTCAATCTTTGCCTTGCCTTGGTATTTCCTTTCTTTTTTCTTTTCTTTTTTTTTTTTTTTTTTTTTAGACTGAGTTTCACTCTGTTGCCCACGCTGGAGTACACTGGCACGATCTCAGCTTACTACAACCTGGCAGGTTCAAGCGATTCTCCTGTCTCAGCCTCCTGAGTAGCTGGGATTACAAGCATCCCCCACCACACCCGGCTAAATTTTTTTGTATTTTTAATAGAGATGAGGTTTCACCATGTTGGCCAGTCTGGTCTCAAACTCCTGACCTCAAGTGATCCACCCACCTCAGCCTCCCAGAGTGCTGGGATTACAGGCATGAGCCACTGTACCCGGCTTTTTTTTTTTTCTTTTTCTTTTTCCTCAAGCATGAGTGTTGCTCTGTTGCCCAGGCTGGAATACAGCAGCATGATGATAGCTCACTGCAGCCTCAAGCTCCCAGGTTCAAGCGATCCTCCAGCCTCAGCCTCCTCAGTAGCTGGGACTACAGGTGCACACCACCAAACCAGGCCAATTTTTGTGGGATTTTTTTTGAAGACAGGGTCTCACTATGTTGCCCAGGCTGATCTCAAACTCCCAGGCGCAAGTAATATTCCTGCCTCAGCCTCCCAAAGTGCTAGGATTACAGGTGTGAACCACTGTGCCTAGCCTGTCTTGTTACTTGTTGACCTGCGTGGATCACTGCCTGCTGAGTATTACTTGCCAGAGGATTTCTCCTACCAATCTACAATATTTTAGGTGCTTCGGTGTAGCTCATATATGACCATGTCATTGCTCTGATTTTGCTTTTTAAAAATTCTAACTTAAAATAGAATCTCGGCCAGGCACGGTGGCTCACACCTGTAATCCCAGCACTTCGGGAGGCTGAGGTGGGTGGATCACGAAGTCAGGAGTTGGAGACCAACCTGGCCAACGTGGTGAAACCCCGTCTCTACTAAAAATATAAAAAATTAGCCAGGCATGGTGGCACATGCCTGTAATCCCAGCTACTTGGGAGGCTGAGGCAGGAGAATTGCTTAAACCCAGGAGGTGGATGTTGCACTGTGCTGAAGACTGCACTACTGCATTCCAGCTTGGGCAACAGAGTGACTCCTTCTCCAAAAAAAAACAAAATCTCATGGTATGCATAGTTTTTCACTATAGAGTCTCCATTATTTCCTTGTGATACAGAATTCCAAATTCAACAAAGCAGCAGTGCAAGCTCTACGCTGTAAAACCACAAACAAAACGAACTGTACTATAAAGACAACACTAGTTGGCAAAGTTGCTTCTCATGGGGAGACTTTGTTGCTGTCTGTGTTTACTGGATGAGCAAACAAATGGACGGTAAGGGGGAAAAAGAACAGTACAAATTTTTATTAAACACTAATCATGTTTTTTTTTGTTTGTTTTGAGACAGTTTCTTCTTGTTGCCCAGGCTGGAGTGCAATGGCACGATTTTGGCTCACTGCAACCTCCGCCTCCCCGGGTTCAAGCGATTCTCTTGCCTCGACCTACTGAGTAGCTGGGATTATAGGCATGTGCCACCAAGCCTGGCTAATTTTGAATTTTTAGCAGAGACGGGGTTTTTCCATGTTGGTCAGGCTGGTCTCGAACTCCCGACCTCAGGTGATCCACCAGCCTTGGTCTCCCAAAGTGCTGGGATTACAGGTATAAGTCACCGCACCTGGCAACATTTTTTTCTTTTTTTTTTTTTTTTTTTTTTTTTTTTTTGGTGGCAGAATCTTGCTCTTTCACCCAGGCTGGAATGCAATGGCACGATCTCGGGTCACTGCAGCCTCCACCTCCCCAGTTTAAGCAGTTCTCCCATCTCAGCCTCCCATGTAGCTGGGACCACAGGTGTGCACCACTGCACCCAGGTAATTTTTGCATTTTTGGTAGAGATAGGGTTTTGCCACGTTGTCCAGACTGGTCTTGAACTCCTGAGCTCAGGTGATCTGCCCACCTTGGCCTCCCCAAATGCTGGGATTATAGGCATGAGCCACCACACCTGGTCAAAAGTAGTTTTAATATTTAAATTTAAAACTAAAAAAGTTAATCTCTCTTCCTACTTTCATTTCTTCATCAGGGGCTATTGGTTTATTCCCACCGACTAGATCCAAGTTCTCTGATACTACCTTTAAACCACTCCATCACTTTCCAGTTCCACTGCATACAGTGTGGGCTTCTGAGGTTTCCTGGTTCAAGGTGTCCTTGTTCAATGCGGCATGGGTCATTCCCTGAGCATTTTTTTTTTTTTTTGACAGTCTCGCTCCATTGCCCGGTTTGGAGTGCAGTGGTGTGACCTCGGCTTACTGCAGCCTCTGCCTCCCAAGTTCAAGCAATTCTGCCTCAGGCTCCCGGATAATTTTTGCATTTTTAGTAGAGACAGGGTTTCACCGCGCTGGCCAGGCTGGTCTCGAACCCCTAACCTCAAGCGATCTGCCTGCCTCGGTCTCCCAAAGTGCTGGGATTACAGACATAAGCTACCGTGCCCGGCCTCCAGAGCATCTTTATTCTCAGTTTCAGCGGGAAGAAGGGGGAAGGTTGGTAAAAAGAGAGGCACAAAGTTTAAAAAGGACATTGCGTGAAGAAACTAAAGGTTTCTCCTTCTCCACACTATTGACATTTGGGATCGGATCACTACTCGTTGGGAAACGTCCTGTACATTTCCAGGGTGTTCGGCACCATCCCTAGCCTCTACCCCCTAGATACCAGCTCACATCCTCACAGTTAACAGTGATCAAAAATGTCTCTGGGCAGTAGAAAATATTTCCTGAAATGCAAAGTTTTCTTAGGTTGAGAACCATTGTAATCTAGCCCCATCTTTAGAGAAGAAATTGAGTAACGGATCTACATCCATTGAGGAACTATCGACACCCCAGGGGCCCATGAAATGTAAACTCGCACTCACAATTAACCATCTTTCTCCAACGTGTGTATTTCATGTAGCCACACTCTCAGATGCCCACCCCCATGACCTACAAGTCCTAAACAGGGAAACCTGTGGCACATGGGTTCATGTGTGTCTGAATCTATACGTTCAGAGATGAACAAGTACTGCTCTCCCTATACCTGTGACCACTCGCCTCCGCCCATCACTGAATTCTGAAAATGTGGCCTCAGGCTCACAGCAGCATTAGCACTTGCTTGCTCTGGATCTCATCACATTGATGATCAAGAACAAAGTATTCACTGGGTTCTCTGCTAAGGATACAAAAAAAACCATTCCACAATTCCACGGCCATGTTTGCACCCAGGAACCACGAGGGCTGGGTTAGCCCAGATGGTGGGCTTGGGAAATGTTCCTGGAGCAAAAAAAAGAGCCAGAAGTCATGAGAGCCTGACCCCCTCCCCCAACGCGCACACACACACACCACTCTCTACCTCCAAGCCTCATTTTCAGGCTTCTCAAAGCTAAGGTCACTCCCATGAGCTAAGCCGCGCTTTTCTCAATCCTCAGCTCTTCCACAAGAATAGGAAGAACTCTCTCCTGTTCAAGATCCTGTGGCTCAGCTGCAGCTCTGGAAGAAAGACCCCGGTGAGGGTCTTGCTTTTCACAATCCCCAATCCCAGACCACATCCTGTGCCCCAAAACAACTTCCATGGTAACCACATCCTTCAGGAAGTGAAGTCAGGCAGGAAGTCAAGTCAGAAGACGGAATGGGCTGGGCATGGTGGATCGCACCTGTAATCCCAGCACTTTGGGAGGCAGAGGCAGGTGGATCACATGAGGTCAGGAGTTTGAGACCAGCCTGGCCAACATGGTGAAACCCTGTCTCTACTAAAAATACCAAAAGTAGCCAGGCTTGGTGGTGCATGCCTGTAATCCCAGCTACTCTGGAGGCTGAGGCAGGAGAATCGCTTAAACCCGGAAGGCGGAGGTTGCAATGAGCCGAGATCGCACCATTGCACTCCAGCCCGGGGGACAGAAAAAAAAATGTAGCTGAGCATGGTAGTGCACGTCTGTGATCTCAGCTACTTGGGAGTCTGAGGCAGGAGAATCACTTGAACCCAGGCGGTGGAGGTTGCAGTGAGCCAAGATTGTAATAGTCCAATGTGTTCACCTTGCCCACTGCCTAGACAGAGCTGATTCGTCAAGACAGGGAATCGCAATAGAGAATAATTCATGCAGAGCTGGCTCTACGAGAGACCAGAGTTTTATTATTATTCAAATCAGTGTCTCCCAGCATTCAGGAAGCGTTTTTAAGGATAACTTGGTGGGTGGGTGGGAAGCCAGTGAGCCAGGAGTGCTGTTTGGTCAGGGATGAAATCGTGGGAGCCAAAGCTATCTTCTTGCACTCAGTTCCTGAGTGGAGGCCAAAAGATAAGATGGGCCAGTTTATTGATATGGGTGGTGCCAGCTGATCCATCAAGTACAGGGTCTGCAAGTTAAACGCTGATCTTAGAAGCAGTTTAGGGAGGGTCACAATCTTGTAGCCTCCAGCTGCATGACTCCTAAGTCATAATTTCTAATCTCGTGGCTAATGTTCGTCCTACAGGGCCAATCTAGTCCCCAGGCAACAAAGAGGTGTGCTTTGGAAAAGGGCTATCATCTTTGTTTAAACTATAAGTTTCTCCCAAAGTTCAGCCTATGCCCAGGAATGAAAAAGGACAGCTTGGAGGTTAGAAGCAAAATGGAGTCAGTTAAATCTCTTTCACTGTCTCAGTCATAATTTTGGAAAGGTGGTTTCAAGCTGGCACAACTGCACTCCACCCTAGGAGACAGAGCGAGACCCTGTCAAAAAAAAAAAAAAAAAACAAGAAGTGAAGTCAAGATAGGAGGTAAATTCGGAAGACAGGAAGTGGTGGTAGAAGACAAGAAGTGAAGTCATACAGGAAGTAAAGTCAGAAGACAGGAAGTGAAGTAAGAAGACAGGAAGTGGTTGTAGAAGACAGGAAGTGAGGTCATACAGGAAGTAAAATCAGAAGACAGGAAGTGACGTCAAACCAGGATTTGCAGTCGGAGGCAGGCAAGAAGTGAAATCAGAAGACGGGAAGTGGCTGAGGGGAACGTCTTTTCTCTCTCCTGCTCAGCCCGAAGTGAACAGGTAGCATCAGGTGTGCCATTTCAGTGACTGGGCACAGCCCAGGCACCCACATCTCTCTGCAGCGCCTATTCTTGGAACACCAGAGACCTCTACACTATTTTCTGTTGCTTTTTTCCTTCATTTTCAGAGATGAGATCCTGGATTGAATGACTACTATGGAAAGTGATTGACCAAGGTAAGTCACAACTATCTTGTTCTTTAATTTTGGTGTTGTTTGTTATGACTTGTTAGCCGTCTAGCACTCATAGCTTTGCATTTCCACTCTGCATTACTTGTATTTTTATTATTTTGTGATATTCGTAATAATTTATTATAAAACTGTGTTATTTTTGGATATTTTTAAGTTAAAATGCGATTTTTTAACTAAGTGGCAGTATGCAAAGCAAGTGGTTCAGAACTCTCCCCCATTAATAAGTCTTCTCTCCTGAAAGAAACAATTTTGAGACTTCCTGTTCTTAATTCTGTTTAACAGCATACTTCTAAAAGAAAAAGTGTATACTGTTATTATTTATTGTGTTACAAAAATATACACGCACCTTTCATGCACGTCCGTGTGAAGAGACCACCAAACAGGCTTTGTGTGAGCAATAAAGCTTTTAATCACCTGGGTGCAGGTGGGCTGAGTCTGACAAGAGAGTCAGCGAAGGGGGATAGGGGTGGGGCCGTTTTATAGGATGTGGGTAGGTAAAGGAAAATTACAGTCAAAGGGGGGTTGTTCTCTGGCGGGCAGAGTCGGGGTCATAAGGTGCTCAGTAGGGGAGCTTTTGAGCCAGGATGAGCCAGGAGAAGGAATTTCACAAGACAATGTCATCAGTTAAGGCAGGAACAGGCCATTTTCGCTTCTTTTGTGGTGGAATGTCATCAGTTAAGGCACGAACCGGCCATCTGGATGTGTACGTGCAGGTCACAGGGGATATGATGGCTTAGCTTGGGCTCAGAGGCCTGACATTCCTGTCTTCTTATATTAATAAGAAAAATAAAATGAAATAGGGGTAAAGTGTTGGGACAGCAAAAATTTTTGGGGGTGGTATGGAGAGATAATGGGTGATGTTTCTCAAGGCTGCTTTGAGCAGGATTAGGGGCGGCGTGGGAACCTAAAGTGGGAGCGATTAAGCTGAAGGAAGATTTTGTGGTAAGGGGTGACATTGTGGGATTGTTAAAAGAAACATTTGTCATTTAGAATTATTGGTGATGGCCTGGATACAGTTTTGTATGAATTGAAAAACTAAAGGGAATAAGGAAAGGAGAAAAACAGGTATTAAAGGTCTAAGAATTGGGACGACTCAGGACATCTAATTAGAAAGTGCCTAAGGAGGTTCAGCATAGCCTTGCCAGCAAAGATTATTTATTTATTTTAAGAGTTAACAGTGGCGGTATGGGGATAGTACCAGGAGATACCAGCTGTGCTGGCTTGGAGAAACAGTGTAAACTGGCAGTGTAAACAAGAGCAGGGCATGTGTGAGTAGTTGAGAACGGTGAATAGGAGTATGACTAGACAGAAGATAGTAGGGATGACAAGTTTTTTGGGGCACAATCTAAGTTGGTCTGGTGTCTGGAATGAGACTGGGGCCTAATAAAAAGGAGTGTCTACACAGGAGCTTAAATGGGCTGTATCTTGTAGCATTCCAAGGACAGGCCTGAATTCTGGAAGCGAAAATGGTAAAAGTATTGTCCAGTCCTTTTTAAGTTGGTGGCTGAGCTTGGTGAGGTGTGTTTTTAATAGACCATTAGTCTGTCACTGAATACTAAGAGCCTGAAAAAATGCTTGGCTGATTTGACTAATAAAGGCTGGTCTGTTAGCAGACTGTATAGAGGTGGGAAGGCTGAACTGAGGAATTTTGTCTGACAGAAGGGAATGACAAGGCTAAACTGAAGAATTATGTCTGACAGAAGGGAAGAAATGACTGCGGTGGCCTTCTCAGACCCTGTAGGAAAGGACTGTACTTACCCAGTGAAAGTGTCTACCTAGACTAAGAGGTATTTTAGTTATCTTACTCGGGGCATGTTGAGTAAAGCTAATTTGCCAGTCCTGGGCGGGGGCAAATCCTTGAGCTTGATGTGTAGGGAAGGGAGGGGGCCTGAATAATCCATGAGGAGTAGTAGAATAGCTGATGCAACACTGAGAAGTGATTTCTTTGAGGATAGATTTCCACAATGGAAAGGAAATGAGAGGTTCTAAGAGGCTGGCTAGTGGCTTGTACCATAGCATAGCCTGCCTTTGCTGGTGTGTGGCGATTAGGCCTGGTGGAACCGCCATCAATAAACTAAGTGTGATCAGGGTGAGAAACAGGGAAGAAGGAAATGTGGGGAAATGGGGTGAACGTCAGGTGGATCAGAGAGATGCAGTCATGGGGGTCAGGTGTGGTATCTGGAATAATGTGGGAGGCCAGATTGAAGTCCGGGCCAGGAACAATGGTAATTGTGGGACTTAACAAAGAGTGAGTACAGCTGAAGGAGCCAGGGAGCAGAAAGTATATGCATCAGGTGTGAGTAAGAAAATAGATTTTGGAAATTATGAGAGCTGTAGAGAGTGAGTTGAGCATAGTTTGTGATTTTGAGGGCCTCTAAAAGTATTAAAGCAGCGGCAGCCACAGCACGCAGATATGAGGGCTAGGCTAAAACAGTAAGGTCAAGTTGTTTGGACAGAAAGGCTACAGGGTGTGGTCCTGGCTCTTGTGTAAGAGTTCTGACCGCGCTAACCATGCCTAGGAAGGAAAGGAGTTGTTGTTTTGTAGAAGGTGCTGGGGCTTGAGAGATCAGTCAGACACGATCAGCAGGGAGAGCACGTGTGTTTTTATGAGAATTATGCCGAGATAGGTAACAGATGAGGATGAACTTTGGGCTTGACTGAAGTAATGGGGGCTGTCTGTGAAACCTTGCAGCAGTACAGCCCAGGTAATTTGCTGAGCCTAATGGGTGTCAGGGTCAGTCCAAGTGAAAGCGAAGAGAGGCTGGGACGAGGGGTGCAGGGGAATAGTGAAAAAAGCATCTTTAAGATCAAGCATGGAATAGTGAGTTGTGGAGGAAGGTATTGAGGACAAAAGAGTGTAGGGGTTGGGCACCACAGGGTGCATAGGCAAAACAATTTGATAAGGCGCAGATCCTGAACTAATCTGTAAGACTTTTCCGGTTTTTGGACAGGTAAAATGGGGGAATTGTAAGGAGAGTTTATAGGTTTTAGAAGCCCATGCTATAGCAGGCGAGTGATAACAGGCTTTAATCCTTTTAAAGTGTGCTGTGGGATGGGATATTGGCATTGAGCAGGGTAAGGGTGATTAGGTTTTAATGGGATGGTAACGGGTATGTGATCAGTTGCCAGGGAAGGAGTAGAGATGTCCCATACTTGTGGGTTAAGGTGGGGGAATAGGAGAGGAAGACGCGAAGGAGGCTTTGGGTTGAGGAGAAGGGTGGCAATGAGATGCGGCTGTAGTCCAGGAATAGTCAGGGAAGCAGATAATTTGGTTAAAATATCTCGGCCTAATAAGGGAACTGGGCAGGTGGGGATAACTAAAAAAGAGTGCATAAAAGAGTGTTGTCCAAGTTGGCACCAGAGTGGGGGAGTTTTCAGGGGTTTAGAAGCCTGGCCGTCAATACCCACAACAGTTATGGAGGCAAGAGAAACAGGCCCTTGAAAAGAAGGTAATGTGGAGTGGGTAGCCTCCGTATTGACTAAGGCGACGGACTTACCTTCCACCGTGAGTGTTACCCGAAGCTCGGCATCCGTGATGGTCTACAGAGCTTCCGAGGCGATTGGGCAGCATCAGTCTTCAGCCGCTAAGCCGAGAAGGAGTCAGAGAGCCTTGGGCCAGAGTTCCAGGGGCTCTGGGAGTGGCTGCCAGGTGAGTTGAACAGTCCGATTTCCAGTGGGGTCCCGCACAGATGGGACACGGCTTAGGAGGAATCCTGGGCTGCAGGCATTCCTTGGCCTGGTGGTCAGATTTCTGGCACTTGTAGCAAGCTCCTGGGGGAGGAGGTTCTGGAGGAACGCCTGGCCGCTGCGGTTCAGTTCCCTTCTTGTGTGCTGGAGATGTGGCTGGGGTTTGTCTCACAGTGGAGGCAAGGAATTGCAACTTTTTTCTATTATTGTACACCTTGAAGGCGAGGTTAATTAAATCCTGTTGTGGGGTTTGAGGGCCGGAATTTAATTTTTGGAGTTTTATTTAATGTCGGGAGCAGATTGGGTAATAAAATGTGTATTAAGAATAAGACGGCCTTTTGACTTTTAAGGGTCTAGGGCTGTAAAGCTTCTCAGGGTTGCTGGCGAACGAGCCATGAATTGGGCTGGATTTTTATATTTGATGAAAAAGAGCCTAAACACTATCTGATTTGGGATAAAGAAAAAGGAGCATTAACCTTGACTATGCCTTTAGCTCCAGCCACCTTTCTAAGAGTAAATTGCTGGGCAGGTGGAAGAGGGCTAGTCACTGAACGAAACTGTAAGCTGGACCAGGTGTGGGGAGGGGAGGTGATAAAAAGATAATACGGTGGAGGAGCGGAGGCTGAGGAAGAATTGGGACCTAGCTCAGCCTGGGGAGGAGGGAGAGGTCAGACGGGTCTGTAGAAAAGGAAGATTAGAAAGACTCAGCGACGCTTGGGGTTGAGACTGAGGGGACAGGCAGGAGGGAAAGAAGGAAGATTTGGGACGAGTTGCACTGGGCACAGAGACTAGGAAGGGACTGATGTGTAAAAGAATGCCTGGACGTCAGGCACCTCAGACCGTTTGCCCATTTTACGACAAGAATTATTTAGATCTTGCAGGATGGAAAAATTGAAAGTGCTGTTTTCTGGCTATTTGGAACTGCTGTCCAGTTTGTATTGGGGTCAAGCGGCATTGCAGAAGAAAATAAGGCATTTAGGTTTTAGGTCAGGTGTGAGTTGAAGAGGTTTTAAGTTTTTGAGAACACAGGCCAAGGGAGAGAAGGAGGAGGAATGGAGGGTGGAAGGTTGCCCATAGTGAAGGAGGCAAGCCTAGAGAAAAGAGAGAGTAGAGACACGGAGGGAAGGGGTTCGGGAGTTCTTACCTTCCAGAAAAGCGGGAAAGGGGTTGGGGCATGGATATAAGGGGTTGGGGCACAGAGATAAGAGGTTGGGGCATGGAAATAAGGGATCAGGGTGCAGAGATACGAGGTTGGGGTACTTGCCCCTCTAGAAAAGCGGGACTTGCCGCTAAGAGTGAAGGAGAAGGGGTTGGGGGTTTCTTGCCCCCCAGAAAGGTGGAGAAGGGGTAGAGACATGGAGAGGAGGGGTTGGGGAACTTGCCCCTTCCCCAGAAAAGTGGGACTTGCCACTAAGGGTGAAGGACCAAGGCAGGCATCCCTGCGTGATCTGACACCTCTGAAGCGTGGGTATATAATCAGAGAGGCGTCCCTGCAATGATTAAACGCCAAGGGAAGGCTGCCTTCCCTAGTCCGTGACCGGCGCCGGAGTTTTGGGTCCACAGATAAAACGTGTCTCCTTTGTCTCTACCAGAAAATGAAAGGAATTGAAATTAAGAGAAGGGAGAGATTGAAGAGTGGAAAGGAGAAAGTGGTTGAGGGACAGTGAGAGAGGTTGGAGAAGAGAGTAAGAAGAGGTCGCTTACCCAATTTAAACTTGGTGAGATGTTCCTTGGGCTGGTGGGTCTGAGGACCTGAGGTCGTAGGTGGATCTTTTTCACAGAGCAAAGAGCAAGACAGGGGATTGATCTCCCAAGGGAGGTCCCCCGATCCAAGTCACGGCACCAAATTTCATGTGCGTCCATGTGAAGAGACCACCAAACAGGCTTTGTGTGAGCAATAAAGCTTTTAATCACCTGGGTGCAGGTGGGCTGAGTCCGACAAGAGAGTCAGCGAAGGGGGATGGGGTGGGGCCGTTTTATAGGATTTGGGTAGGTAAAGGAAAATTACAGTCAAAGCGGGGTTGTTCTCTGGCGGGCAGAGTGGGGGTCACAAGGTGCTCTGTAGGGGAGCTTTTGAGCCAGGATGAGCCAGGAGAAGGAATTTCACAAGACAATGTCATCAGTTAAGGCAGTAACAGGCCATTTTCACTTCTTTTGTGGTGGAATGTCATCAGTTAAGGCAGGAACCAGCCATATGGATGTGTACGTGCAGGTCACAGGGGATATGATGGCTTAGCTTGGGCTCAGAGGCCTGACAGCACCTACCTAAAAAATTCCAATAGCACTAAAAGGGTGTGTACAAAATGCAGTGGCTGACTAACCATCTCCTCCATTGCTCCGCCTAAGAGACACCCACTTTTAGCTGTTTTCTTTAGGAACTTGTTAATATTAGGTTTCTAAAAACATGTAACCATGTGAATGAGCTTAGACTTACTGGATTCCTATCATAATAGGCGGGGCCTTAGTTATTCTACAGCGTTGTTCTTACTGTTTTTTCTCTTCCAATGTTTATCTCTATGTCTGCATATCAACATTCAGTATCACATTTTTTTTTTTTGAGACAGAGTCTCACTCTGTCACCCAGGCTGGAGTGCAGTGGCGCAATCTCAGCTCACTGCAGCCTCAGTCTCCTGAGTAGCTGGGACTACAGGCGTGTGCCACCACGACTGGCTAATTTTTGTATTTTTAGTAGAGACAGGGTTTCACCATGTTGGCTGAGCTGGTCTCGATCTCCTGACCTCGTGATCTGCCCACCTCAGCCTCCCGAAGTGCTGGGATTACAGGCATGAGCCACCACGCCCGGCCAGTATCACATGTTTATACCCACAGATATTCGCAGCCGAGAATTTTCGGGTAATATAACTTGCTTCTTTTATTTTTGTTGTTGTTATTGTTCCCCTAAAGTTTATATTTGTTTTTTATTTTTATTTTCTTTTGAGGCAGGGTCTCACTCTGTCACCCAGGTTTGACAGCAGTGGTGCAATCATGGCTCACTGCAGCCTCAACCTCCCCGGGCTCAGGTGATCCCCAACCTCAGCCTCCTGAGTACCTGAGAGTAGGCATGTGGTACCACACCCAGCTAATTTTTTATATTTTTTGTATATGAGACAAGGTTTCACCATGTTGCCCAGGCTGGTCTCGAACTCTTAGGCTCAAGCGATCCCGCCTCAGCCTCCCAAAGTGCTGGGATTACAGGTGTGAGCCACTGTGCCTAGGCTATACTGGTCTTTTTAAAATCTACTTAGTTTACTTGACCTCTAAAATTATTTTTCCTCTGTCTTCTGATAGCATCTCAGTATGATTTTCCACTATGTTAAGACGAGGAATTGACCCATTCTTACATTTGGAGGCTTCTCTAAGCAACTTTCCCATTCCCCCTTCACCCAAGCTGTGTGCTCACTAGCCCTGATTCACAGCCGTCGTCCTGGAACTTCTTGGTGCCATCCTTCTGTCTTTTCCCAAGTGACTCACCTACCTCAACCTCCCAAAGTGCCGGGATTACAGGCGTGAGCCACTGTGGCCAGCCATTCTTTTCCTTTTTTAAAACAATTTTTATCTTCTTTATTTTAAGTAGAGATGGGGTCTCACTATGTTGCCCAGGCTGGTCTTGAACTCCTGGGCTCAAGCGATCCTCCTGCCTTGGCCTCCCACAGTGCTAGGATTACAGACATGATCCACTGCACTTGGCCCAGTGGTACAGTTTTACACTCATTAGATGGTCAAGAAATGCCTAAACGCTATAATAAATATAGAACTTTACCTTGAGAAGACCTAACATTTCCTTCAGAAAGTAAATATGAGAGGGGTGGAGACGGTGCATTATCTTATTTTTATGATTTTAAAAATGTATACAGAATTGTACATATTTATGGGGTGGACAGCAATATTGCAGTACATGTATACAACGTGCTATGATCAAATCAGGGTAATTGACATATTCATCCCTGTATTTTTTGAGACAAAGTCAGGCTTCGTCACCCGAGCTAGAGTGCAGTGGTGTGATCTCAGCTCACTGCAACCTCTGCCTCCCAGGCTCAAGCCATTCTCCCACCTCAGCCCCCTGAGTTGCTGGGAGTATAGGGATGCACCACCACACCTGGCTAATTTTTGTGTTTTTTTGTTTTGTTGGTAGAGATGAGGTTTCACCATGTTGCACAGGCTGATCTTGTTTTCTAATGTGAAGGGAAGCGGGCAACGTGCTAGTTTTACACTAAGGAAAATGAATGACATACCCAAACTGCCTGCAAGACCCGTTCTGAGAGACGAAAGGAGATTTGTTAGACCGCAGTGGGAGATGGAGTGAGGGTGAGAGTTTCTGGGGAAAACCAGACAAGAGCACAGAGGGCCAAAGGGAAGCACGGGAGGATTTTGCACAGAGGATGGAACAGAGTCAACCCTGAGAGCTGGGAACCTTAGAGATCCGTCTGGAGCCCATATTAGAGAGGTTGAAGAAAGAGGCCAGTATGTGGTCCAGCCAGGGTACCATGTCATCCACAGTGTGCAGGGAGGAGGATGGGGTCTCCACAGATTCCTTCCATCCCAAATGGAGGGTGCCCTCAGACAGAGAGGCAGACAGACAGACAGACACTGGCCGAACGGCTCCCTGATGGAACACCAGGAGGAGGCAGCATGGCCTCGTTTCCACAGCTGTAGCCTCTGCCCTCCTGCTTCCACGCTCCACACACGCCAGTCTTTGAGTCGCCTCCCATGCCATGATCCCTCCCTTGGATACGACCGTGCCTGGGGTTCAGCGGTCATGAACATAACCCGCGGCTGTGAACATCCTGTCGGCCTCCATCCTGACCCCCGTTTGATTTCCGGGTCAGCGGGAGGGGCGGGAGGGGCGGAAGCGGCCTCTGCACAGCCCTGCCCCTGTGCCGCAGGCGCTTCCTCCGGCTGTGCCAGTCCTCTGCCAGAAACCCCGCCAGGATTATTAGGATCACAGCCCCGAGGCATATCCGGACCAGGTTGCCCTTGGTGTAGTACTGGCGGGCAGGACCTGGAGGAATGAGGAGAGGCAGGAGCAGGTGAAAGAGCCCACCTCCAGGACCCCCTCCAAGCCACATCTGGGCTTCTCAGAGATCCTATTATTCTCTACTAGCTAGGGGATGCCGCTCACTTTCCTGGAGGGTCCCTCCCTTCCCGAGTAGGGGTCAGGGCCAGATGACCCCAATTCTCTAAGTAGCACCTCTCCCTCCTGTGCTCTCACAGGGCTCTGAGACAACTCCTCCCCAGACACAGATGCTGCCTCGTTATCTGATGCATTGCAAAAGAGAGGACAGTTATAAGGGGTGGGGAAGAGATGGAATCTCTCTTTCTCTGACCCTTTTTAAAATCTCAACCTTCCCACCTGATCTTAATGCCCAATTCTGAACCCCATACGCTGATATTCTGCCTTTACTCTACACACTGGAACCCAAGATCTGAGAGCTGCAGCCCCTGCGTAGACAAAGGAGTTGGCTTTGGTGAAGAGACGGGTGAGAAGGAAGGGGGTCTGGAGAGGATGACTTACTCACCAGCTGGAGAGTCTGACTCCTTTGGACTGGCGGTGATACTCCTAGAAGTCTCTGGGAACCAAACAAAGGCTAAGTGTGAAATGAAACCATATTCCCGCCCCCTGTCACTGTGCCTACTCCGAACACACACACACATGGGGAGGCACAATTCCACAGCATTTAAGAAAAGCATGGGCCGGGCACGGTGCCTCATGCCTATAATCCCAGCACTTTGGGAGGCTGAGGTAGGAGGCTGGCTTGAGTCCAGGAGTTCAAGACCAACCTGAGCAACATAGAAAAACCCTATCTCTACAAAAAAATACAAAAATTAGCCAGGCGTGGTGGCACGTGCCAGTAATCCCAGCTACTCAGTGGAGGCTGAGGCAGGAAGATCACCTGAGCCCTGGGAGGTTGAGGCTGCAGTGAGCCAGGATTGTACCACTGCACTCTAGCCTGGGAAACAGAGCGAGACCCTGTCCAAAAAAAAAAAAGCAAGAACTGTAGAGTCAGGCTGTCCTCCAGATTTGAACCCCAACTCTATCACCTATTAGATGTCAGTTATCTGGCAAGTGACTCAGCATCTGTGAGCCAGTTCCCCATGTGTCCAATAAAATTAACAAGATCCCTTATAGGTTGATGTGAAAGTCAAGATAATAATAATGGTAGAAATATAAAGCACCGTGCTTGACATATGAGCACCTCATACGTGCCAGCTTTTTTTTTTTTTTTTTTGAGACAGAGTCTGGCTCTGTCTCCCAGGCTGGAGTGCAGTGGCCCGATGTCGGCTCACTTCAACCTCCGCCTCCTGGGCTCAAGCGATTCTCCTGCCTCAGCCTCCCGAGTAGCTGGGACTACAGGCGTCCGCCACCACGCCCAGCTAAGTTTTGTATTTTTAGTAGAGATGGGATTTCACCATATTGGCCAGGTTGGTTTTGAACTCCTGACCTTGTGATCCGCCCGCCTAGGCCTCCCAAAGTGCTGGGATTACAGGCGTGAGCCACTGCACCCGGCCTCCAGCTCTCTTATTCCTCAAGTATCTCCTGAGACTCGCCAGGTACTCAGCCATGTGCTGGGCCATGGGAACCCAAATATTAATAAGACATTGTCAGGCCAGGCATGACACTGGCTGAATGCCTGTAATCCCAGCACTTTGGGAGGCCAAGGTGGGCGGATCACCTGAGGTCAAGAGATCGAGACCATCCTGGCCAACATGGTGAAACCCCGTCTTTACTAAAAATACAAAAAATAGCTGGGCATGGTGGCACACACCTGTAGTCCCAGCTACTCAGGAGCCGGAGATTGCAGTGAGCTGAGATCGCAGAGTGAGCCGAAATCACAGATCACAGAGTGAGCAGAGTGAGACTCCGTCTCAAAAACAACAACAAAAAACAAAAAAACCATAAGACATTGTCCATCTGCGGTTCCCAGACTATTGCAGGAGACCAAAAAGTAAAGCGATTTTTTTTTTTTTTTAATACGGAGTCTCACTCTGTTGCCCAGGCTGGAGTGCTGTGGTGTGATCTCAGGTCACTGCAACCTCCAACTCGTGAGTTCAAGCGATTCTCCTGCCTCAGCCTCCCAAGTAGCTGGAATTACAGGTGCCCACCACCACGCCCGGCTAATTTTTGTATTTTCAGTAGAGACGGGGTTTCAGCATGTTGGCCAGGCTGGTCTCCTGACCTCAGGTGATCCACTCACCTTGGCCTCCCAAAGTGCTGGGATTACAGACAAAGCGATAATTTTAATATACTGTAAAAATTGCTGTAATAGGCAGCCCACAAGACACTGAGCGAGAGCAGAGGAAACCATCGATCCAGCCTGGACGGTCAAGGCTTTCTTGAGGAATTGATGCCATGGGGAAATGGAAGAAAAGGCAGAGTGAGTGGGTTGGGTGCAGAGTCAGGAGAGGTTAGGAAGCCTCCAGGAGAGCTTCAAGTGACTGTGTGTGGCTGAGAACAGCATGGGAATGCGTGGAAGGTATGCAGACAAAATTGGAGGGATCAACAGGGGCTGGATATCTAAGCTCACAGAATAGCAAGCTGAGGAATTGGAACTGCATCCTGAGGGTGATTGGGAGGTTCCGAACTGAAGATAGGGAAGGCTTCCATCACAGAACTCCCTGGGATATGCCGGGCGCGGTGGCTCATGCCTCCAATCCCAGCACTTTGGGAGGCCGAGACAGGTGGATCATGAGGTCAGGAGTTCAAGACCAGCCTTCCCAAGATGCTGAAACCCCGTCTCTACTAAAATACAAAAATTAGCCAGGTGTGGTGGCATGCACCTATAATCCCAGCTACTCGGGAGGCTGAGGCAGGAGAATCGCTTGAACCCGGGCAGCAGAGGTTACAGTGAGCCGAGATCGCACCACTGCACTCCAGCCTGGGCGACAGAGCAAGACTCCACCTCAAAAAAATAAAAAATAGAACTACGTGGGATCAGGTGCCTCATGAAAGCCAGAGTCATGTGGGCCCAGTGGAAGTATCTAACCTATTATCAGGGAATCTGTGAAGGTGTTTAGTCTGGAAGGAAATGGAGATTTTCCAGGACAGGCAAGGGGAAAGAGACTGAGGAAAGCGTATCTGCAGAGGCCTGGAGCGGTTAGAAGATGTGCTGTGTCCAGGTGCCTACAGTCTGTGTGCGTCCGAGCATGGGCTCTACCTGGACACAGTGAGGAGCGAGATTAAATACCTGGATCACAGCCGAGTCCAAAGCCTAGGACTTCATCCTGGGAGCAGTGCGTAGGGATGGCGGTCGTCCCGCCACAGCCTTGGCTCCGCCATCTTTGAAATGGCCCCATCACCCAAAACGCTCCTCCTTCTGAACCCCAGAGCTCCACTCTGCACCCATGCTCTAGCCTCACACCAAGGACTTTCTTGGTAAGAGACGGACAGTTCGGTGAAGTGATTAAAAGCCTACAGGCTTAGATAATGGAAGAGAGAGCTCCGTCCTCACACTCCTTTCTGCTGAGCATGAAATGCCTGGTTACTCACCAGTTGTGAAGACTTCGTTTGTGAATGAGACGGTCAGTTCAGCGGTGGCTTCTGAGAATTCTAAGAAAGCAAAACAATGTTAGGTCTTCCCCGTGGTTCCCTATATCCTCTAGATATCTCCATTCCCCTTTTGAGATATCTAGGCTCCCTGAAACCCCTTTCTCTGACACACTGCACAGACACTGAAGACAGACAAATTCGAAAGGTGTAAGACTTATCTTCCATGACCGGCTTAGTAAGAAGCAGATCCGTTCAGCAATTGATAGACACTTGGTTTTTTTTCCACGTTTTGCTGTTATGAATATTGCTGCTGTGAACATTGACGTACAGGTTTTTGTGTGAACATAAGTTTTCTGTTCTCTTGGGTACACACCCAGGGGTGGTGGAATCACTGGGTCATACAGTAACTCTGTGTTTTACTTTTTGAAGAACTACCAGACTTCTTTCTTTTTTTTCTTTTTTTTTTTTTTTTGAGACAGAGTCTCATTCTGTTGCCCAGGCTGGAGTGCAGTGGCGCGATCTCAGCTCACTGCAACCTCCACCTCCTGGGTTCAAGCGATTCTCCTCCCTCAGCCTCCCGAGTAGCTGGGATTACAGGCACCTGCCATCACGCCTGGCCAACTTTTTTTTTTGTACTTTAGTAGAGGCGGGGTTTCACCATGTTGGCCAGGATGGTCTCGATCTCCTGACCTCGTGATCCACCCTCCTTGGCCTCTCAAAGTGCTGGGATTACAGGCTGCGCCTGGCCACAGACTGTTTTTCAAAGCAGCTGCACCATTTTATATTCCCACCAGCAATATAAGAAGGTTCTTCCAAATCCTCACCAATACTTCTTGTCCGTTTGTTTTGTTTTAAAAATCATAGTCATCCTAGTTGGCATGGTGAATTTTATGGTATGTGAATTATATCTCAGTTTGAATAATAAGATGTGGATCCATGTCTTCGTGAGCCTAGAGGAAGAATGAGCTCGTGTTAGCCTCAGAACACGGGATCTCCACCTTCCAACTTAGGCCATTTTCTTTTTTTCTTTTTTTTTTTTTTTTTGAGACAGAGTCTTACTCTGTCGTCCAGGCTGGAGTGCAGTGGTGCAATCTCGGCTCACTGCAAGCTCTGCCTCCCGGGTTCACACCATTATCCTGCCTCAGCCTCCCGAGTAGCTGGGACTACAGGCACCCGCCACCACGCCTGGCTAATTTTTTTGTATTTTCAGTAGAGATGGGGTTTCACCGTGTTAGCCAGGATGGTCTCGATCTCCTGACCTTGTGATCCACCCGCCTCAGCCTCCCAAAGTGCTGGGAATACAGGCGTGAGCCACCGCGCCCGGCCAGGCCATTTTCTTAACCAGGGGCCTCCTGAGGCCACCAAAATATTCCTGAACTGCCTCAGCTGATAAATACGAAGCTCTTGTTGCAGTGGGTACTATCCTGGGAGTCTTTTTATGGTGGAACCAGCTTGGAAAAAACTAGTTTATGCTCAGCTCTCGGTGGCATAATGAGAGTGTGGGTATTATTTGGTCTTTGTTATTTCTCTTCGTGTGAGATGCATTAATAAACCTTTTTTTTTTTTTTCAATTAAAATTTCAGTTCCAGAATCCATGTGCAGGACGTGCAGGTTTGTTACATAGGTAAACGTGTGCCATGGTGGTTTGCTGCACCCATCAACCCATCACCTAGGTATTAAGCCCCACACGCATCAGCTATTTATCCTGATCCTCTCCCTCCCCCAATTCCCCCTACAGGCCCCAGTGTGTGGTGTTCCCCTCCCTGTGTCCATGTGATCTCATTGTTCAGCTGCCACTTACAAGTGAGAACATGCAGTGTTTGGTTTTCAGTTCCTGTGTTAGTTTGCTGAGGATAATGTTTTCCAGCTCCATCCATGTCCCTGCAAAGGACATGATCTCATTCCTTTTTATGGCTGCATAGTATTCCATGGTGTATATGTACTGTATTTGCTTTATCCTTTCTATCATTGATGGGCATTTGGGTTGATTCCTTGTCTTTGCTATTGTGAATAGTGCTGCAATGAACATATGTGTGCATGTATCTTTATAATACAATGATTTATATTCCTTTGGGTATATAACCAGTAATGGGATTGCTGGGTCAAATGGTATTTCTGGCCAGGCGCAGTGGCTCACACATGTAATCCCAGCACTTTGGGAGGCCGAGGTGGGCAGATCACCTGAGGTCAGGAGCTCAAGACCACCCTGGCCAACATGGTGAAACTCCCGTCTCTAGCAAAAATCCAAAAATTAGCCAGGCGTTGTGGCATGCACCTGCAGTCCCAGCTACTCGGGAGGCTGAGGCAGGAGAATCACTTGAACCCTGGAGGCAGAGGCTGCAGTGAGCCGAGATCATGCCCCTGCAATCCAGCCTGGGTGACAGAGTGAGACTCTGTTTAAAAAAAAAAAAAAAAAAAAAAGGTGGCCCTGGTGCGGTGGCTCACGCCTGTAATCCCAGCACTTTGGGAGGCCGAGGCAGGTGGATCACCTGAGGTCAGAAGTTTGAGACCAGCATGACCAACAAGGTAAAACCCCATCTCTACTAAAAGAAAAAAAAAAAAAAAAGCCAGGCATGGTGGCAGGCGCCTGTAGTCCCAGTTACTTAGGAGGCTGAGACAGGATAATTGCTTGAACCTGGGAGGTGGAGGTTGCAGTGAGCCGAGATCGCACCACTGCACTCCAGCATGGGCTATTGAGCAATACTACATCTCAAAAAAAAAAAAAAGGAAAAAGGATTTCTGGTTCTGGGTCTTTGAGGAATCACCACACTGTCTTCCACAATGAACTAATTTACATTCCCAACAGTGTAAAAGCATTCCTATTTCTCCACAGCCTCGCCAGCACCTGTTGTTTCTTGACTTTTGTTGGTTTTTTTTTTTTTTTTTTGAGATGGAGTCTTGCTCTGTCGCCCAGGCTGGAGTGCAGTGGCACAATCTTGGCTCACTGCAACCTCCGCCTCCCGGGTTCACGCCATTCTCCTGCCTCAGCCTCCCGAATAGCTGGGACTACAGGCGCCCGCCACCACGCCCGGCTAATTTTTTGTATTTTTAATAGAGACGGGGTTTCACCGTGTTAGCCAGGATGGTCTCGATCTCCTGACCTTGTGATCTGCCTGCCTCGGCCTCCCAAAGTGCTGGGATTACCGGCGTGAGCCACCGTGCCCGGCGTTTCTTGACTTTTTAATAATCGCCATTTTGACTGGTGTGAGATGGTGTCTAAATGTGGTTTTGATTTGCATTTCTCTAATGATTGGTGATGTTGAGCTTTTTTTTGTATGTTTACTGGCTGCATAAACGTCTTCTTTTGAGAAGTGACTGTTCATGTCCTTTACCCACTTTTTAATGGTTTTTTTTTTCTTGTAAATTTGTTTAACTTCCTTGTAGATTCTGGATATTAGACTTTTGTGAATTGATAGATTGCAAACATTTTCTCCCATTCTGTAGGTTGTCTGTTCACTCTGATGATACTTTCTTTTGCTGAGCAGAAGCTCTTTAGTTTAGTTAGATCCCATTTGTCAGTTTTTGCTTTTGTTACAATTGCTTTTGACGTTTTTGTCATGAAATCTTTGCCCATGCCTGTGTCCTGAATGGTATTACCTAGATTTTCTTCTAGGGTTTTTATAGTTTTCGGGTTTTGCATCCAAGTCTTTCATCCATCTTGAGTTAATTTTTGTACAAGGTGTAAGGAACGGGTCCAGTTTCTATTTTCTGCATATGGCTAGCCAATTCTCCCAGCACCATTTATTAACCCACAGCCAATTTCATACTAAATGGGCATTTCCCTTGAAAACCAGCACAAGACAAGGATGCCCTCTTTCACCACTCCTATTCAACATAGTATTGGAAGTTCTGGCCAGGATAATCAGGCAAGAGAAAGAAATAAAGGATACTCAAATAGGAAGAGAGGAAATCAAACTATCTCTGTTTGCAGATGACATGATCCTATATCTAGAAAACCCCATCATCTCAGCCCAAAAGTTTCTTAAGCTGATAAGCAACTTCAGCAAAGTCTCAGGATACAAAATCAATGTGCAAAAATCACAAGCATTCCTATACACCAACAATAGACAGGCAGAGAGCCAAATCATGAAGGAACTCCCATTCACAATTGCTACAAAGAGAATAAAATACCTAGGAATACAGCTAACAAGGAAAGTGAAGGACATCTTCAAGGAGAACTACAATTCACTGCTCAAGAAAATCAGAGCGGACACAAACAAATGGAAAAACATTCCATGCTCATGGATAGGATGAATCAATATCGTGAAAATGGCCATACTGCCCAAAGTAATTTATAGATTCATTGCTATTCCCATTGAACTATCATTGACATTCCTCACACAATTAGAAAAAACTATAAAATTCATATGGAACCAAAAAAGGGCCCATATAGCCAAGACAATACTAAGCAAAAAGAACAAAGCTGGAGGCCTCAGGCTCAGACTTCAGACTATATTACAAGGTGATAGTAACCAAAACAGCATGGTACTGGTACAAAAACAGACACATAGACCAATGGAACAGAATAGAGATCTCAGAAATAAGACCACACATCTACAACCATCTGATCTTCAACAAACCTGACAAAAACAAGCAATGGGGAAAGGATTCCCTATTTAATACACCTTGTTTTGATTTTGATTTCAACACAGCGTGTGGTATTTGCATGCCATGTGATACAGTTTGAATATGTGTTCCCACCAAATCTCATACTGGATTATGATCCCCAATGTTGGAGGTGGGGGCCTGGTGGGAGGTGTTTGGATCATAGGGGTGGATCCCTCATTGCTTGGTGCTTTCCTTGCAATAGTAAGTGAATTCTCACAAGATCTGGCTATTGCAAAGTGTGGCATGTCCCCCAGTCCCAACTCTCTCTCTCTCTTGCTCCTGCTCCCACCACATGAGACAGCTACCCCCTCTTTGCCTTCTGCCATGACTGTAAGCTTCCTGAGGCCTCCCCAAAAGCAGAAGCCAGCCTTCTGCTTCCTATACGGCCTTCAGAACCATGAACCAATTAAACCTCTTTTCTTATCAATGATCCAGTCTCAGATATTTATAGCAGCACAAAATCGGCCTAATATAGCATGAAATATTGCTCAGCAATCAAAAGGAACACATCATTGATACATACAGCAGCTTGGATGGGCCTCAGGGGCATTGCACTGAGTGACAAAAGGATATCTCAAACGGTTGCATACTGGATGATCCCATTTACATCAGATTCTAGAAATGGAAGATTATAGAGATGGAGAACAAATTAATGGATACCAGGAGTTAGGGATGGCAAGGGAAGGAGAAGGGTGTAGGTGTGAATATAAAAGGGTAGCCCAAGGGAGGCCCTTGTGAGACGGAAGAGTTCTGTACAGTGACTGCGGTGATGGTGACGCGAATCTACAACTGTGACAAATTGGCATAGAACTAGACACCTACTTTATGCCAATGTCAAATTCCTGGTTTTTATGTTGTACTCTAATTACGTAAGATGTAACCATTAGAGGAAACTGGAAAAAGAGCACATGGGATTCTTCTGTTCTATCATTGTAGACTTCCTGTGACTCTAGAACCATTTCAAAAGAGAAAGTTCAAAAATTCAGTCAGAAGCACACGCACACATATGCACGCATGCACACACACACATATGCACGCATGCACACACATATGCACGCACACACACATATGCACGCACACACGCACATGCACGCACACACACATATGCACGCACACAGTATGTGACCATCTTCCATGTCCCTGCCCACTAGGCATAATAGCCCTCACTCTGCCCTCAACCCCGCAAATCTCATCCTTATCAACCTCGGCTCTTTCCAGCATGTTTCTCCTGCCTTGGTGCTTCACTCTGAGACACAGGGAATGTTAGACACGCCCAGCCTCCAGCCTAGCGTATGATATTCTTAAAGTGCAGGCCGTAGTCTGGTACACCGTATTCAGCTGAGATGTTTGTGAAAGTGGAGGGGATAACACGCCTCACACAAAACTTACCGCAGTGGTTCTCAAAGCAGCATTCTGGAGCCATAGCATCAGCATCACCTGGGAACTTACTAGGAATGAAAATGACTGGATTCACCCCAGACCTACTGAAGCAGAAGCCCTGGGGGCTCAGAAATCTATTCTTTAAGCCTCCAGGTGATTCTTATGCTCATGGAAGTTTGAGAACCGCTGATCAATGCATTCAGTGACTCAGAAACAGAGTCCCGGACTCTACAGGTTTGTTGGTTGGTTGGTTGGTTGGTTGGTTGGTTAGTTTGTTTGTTTTTGTCACCCATATTCAACCAGCTGGACTCCACAGTATAGCAAGCCACTCCGATTATTCTTCTGCATGTTATATGTGATAAACCATCCACCTAGAGTAGGATTGGGGGCAGCATCTTAACATCTAACTACTTAGGACACCCACCCTGTTTACAGGCAGAAATAAAGGATTTTTAAAACAAAGCAAATCTGTGAAAGAACCAACTGAATTAAATCGAGAAGTCTAGGCAGAGAGGAGAGAGAGAAGGGGTCCGTGTACCTCATACGCTGTGCACCAGAATGGACCCTGCAGAACCTACCTGCTACCGGGGAAGGTGGTTCTGTTGGTAACCGGCTGGGGGTCACAGAGGTTCCTGGGAAATCAGAAAATGAGATAAATCTGTGCTCTGTCGCTGTGGGTCCTGAACAAATAACGAAACATCTCCGTGACTGAGTTTCCTCACCGGAAAAATGAGCCTAAAGTAGCTTACATCACTGGACTGTTGTGGATGTTAATAAGCATTTGAGCTGGGTGCAGTGCCTCATGCCTGTAATCCCAGCACTTTGGGAGGCTGAGGAGGGCAGATCACTTGAGGTCAGGAGTTCAAGCCCAGCCTGGCCAGTATGGTGAAACCCCGTCTCCACTAAAAATACAAAAATTAGCCAGGCGTGGTGGTGTGCACCTGTAATCCCAGCTGCTCGGGAGGCTGAGGCAGGAGAATCACTTGAACCTAGGAGGCAGAGGTTGCAGTGATCTGAGATCGCACCACTGCACTCCAGCCTGGGTGACGCAGTAAGACTCCATCTGAAAAAAAAAGGCTTAGCCAGGCGTGGTGGCTCACACCTGTAATCCCAGCACTTTGAGAGGCCGAGGCAGGCAGATCACCTGAGGTCAAGAGTTCAAGACCAGCCTGGCCAACATGGTGAAACCCTGTCTCTACGAAAAATACAAAAATTAGCTGGGCATGATGGCAGGTGCCTGTAATCCCATCTACTCAGGAGGCTGAGGCAGGAGAATCGCTTAAACCCAGGAGGTGGAGGTTGCAGTGAACTGAGATCACTCCACTGCACTCCAGCCTGGGTGACAAAGTGAGACTCCCCCCAAAAAAAAAAAAAAAAAAAAAAGCAGCAGCATTTGTAAAGCACACCTGGCACATTCTGGGCTATTAACAAGGAAATGCATGCAGCTCCCGTCCACCTTTTTCAACCTCAGTTCTATTTCTTCTGGATTCCTGTGTCCTACCCCTCACTGTGACCCTGGGGGCAAAACAGATTTTTCTACCAAAAACTAAATGATGTATTTTGTTTGATTTAATATGACATTGTTAAATGTACTGATCAGTGGCGTTGGGTATGTTCACATTGTGGTACAATATGTTGACCTCTAGAACTTATTTTTCTTGCAAAACTGAAATTCTGTGCCCATTAAACACTAATTCCTTCTCTCTCCTCTTTCTGGCCCTTAACAACCACCATTGTACTTTGTGTTTCTACAGTGTTGACATTAGATACCTCCTTTGACTAGAATCATACAGTAGTTGTCCTTTTGTGACTGACTTAGCATAATGTCCTCAAGGTATATCCATGTTGTAGTATGTGTCAGAATTTCCTTCTTTTTTAAGGCTGCATAATATTCCATTGCATGTATATAACCACATTATGAGGTATGCTGCTCTTTTTTGAAAGAAACCCCCTTTAAGAATGGTAGTCAAGTCCGACGCGGTGGCTCACGCCTGTAATCCCAGCACTTTGGGAGGCCGAGGCGGGCAGATCATGAGGTCAGTTCAAGACCAGCCTGACCAACATAGTGAAACCCCGTCTCTACTAAAAATACAAAAATTGGCCGGGCATGGTGGCAGGCACCTGTAATTCCAGCTACTCGAGAGGCTGAGGCAGCAGAATCGCTTGAACCCGGAAGGCGGAGGTTGCAGTGAGCTGAGATCGCGCCACTGCACTCCAGCCTGGGTGACAGAGTGAGACTTCGTCAAAAAAAAAAAAAAGAAACCTCCATTCTCCCAGCTGCCTGTAGCCCAGGGCTTCCTGCCCTCCCACTTCCTTCCCACCTCTGGCCCCGCCCCTGCAGCCCAGGGCTTCCTGCCCTCCCACTTCCTTCCCACCTACGGCCCCGCCCCTGCAGCCCAGGGCTTCCTGCCCTCCCACTTCCTTCCCACCTACGGCCCCGCCCCTGCAGCCCAGGGCTTCCTGCCCTCCCACTTCCTTCCCACCTACGGCCCCGCCCCTGCAGCCCAGGGCTTCCTGCCCTCCCACTTCCTTCCCACCTACGGCCCCGCCCCTGCAGCCCAGGGCTTCCTGCCCTCCCACTTCCTTCCCACCTACGGCCCCGCCCCTGCAGCCCAGGGCTTCCTGCCCTCCCACTTCCTTCCCACCTCTGGCGCCGCCCCTGCAGCCCAGGGCTTCCTGCCCTCCCACTTCTTTCCCACCTATGGCCGCGCCCCTACAGCCCAGGGCTTCCTGCCCTCCCACTTCCTTCCCACCTACGGCCCCGCCCCTGCAGCCCAGGGCTTCCTGCCCTCCCACTTCCTTCCCACCTACGGCCCCGCCCCTGCAGCCCAGGGCTTCCTGCCCTCCCACTTCCTTCCCACTTATGGCCCCTCCCTTGGAATGGCCATCAGGACCTATAAAGGCTGAGGAAGAAAGGTTTGGTCTGCACTACCCCTACCTGTGACCACAAGCTCCAGGGGGTCGCTGGGGGCTGACCACAGGTATGGGTCCCTGCTGGAGAAGCTGTAGCATCGGTAGGTTCCGCTGTGGGCGGCGGTCACCGTGATGATGGGAAAACTAGCCCTGTACCATCTCTCGGGATTCTTGTAGGGCGCAGGGTCCCCTTCCTTGTACAGAGCAAATTGGTCAAAGCCATACCGAGTCTGACACTGTAGGGTTACGTCCCCTCCTGACGACACCGCCGGGCCGGGCTGGGCTGAGAGCGAGGGTTTGGCAAAAACTCCTGGGAGAAAAAGAAAGTCTGATGTTGAAGGCAGGAGCCAGCATCTCAGCTGAGACTGGGGAGGTCCCCACACCTGCCTAAGAGCTGGGGAGCTTTTTGGCTGTATCCCTCCCAGAGAGCGCACTCCCCCACCCAAGCTCACAGAGAGGTCGAGTCACCCAGTGGTTGAGGAAGGAGGCTGTGCTCACGTCCTAGTGCTTGGGTGCAAATCCTAGTTCTGCCTTCAGGGGCCTGGTGGCCCTGGAGACAAATCTCCCTCTGTATCTGAGCCTCACTGCCTTGTTCTGTTAAAATGGGGATGACTGAATGAGACAGTACACAGTAATTTGCAGAGTGCCTGTTGCCTAGCAAGCGCTGGAGTAAGTAAATAGCTTAAGCTTATACTGTGCTGTAAGCTTGTATTGCCACATACAATTGTTACGTTGTAAATGTGGCTGACAGTGCTAGCTTCCGGGTGCCTTCCAAACTTATGATGTATATCAGTTCAGTGAATCCTCAGAGACCTATGGAGTCCTCACTCTTAATGTCCCTATTTTATAAATGAAACTAAGGCACATGGCATTAAATAATTTGTCCAACTCTAGGTAACAATACTGCAGTGTACAGCTGAAATTTGCTAAGAGGGTAGATTATAAGTATTCTCACACACAAAAAAGTTAACTGTGTCAGGTGATGTATGTTAATTAGCTTGCTAGTAGTAACTGTCTCACAGTGGATTCGTATATCAAAACATCAACTTGTACACCTTGGATATATTCCATTTTTGTTTTTCAATTATACCTCAACAAAGCTGGACATATTTTAATTTAAAAATAAATAAAAAACTTGTCCAAGATCATAAGTGGCAGAGTTGAAATCTGCACTCACAGAGTTTGATTCCAGGGTCTCCGCTCCTAAACACGAACCTACACTACTCTGATGTGAGGTTGTTGTCATAGACCGGTGTGGTGATGCATGCCTGCACACAGGAGTCAGAAAAACAAAGGTTGAGGCTGGGTGCGGCGGCTCACACCGGTCATCCCAGCACTTTGGGAGGCCAAGGTGGGAGGATCGCTTGAGCCCAGGAAGGCGAGGCTGCAGTGAGCTATGATCACTGTACACTAGCCTGGGTGACAGAGTGAGACCTTGTCTCAAAAAAAGACAGAGAGAGAAAGCAAAAGAAAGGAAGTAAGGAAGATAAAAATATAAGCTGCCTAATAATTATGGCATTCACTCAACAAGAAGAAAAAGAAAGAAAGAGGAAGGAAGGGAGGGAGGGAGGAAGGAAGGAAGGAAATATATAAGCTGCCTGATAACTGTAACATTCACTCAGCAATATTTTCTCTTAATTTTCACTTAAGCAACTATTATGTGTCTGTCTGTATTCTTTTTTTGTTGTTTCATTTGTTTTGTTTTGTTTTGTTTTGTTTTGAGACGGAGTCTCGCTCTGTCACCCAGGCTGGAGTGCAATGGCATATATATATATATATATATATATATATATATATATATATATATATATATATATATATATTTTTTTTTTTTTTTTTTTTTTTTTTTTTTTTGGGAAACAGAATCTCACTCTGTTGCCCAGGCTGGAGTGCAGTGGCATGATCCCAGCTCACTGCAACCTCCACCTCCTGGGTTCAAGCGATTCTCCTGCCTCAGCCTCCCGAGTAGCTGGGACTACAGGCATGCACCACCATGCCCAGTTAATTTTGTATGTTTAGTAGAGACAGGGTTTCACCATGTTAGCCAGGCTGATCTCGAACTCCTGACCTCAGGTGATCCGTCCACCTCGGCCTCCCAAAGTGCTGGCATTACAGGCGTGAGCCACCGTGCCCGACCAGGAATTAAAAATAGACAACCACCACCAAGATAAAAAAAGGTATACTTCACATACCAGATAGTGAGGAGGGCCACTTTGACTAGGGTGGTGGGGGATATACTTAGCGAGAAGAGAGTATTTGAGTCTGACCCTGAAAGAAGTAATGAGGCAGCCAGGCTGGTCCATTCTAGTAGCAGAGAGGAGGCCAGTGATGCTGTGGAGGGGAGTGAGGCAGGGAAGAGGGGAGGGAGGCAGGATTTATAACGCGGAATAGACCACAGTGCAGCTGGCCAGGAATTAGGGTGGCGTGAGTGAGGCACTCTCCTGGGATGTAAAATTTAATTATTCCCAAACAATTAACATATTTGAAAAAATTATTGAAAATTTGAAGAGTAGGTCGTTAAAACTCACATTATTCTGTTTGAATACTTTATTCCCCTGAAAGATTTATTAGAATTTTACATTCTAGGCTTTTGTGGATGCAAGCGCATCAGTGCTATTTCCAAAACCTACTTCTAGAAAATAACCATTTAAAAGTGCACTAACTGGGTGCACCTATAGTCCCAGCTACTAGGGAGGACCACTTGAGCCCAGGGATTTGAGGCTAAAGTGAGCTATGATCATGCCTGTGAATACAGCGAGTGTACTAAAGCCTGGGCAACATAGTAAGACCTCTTCTCTTTTTTTTTTTTTCCCAAGACGGAGTCTTGCTCTGTCGCCCAGGCTGGACTGCAGTGGTGCAATCTCGGCTCACCGCCTCCCAGGTTTAAGCGATTCTCCTGCCTCAGCCTCCGGAGTAGCTGGGATTACAGGAGTGCGCCACCGCGCCCAGCTAATTATTATTATTTTTTTTAGTAGAGACGGGGTTTCACCATGTTGGCCAGGCTGGTCTCAAACTCCTGACCTTAAGTGATCCACCCACCTCAGCCTCCCAAAGTACTGGGATTACAGGCGTGAGCCGCCGCGCCCGGCCCAACCTCTTCTCTTAAAAAAAATAAATAAATAAGAAAAGAAATTAGAATATTTGCACCAATCAAGAGTCTAAGGAGACATAAATACTAAATGCACTGTGGGGCCCTGGACGGGGTCTGGGAACAGAAATAGGATATTAGTGGAAAGACTGGTGAAATTCAAATAGCCTGGAGTTTACTTGATATAATATAGTTGTGTCTATGGTTAGTTTTTTGTTTGTTTTTTGATACAGGGTCTCACTCTGTCACCCAGGCTGGAGTGCAGTGGCGTGATCACAGCTCCCTGCAGCCTCGGCCTCCCTGGCTCAAGCGATCCTCCTGCCTCAGCCTCCTGAGTAGCTGGGACTATAGGTGTATGCCACCATGCCCCACTAATTTTTAATTTTGTTTAAAGATGAGGTCTCACTATGTTGCCCAGGCTGGTCTTGAACTCCTGAGCTCAAGCAATCCTCCCGCCTCAGCCTCCCAAAGTGCTGGGATTACAGGTGTAAACCACTGGGACCAGTGCTACGTTTATTTTTTGGTTGTAACAAATGTAAGATGTTAACATGAGGGGATCCTGGGTGAAATATTTCCATTAATATTATCTTTGGAACTTTTCTGTCAGTCTAAAAATTACTCCAAAACAAAGTTTTAAAAAGAATCCCGAGCCAAGCACGGTGGCCCGTGACCGTAGTCCCTGCTACTCATGAGGCTGAGGCAGGAGGATTGCTCAAGGCAAGGAGCTCCAGGCTGCAGTGAGCTATGACTGCTCCTATGAACAGCCACTGCACTCCGGCCTGGGCAGTGTAGCAAGACCCCATCGCTAATTTTTTTAAGTGCATTAAAACACAGATAAAGGGTTGCCTGTTTTTCGTTTTGGCACAGACTCTGGTATGACTTGACACAGGCACTGGCTGATTCTGCCTTTATTTGAAATTCTGGTTTTTTTCATTGTGGATGTTTTTGCAATTTATTTTGATTTTTTTAAAAATTGCATGAAAATGTTATTCACAGCCAGATGCAGTGGCTCACGCCTGAAATCCCAACACTTTGGGAAGCCAAGGTGGAAGGATAGCTTGAGCCCACAGGAGTTCGAGACCAGCCTGAGCAACATAGCGAGACCCTATCTCTCTCTCTTTTGTATTTTAATGCCTTTTGTGAAAACTGTCAAGAGACCCCATCTCTATAAAAACATAAAAAATGAGCTGGGCGTGGTGGTGCACACCTGTAATCCTAGCTACTTGGAGGGCTGAGGCGGGAGAATCGCTTGAGCCCTGGAGGTGGAGGCTGCAGTGAGCCAAGATCGCGCCACTGCTCTCCACCCTGGGTGACGCAGCAAGACCCTGTGTCCAAAAAACAAAATATTATTCACATTGATCCATAAATGTCGTGGCACCACCACCCGCTAGGCCAGTGCCTCGTTTGCCTCACCCTAATCCCTGCCCTCAATGTCCCCCGTATTTGTGTCCTGAACGGAGGACCACGCAGTCCCAGGCTCCGATCCCCCTTCCTTTACCCGTGGCAACGAGCTCCAGCTGGTCGCTGGGCAGGGACCAGAGGCTTCCGTTCTGGTAGGAGCAGCGGTAGCGTCCAGCCAGACTTCTCTTCATGGCCGGGATGAAGAGGACTGCCTGATCCTGGTACCTGCTGGAACTCAGCTTCTCCAGGCGGTACAGGTCCACGCCCGGAGGTCCCTGGCACCGGAGGGTCACTGGCTTCTCCAGGGGCACCAGGGAGCTGGGCAGAGCCTGGAGGGAGGGCTTGGGGAGCGGTCCTGGAAGAGGAGCAGGGCTGGGTCAGCCTCCCCGCAGACCCCGCCTGGACCCCGCTGCTCCCGCGCTGGCGGATCCCGCAGGAGGGAAGGGGTCTGGGGAAGGACTCACCACTCTGCGCTGGCACACGCCCCAGACACAGCCCTGAGGAAAGAAGAAAGGGACCAGATGCCAGGACTCGCTTTTATGGACATTCCTGCCTGCTGGGCGCGGTGATAAGACATTTGCATGCATATGCTTTACTCTGTCCTAATAATTTCTTCAAAAGACACACAGGAATGTAATTTAAGTGAGAGAAACCGGTCAGAAAAAGCCACATAGTTTATGAGGTCATTTACATGAAATATCCAGAATAGGTAAATCTATAGGAGATGGAGAAGAAAGCAGATCCATGGCTGGGGGTGGTGGGAGAGGAGGGCAAGGCATGGTGGCGTACTGCTCTCTGTGGACTTGTTCGTGTTAGACACGGTGGGCTCGTTCGTGTTAGACACGGTGGACTCGTTCGTGTTAGACACGGTGGGCTCGTTCGTGTTAGACACGGTGGGCTCGTTCGTGTTAGACACGGTGGACTCGTTCGTGTTGTGTTAGACACGGTGGACTCGTTCGTGTTAGACGCGGTGGACTCGTTCGTGTTAGACACGGTGGACTCGTTCGTGTTGTGTTAGACACGGTGGACTCGTTCGTGTTGTGTTAGACACGGTGGACTCGTTCGTGTTAGACACGGTGGGTTCGTTCGTGTTAGACACGGTGGGTTCGTTCGTGTTAGACGCGGTGGGTTCGTTCGTGTTAGACGCGGTGGACTCCTTCGTGTTGTGTTAGACACGGTGGACTCGTTCGTGTTAGACACGGTGGACTCGTTCGTGTTAGACACGGTGGACTCGTTCGTGTTAGACACGGTGGACTCGTTCGTGTTGTGTTAGACACGGTGGACTCGTTCGTGTTGTGTTAGACACGGTGGGCTCGTTCGTGTTGTGTTAGACACGGTGGACTCGTTCGTGTTGTGTTAGACACGGTGGGCTCGTTCGTGTTAGACGCGGTGGGCTCGTTCGTGTTAGACGCGGTGGGCTCGTTCGTGTTGTGTTAGACACGGTGGGCTCGTTCGTGTTGTGTTAGACACGGTGGGCTCGTTTGTGTTGTGTTAGACACGGTGGGCTCGTTCGTGTTAGACATTGCCCATTGACTTCCTCAGTGGATGTGAGGAATGGGACCTGAGACATTGCTGTCCCTTCGTTTCCTCCCTTCAGTCTCCCAATATTAAATAATATCCAAGTACATTACAATAGTATGCAATTGTATAGACAAGTATTGTAAATACTATTGCATATTGTATATTATTGTATTTTATTGTCTATGTAATATATGCGATAAAACCCCACACTAATGGGATGCATTGGGCTCCAAGGATGGAGCAGGATGGAGCCTCAGCGTGTAAGTCAGGACGTCTCAGCATGTGCTGGCCATGGGTTTCCCGGTATTTACAACATTTGCTTGAATCAGTATTCCATGATTACATGATAGGATATAATATATATAATAATCGTTTCAAATAGCCTGAAGGAGGATGGGGAAAGTTCCCAACACAGAAAGGATGCATGTTTGAGAAGATGGGTGTGCTACTTACCCTGATCTGATTACTATATGTATATACACATATAGTGCATATATGTAAACCTACATCTATACATACATGTGTATGTACATATACACGTGTGTACATACACACGTGTATATGTATGTATATGTATATATGTATGCATGTGTGTGTGTGTGTGTGTGTGTGTGTATACATATGTATACAAATACATGTACATAAGCGATCCCCTCCTGGAATTGCTTGAGCCCAGGAGGTCAAGTCTGCTGTGAGGTAAGATTGCACCACTGGCCGGGCACGGTGGCTCATGCCTATAATCCCAGCACTTTGGGAGGCCAGGGTGGGCGGATCACAAGGTCAGGAGTTCAAGACCAGCCTGGTCAACATGGTGAAACACCATCTCTACTAAAAATACCAGAAATTAGCTGGGCATGGTGGCACGTGCCTGTAATCCTAGCTACTGGGGAGGCTGAGTCAGGAGAATCACTTGAACCCGGGAGGCGGAGGTTGCAGTGAGCCAAGATCACGCCACTACACTCCAGCCTGGGCAACAGAGCAAGACTCCATCTCGAGGAAAAAAAAAAATGATATTGCCCCATTGCACTCCAGACTGACAACAGAGCAAGACCCTGTCTCAGAAAACGAAGAGGAGGAGGAAAAAAAAAGTACTAATTATCTGAAATTCCAATTTAACCAGGCATCCAGTGTTTTATCTGGTAACCCTCATTCTTACACACACACACACACACACACACACACAAAGGCGGGATAGTTGTCATTCCCACTGTAAACATAAGGAAACTGGGCAGAGGCCAAGCAACCTTGTGTAGCTCACATAGCAAGAAGTGGGTGAACCCAGCTCATGTCTTGACTCTGAGCTCAGAGAGTGACAACTTGTCACCAGCGCCCCCATAGCCACCACCCTTTGTCCACCCCAGGCTCCCTCTGCACCCCAACGCAAGCTCCGGCCGCTTCTCTGTCCCCCTCCTCCTGCCGCATCACAGCCCACCTCAGCCTCTTTGTAGGTTTCCATGCGACGCTGTACCATGGCTGGGAGTCTTCCAGGCGCCGTGCTGAGCGCCTTCTGTGCATGGACTCCAAGTCGCCATAATCGTACGGGTTACCCACCATTATCAGTCCCCTCTTATACATCAGGCTAGTGAGACAGTATCTTATCCACAGTCCTACAGCTGGCAGGAGTAGATTCAAACCCTAGCAGCACCAATTAGTGGTAAAGAGTGTGGACTTGGGAACTTACAGGAGTAGAGAGCACAGTGGTGGTTACCGGGGCGGTGGGGTAAGGTTTGGGGAGATGTTGGTCAGAGGAGGACAGTTTCAGTTGGACAAGAGGAGTATGTCTTGGAGATCTACTGCACATCATGGTGACTGTAGTTAATAACAACATATTGTACACTTGCATATCACCGATAGTAGATTTTAAATGTTCTCACCGGCCGGGCGCGCTGGCTCACACCTGTAATCCCATTTTGGGAGGCCAAGGTGGGCGGATCACCTGAAGTCAGGAGTTCGAGAGCAGCCTGACCAACATGGTGAAACCCTGTCTCTACTAAAAATACAAAAATTAGCGGGGCGTAGTGGCAGGAGCCTGTAATCCCAGCTACTTGGGAGGCTGAGGCAGGAGAATCGCTTGAACCTGGGAGGTGGAGGTTGCAGTGAGCCAACGTCATGCCACTGCGCTCCAGTCTGGGCAACAGAGTGAGACTCCATGTCAAAAAATAAAAATAAATAAAAATAAATGAGCGTGGAATACTACTCAGCCATTAAAAGGAGTGAAATAATGTCTTTTGGCCAGGCACAGTGGCTCACATCTGTAATGCCAGCACTCTGGGAGGCCGAGGTGGGTGGATCACGAGGTCAAGAGATCAAGACCATCCTGCCCAACATGGTGAAACCCCATCTCTACTAAAAATACAAAAATTAGCCGGGCATGGTGGCGGGTGCCTGTAGTCCCAGCTACTCGGGAGGCTGAGGCAGGAGAATCACTTAAACCCGGGAGGTGGAGTTTGCAGTAAGCCGAGATCACACCACTGCACTCCAGCCTTGGTGAGAGAGCGAGATTCCGTCTTTAAAAAAAAAAAAAAAAAGTCTTTTGCAGCAACTTGGATGGAGCTGGAAGGCATTATTCTAAGTAAAGTAATACAGGAGTGGAAAACAAAAATCTGTATATTCTCACTTATAAGTGAGAGCTAAGCTGTGGGTATGCAAAGGCATGCAGAGTGATGTAATGGACTTCAGAGACTCAGAAGGGAAGGGCAGAAGTGGGGCAGGGATGAAAAACTACACATTAGGTACAAGGTACACTAGTCAGGTGACAGGTGCACTAAAATCTCAGAATTCACCAGAATATAATTCATCCATGTAACCAAGAACCACTTGTATCCCAAAAGCTACTGAAGCAACAAGCCAGATGCAGTAACCTGTACAGGCCACACCTGTAACCCCAACACTTTGGGAGGCCGAGGTGGGTGGATCGCTTGAGCCCAGGAGTTCAAGACCAGCCTGGGCAACATAGCGGACCCCCGTAACTAAAAAAATTACAAAAACAAGCCAGGCATGATGGTGTACAACTGTAGTTCCAGATACTCAGGAGGCTGATGGGGAGGCACTGGTTGAGCCTGGGAGGTTGAGGCTGCAGTGAGCCATGATCATGCCACTGCCCTCCTGCCTGGGTGACAGAAGTGAGGCCCTATCTCAAATAAAATTAAATAAATAAAAGTTAAAACAGGCTGGGTGCGGTGGCTCACGCCTGTAATCCCAGCACTTTGGGAGGCCGAGGCGGGTGGAACCTGAAGTAAGGAGCTTGAGACCAGCCTGGCCAACATGGTGAAACCCCGCCCCTACTAAAAATACAATAATTAGCCAGACCTGGTGGCAGATGCCTGTAATCCCAACTATTCGGGAGGCTGAGGCAGGAGAATCACTTGGACCCGGGAGGCAGAGTTTGCAGTGAGCTGAGATCATGCCATTGCATTCCAGCCTGAGCGACCGACTGAGCGAGACTCCATCTCAAAAAACAAACAAAAAGAAAAAAAGAATACATCCATGGATGGATAATGAATGAGAGGTTGTTTATATTCACAGTTAACCCTCTCATCTCCAGTAATGCAACCATCTTCTTCCTGCTTAGCCTTTTGGAGATGCTGTCCCTTTAGTGGTCAAATTCTGAAGAAATCAGGAAATAATGCATTCGACATGCCCAGCACAAGTGAAGATCAGGCAGCAGAAATGCATTCGACCTGCCACCCATCCATCAGGAGACTATTTACTCCACTACTGTAGGGGATACTGACAAATTAAATCCATACCTAGTCCAGATATCAATTCCACAATTTTTTTTTTTTTTTTTTTGAGACGGAGTTTCGCTCTTGTTGCCCAGGCCAGAGTGCAATGGTGTGATCTTGGCTCACCGCAACCTCCACCTCCCAGGTTCAAGCGATTCTCCTGCCTTAGCCTCCAGAGTAGCTGGGATTACAGGCATGTGCCACCACACCCGGCTAATTTTGTATTTTTAGTAGAGATGGGGTTTCTCCATGTTGGTCAGGCTGGTCTCAAACTCCCGACCTCAGATGGCCCACCCGCCTCGGCCTCCCAAAGTGTGTAAGCCATGGCACTCAGCCTTTTTTTTTTTTTTTTTTTTTTTTTTTGAGATGGAGGCTCTCTCTGTTGCCCAGGCTGGAGTGCAATGCCTGACCTCAGCTCACTGCAACTTCTGCCTCCCAGTTTCAAGCAATTCTCCCACCTCAGCCTCCCACGTAGCTGGGATTACAAGCACCCGCCATCACGCCCGGCTAATTTTTGTAGAGATGGGGTTTCACCATGTTGACCAGGCTGGTCTTGAACTCCTGACCTCAGGTGATCCACCCACCTCGGCCTCCCAAGGTTGAGATTACAGGCGTGAGCCACTGTGCCTGGCCCACATTTTTTAAAAAAGGGGCAACTGCAGTGTAGTAGAACAAAGTTGTGACCAATGCTAGGATACTCTGTTCATTTCCTGACCCAGCCATGAATACACTGGAATAACTCATGCAAAATGCCAGCTCGCTGGCCCCCCGTTTCCCCACCCAACAAATGAAGGGGCTCTTACAGGTTCCTTTTTGTCCTGAAATTCATCACCAATGCAAATTTCTTAAAAATCCTTTGTCTGGCAGTCCATGCCTGTCCTTCAGCATTTCCCAGATCTGACCCTCAGGACTCACCAAGACAGAAGAGGGCGGTCGGGGATGGAGACATGGTTCCTCAGCCCTGTCCTGAGCTCTGTGGCCAGGGAGGGAAGTGGTGGGAGCCTGGGGCACAGGCTCAGGATGTGATGAGGATGAAGAATGCTCTCCTCCCTTCCTCCACCAGCCCCGGCCTTTCCTAATTGAGACTCATCGAGCCGTAGCCGGCTCCTCAGTACAGTGACTTGCACACAAGCTCCAAGGAGCCGCGCTTATCTCCTCTGGCCAGCCTGGCGTTGCACCGTTTGTCCGCCTGCTGGGGCCTGGTCTGTGTTCCCGTGCTCCCATAAACTCCCTGATGTCACTAGGAAAATACGCATCAAAACCACAGTGAGATATGACTTCACACCTTCTGGAATGGCTGTATTTTTTTTTTTTCTTTTGAGACAAAGTCTCGTTCTTTTTGCCCAGGTTGGAGTGCAGTGGCGCCATCTCGGCCCACTACAACCTCCACCTCCCAGGTTCAAGCGATTCTCCTGCCTCAGCCTCCCAAGTGGCTGGGATTATAGGTATGTACCACACCAGGCTAATTTTTGTATTTTTAGTAGAGATGGGGTTTCACTGTGTTGGCCAGGCTGGTCTTGAACTCCTGACCTCAGTTGATCCACCTGCCTCGGTCTCCCAAAGTGCTGGGATTACAGGCATGAGCCACTGCACCCGACCGGCTATAATTTTTTTTAATGGAAAACAGCAGATATTGGTGAGTATGCAGAGAAATTGAACTGCGCGTGCATTGCTGGCAGGGACGTAACATGGCGCCCCTGCTGTGGAAAACAGTTCCAGCAGCTCCTCCAGAAGTTAAACGTGGGATTGCCATAAAATCCAGCAATTCCACTTCGGGGTACACACCTAAAAGAACTGAAAACAGGGTCTCTAACATATTTGTACACAGTGTTCATAGCAGCTTTATTCACAATAGCCAAAAGGTGAAACCACCCACATGTCCATCAACAACAATGGATAAACAACATGTGGTATATACACACAAGGTAATATCAACCAGCCTTAACTAAAAGAATAAAAATCAGCCAGGCACAGTGGCTCACGCCTGTAATCCCAGCACTTTGGGAGGCCGAGGCGGGCGGATCACCTGAGGTCAGGAGTCCGAGACCAGCCTGGTTAACATGGTGAAACCCCATCTCTACTAAAAATACAAAAATTAGCTGGGCGTTAAATTAGCCGGGCATGGTGGCAGGTGCCTGTAATCCCAGCTACTTGGGAGACGGAGGCATGAGAATCGCTTGAACCTGGGAGGCAGAGATTGCGGTAAGCCGAGATCGCACCACTGCACTCCAGCCTGGGCGGCAGAGTGAGACTGTCTCAAAAATAAAAATAAGGCCGGGCGTGGTGGCCCATGCCTGTAATCCTAGTACTTTAGGAGGCTGAGGCAGGCAGATTGCCTGAGCTCAGCAGTTCAAGACCAGCCTGGGCAACACAGTAAAACCCCCAAAAAATACAAAAAAAAAATAGCCGGGCATGGCGGCAGGCACCTGTAGTCCCAGCTACTCCGGAGGCTGAGACAGGAGAATGGCTTGAACCCGGGACGCGGAAGTTGCGGTGAGCCGAGATCGCGCCATTGCACTCCAGCCTGGGTGACAGAGCGAGATTCTGTCTCCAAAAAATAAAAAATATTATAAAAGAATAAATTCAGATACATGCTACAACGTGATGGACCTTGAAGACATTATGCTAAAGGAAATATTCCGGACTTGACAGATAAATACTGCATTGTGCCGCTTATCTGAGGTATCGAGAGGAGTCAAATTCATAGAGACAGGGATTAGAATGGTGGTTGCCAAGGCCTGGGAAAAGTGGGGAGTTACTATTTAATAGGGAGCGCTTAGGTTGAAGATGATGACAAAGTCTGGGGGATCCATAGTGGTGATGGTTACACAACACTGTAAATGTATTTATATTTAATGCCATTGACTGTTTTTTGTTTTTTGGTTTTTTGAGACGGAGTCTCACTCTGTCGCCGAGGCTGGAGTGCAGTGGCGCGATCTTGGCTCACCGCAACCTCCGCCTCCCAGGTTCAAGCGATTCTCCTGCCTCAGCCTCCTGAGTAGCTGGGACTACAGGTGCGTGCCACCATGCCTAGTTGATTTTTTGTATTTTTAGTAGAGACGGGGTTTCACCGTGTTAGCCAGGATGGTCTCGATCTCCTGACCTTGTGATTTGGCCTCCCAAAGTGCTGGGAATACAGGCATGAGCCACCGCGCCCGGCCAGTGCCGTTGACTTGTATGTGCACTTACAGGTGGTTAAAATGAGAACTATCAGGGTGTTGATATCTAAAAACCTCCCTGCCATCATCTTCCCTACATCTCTCATTCAGTGACCATGGTTGAATGCCTGCCACCTTTCAAATATTATGTCAGGCACTCAGTATTGGCAGTTTTATCCATTATAAATGCTTTAAGCTGCATAGAATTTTAAACGTGTTAATAAAAGTAGTTATAAATCTTTAATACATAAGCTGGCTTTAAAATTATTGGTAAAATAAGATTAGAAATGTCTTAAGAATTGTTGGCGTTTTTGTTTGCACTTATTGAACGAGTGGTTTCATGCTTATCCCTGCAGAATACTATGAGATTTGTCATAAGGGTTATAAAACTATAAACCCGGCTGGGCGTGGTGGCTCACGCCTGTAATCCCAACACTCTGGGAGGCCGAGGCAGGCAGATCACCTGAGGTCGGGAGTTTGAGACCAGCCTGACCAACATGGAGAAACGCCATCTCTACTAAAAATACAAAATTAGCTGGGTGTGGTGGCGCATGCCTGTAATCCCAGATACTCAGGAGGCTGAGGCAGGAGAATCGCTTGAACCCGGGAGGCAGAAGTTGCAGTGAGCCGAGATTGCGCCACTGCACTCCAGCCTGGGCAACAAGAGTGAAACTCCATCTAAAATAAATAAAAATAAAACATTTGTTTTTTGTAGAGTTGGGGTTTCACTATGTTGCCCAGGCTGGTCTTGAACTCCTCCTGGGCTCAAGCAATCCACCGACCTCAGCCTCCCAAAGTGCTGGGATTACAAGTGTGAGCCACTGTGCCTGGCCCTATTGGGTCCTTTTAAAAGATACATAAAAAATCAAATGCAACAGTGAAGTCAATCACCCGATGGCAGAAATTGGGGTGCTCCTGGCATGTGGTCGGTCGAAGCCAAGGACACTGCTCAGCATTCTGCAGTGCACAGGACGGCCCCGCCCAGGCGGAGAATGATCCGGTGACACATATAGGTGGGAAGGATGCACGAATGATGGCGTTTAGGAAGAATATTATCACTTCTTTCCCGTAAGAGCAACTTAGAGCAAGAAAATGGTATTATTCTTAGGGCCTTCTCTCTTATGGAGGCTCCAAGCCAGGGTTGCCATGGCAGAAGATGCTGGGCTTGCTTTTTCCTTGAGAGAACTGTACTCAAGATGATGTAACTGTCACCCCGGGTGCCACTTGGGTGCTTTGGAGAAGCGCTCAGACGCGACACGCCGTGACGACTCCGCGGCAGGCAGCCGGACCTGTCCTCTGGCGTGCGGTTCACGGGCTGTGTTTATCCCCCTGGTTCCTTCACAGCCACCTTGGGAAATACGTTGCCTCTGAATCACGCCAGGCAGGCTCTCACTGTGTGTGCTGCGGGGCTGGAAATCAGGGTGACACTCCGCTACCGAACAGCCTGACTAGGAAGCCAGAAAGACGCTGCCGGCTTTAGTTTGTCCTTTGACTTTCCTTGATATGAATGAAGATAGAGCACTTCCACACTGCACAACAGGAAAAGCCCAGAACGCTTCCTGGAGATAGCGAGGGGGTGATGCAGCGGACAGCTATGGCTGATGACCCCCTCACCTCTGACTCCCCCTCCCTCCCTGCTTTCTGAACGCACATCCATCACCAACCATAGGTTCCTGTTTGGGGTTTGCTGGCTGGAAAAAAAAAAAAAAAAAAAAGGAAAGCTGGCTTTCTAGTAAAAACCACTTCCTTTGCTCATTTATCAAACTCAAACGCTAGGAGGGCCACCTAACATCCTCCGTCCCACGCAATGGGGTGTTTCTGGAGCACTCCGGTTTATCAGGGACCCTGTCAGTTGCCATCGCACATGTATATGGGGCCAGCCCCTGTGCCACCGAAGAGGGGGGATATTGAAAACATGTTACAGCCAGGAGCGGTGCCCCCTTGGTTCAAGCAGTTCTTCTGCCTCAGCCTCCCTAATAGCTGGGATTACAGGCGTGCACCATCACGCCTGGCCACTGTTATGTAGTTTTTACCACAATTTAAAAAAGGAAAGAGTGCCTGGGTGAGTCCTACGCACCTATTCGGAGAACCAAAGGCTTTGAGGTTATCCTCGGCCCACCCATCTGATGGGAGTGTTTCTCAAACTTGCTTTTCCGTGATCTCCCAGTAAGAAATACCTACTACACACACACAGTCTCCGGTCGGCATGCTTAGGGTAGTCTTCCAATTCCCCCTCCTGGTATTTACACCCTGGAGTGGTCCGCTCCTCTTGGGCTGAACCTGTAACTTGCTCCCAAGCAAGAGCACACAGCAAGCTCACGCACGTGGTTGTTGGTGTGATTCTGTTTCTCCAGATTGTCTCCATTCCTCCCTGGCTTCTCCACAGGGCCGCTCACCATGGCAGCCGGCTCCATCACCACCAGCCAGCGAGAGGGCAAGACAAGAGGGCTGACGAGGGACGCTACCATCACAGAGGTCAGTTTTGTAACCTAACCACAAGACTAACCTACTGTCACTTCTGCCCTATCCTACTGCTAGAAGCCAGTCGCTACATCTCCCCCACACTCAAAGGGAGGTGGTCGCACCGTGGGGTCCACTGGAAGTTGCCTACCAGACTCAGGTCATCCCAAACACACCCTCTAGCCATTTGGTGTGGCATCGGAAAGAAAACTAAGGCCAGGTACGGTGGCTCATGCCTGTAATCCCAACAATTTGGGAGGCCATGGCGGAAGGGTCACTTGAGCCCAGGAGTTTGAGACCAGCCTGGGCAACATAGCAAATGTTATGTTGCCACCTCTACAAATAATTAGCCAAGTGTGGTGGCATGCACCTGTAGTCCCAGATACTCAGGAGGCTGAGGCAGGAGAATCACAGGTCGAGGTTGTAGTGAGCTGTGACGGCACTGCACTCCAGCCTTGGCAACACAGTAAGACCTCGTCTCTAAAAAAGCAAAAAGGGCTGGGTGCACTGGCTCACACCTATAATCCCAGCACTTTGGGAGGCCAAGACGGGTGGATCACCTGAGGTCAGGAGTTCAAGATAAGCCTGGCCAACATGGTGATACCGTCTTTAATTAGCCAGGTGTGGTGGTGGGCGCCTGTAATCCCAGCTACTCGGGAGGCTGAGGCATGAGAATCGCTTGAACATGGGAGACACAGGTTGCAGTGAGCTGAGATCATGCCATTGCACTCCAGCCTGGGCAACAGAGCGAGACTAGGTGGCTGTTCTGTGTACTGTGGGATATTGAGTAGCATCCCTGGCCTCCCCAGTATCTCAAATATGAAAACATGTTTTCTATCTCGATTACTGAGCTTTTCGGTGCCTCCTTCGGTTCTGCACCTAAGCTAAGAGCCCCTTCATCTCACCCTGATCTCTATCCAGTTTCTAACACAGCAGTCTTGTAAGATGCCCGGACTTAAACGGTTATTTCCTGTGAAACAGGTGAAAGGGGCTTTCATCTCTAAAAAGTCGGAACTTTTTTTTTTTTTTGAGACGGAATCTTGCTCTGTCACCCAGGCTGGAGGGCAGTGGCATGATCTCGGCTCACTGCAATCTCCGCCTCCCAGCTTCACACCATTCTCCTGCCTCAGCCTCCCGAGTAGCTGGGACTACAGGCGCCCACCACCATGCCCAGCTAATTTTTTGTATTTTTTTAGTAGAAACAGGGTTTCATTGTGTTAGCCAGGATGGTCTCGATCTCCTGACCTCGTGATCCACCGCGCCCGGCCAAGTCTGAACTTTTGCATGGCCTGTTGCCCTGGTGATAAACTGATGCCTTGTTTCCTAAAAGGAATAAAGCCATGAGTTGCCTTTGTTCAGCTCATGGGCATTCACCCATGCACAGAGGAAAAATAAAATCTACGACTCGGGTACATTTTCTTCTTTTTTTTTTCTTTTAAATGAGCAAGTTTGAGAGTCTGCAGTTTGGACTACCATGAGAATTGATAGGAAGGTGGGAGTCCCAGGCAATCCCAGGTCCTGTAGCAGCAGCTGGTGGGGTTCCCACTCCATGCCGTGCAGAGCCTGAACTCAGGATGACACCTGCACCTGCTCTCTGGCTGGGCTCTGGCACAGGAAGCCCTCAGCAAACACCCCCGGCACAGCCATGCCATAGCCAGACAACAGCTCGCTGTACCACACCATCATGGGAGACAGCAGTTATTCTGAGCATCTCACTGCTGAAGAAACCAAGGCTCAGAGAGGACCATGCATGCACAAGGTCCCACAGGGACCCAAGAATCCACCAAGTGTCAGACAACTTGCCCATGCTCTTCACGGAGCACCTTGGAACCCTCCCCGACAGGCACCGCTGGCTCTCCTGACGTGGCCTGCAAGTGCACGGAGCCCCTTCCTCCTCGGCCATTCCCAGTTTAGATTCCCAGGGGAAGCATCAGATGGCCCCTCTCCCCTGCTGGCAGCAGAGCAGACGGAACCAGCCAGAGCCCAGGGCAGTGCTCACCTGCAGGCCAGTCCACTGCGGCCAGCACCGCCCCCTAGAACCTACTGCGGGCATGGCGGCCGCCAGTCCTGGGTCTCCCGGCTCAGGTAGTGCCAGGAAGCTGCGGGCATGGCGGACAGCTGTCCTCGGTCTGGAGGCGCCATCCTGGCTTTCAAATCTGCTCCAGAGGTTATCTGGGGAGGGGCTGCTCCCTCACAGAGGGAGCCTCTAAGCCCACCAGGCGGGCACTTTCAGCCCAAAGCCTCCGGGCCACCTCCTCATCCTCAGCCTCGGGGGCCGGGGCCTTCTGTTTGAGTCCATCGAAGTACTTTCCGGAAACATCCGCCAGTTCCTCCGCCACGGCCAGGTATGTGCTGGGCTGGGCGGCCAGCTCGGGGCTCTTGACCAGCAGCCAGAAGATGGGCCCTGCAATCAGCCCACAGGGCATTTAGTCCACACTCGCTCAGAGAGAAGGAAGGAAGCCCCGCTCCCCGGTCAGGGAGCTCCGGGTCCCTGGAGTCCCACAGAGCCCTCCTCTAGCCCTTTCCCCTTGGCTGCCTCCATCTGCAGTTCCCTTCCCTGGCACTGCCCAGGCAAATCCCACCAGACCAGGGATCAGACCAAAAGCTGCCTCCCCCAAGGAGCCTTCCTGGCTTTGTCCAGGAAAATGGAAGCTCTCTTCCTCTTGGTCAGCCCCAGTCCTCACCCTACCCCATTTCTCCTTTAATAACATCTTATTAAATGCACCTGGCACCAGCCTCAGGTTAAGGATCTTTTTTTGGCCAGGCGAGGTGGCTCAGGCCTGTAATCCCAGCACTTTGGGAGGCCGAGGCGGGCGGATTACCTGGGGTCGGGAGTTCCAGACCAGCCTGGCCAACATGGTGAAACCCCATTTCTACTAAAAATACAAAAATTAACTGGGTGTGGTGGCGGGTGCCTGTAATCCCAGCTGCTCGGGAGGCTGGGGCAGGAGAATCCCTTGAACCTGGGAGGCGGAGGTTGCAGTGAGCTAAGATCACACCATTGCACTCCAGCCTGGGTGACAATAGCAAGACTTCGTCTCAAAAAAAAAAAAAAAAAAGGGCTGGGCGTGGTGACTCACGCCTGTAATCCCAGCACTTTGGGAGGCTGAGGCAGGTGGATCACCTGAGGTCAGGAGTTCAAGACCAGCCTGGCCAACGTGTGAAACCCTGTCTCAACTAAAAATAAAAACTTAGCTGGGTGTGGTGGTGGGCGCCTGCAATCTCAGCTACTTTGGGAGGCTGAGACAGGAGAATCACTTGAACCGAGGAGGCAGAGGTTGGAGTGAGCCAAGATTGTGCCACTGCACTCCAGCCTGGGTGACGAGCAAAACTCCGTCTCAAAAAAAAAAAGACATTTATTTATTTATTTATTGAGACCTGGTGTCTTGCTCTGTCACCCAGGCTGGAGTGCAGTGGTGTGATCTCAGCTCACTGCAACCTCTGCCTCCCGGGTTCAAGCGATTCTCCTGCCTCAGCCTCCTGAGTAGCTGGGACTACAGGTGCACACCACCACACCTGGCTAATTTTTGTATTTTTAGTAGAGACGGGGTTTCACCATGGTGGCCAGGCTGGTCTCGAACTCCTGACCTGAGGTAATCCGCCCACCACAGCCTCCCAAAGTGCTGGGATTACAGGCGTGGCTATTAGCCTCGCCAAGTTAAGATTCTTGATGCCAACCAATCACCCACTCCATGTTTTTCAGGATTATAAACACTAGTCATAAAGCATGAACTGCCTGGGGGTGGTGGCTCACACCTGTAATCCCAGCACTTTGGGAGGCAGTTGGATCACCTGAGGTCAGGAGTTTGAGACTAGCCTGACCAATATGGTGAAACCCCACCTCTAGCTGGGTGTGGTGGTGTGCACCTGTAATCCCAGCTACTTGGAGACAGGAGAATCGCTTGAACCTGGGAGGTGGAAGTTGCAGTGAGTGGAGATCATGCCATTGTACTCCAGCCTGGGCGACAGAGCAAGACTTCATCTCAAAAATAAGTAAGTAAAGCTCCAACTGTTTGTTCCACCTATTCTCTGGGCGGGGTCCTGTGCTGGCCCTTTCAAGGAAGGTCTCGTATAACCCCCCCAGTGACTGTGAGGTGAGTCCTATTAAGGCCTGCACTCTGCAGATGAAGAAACAGGCTCAGAGGGGTAACAGCTCTTCCCCAGGAGGTGCAGCTGGTTTGGGGTGAAGCTGGAGTTACCCTGAGTACAGCCTGACTCCAGGCGTCAGCTCCACGGCCTCTTCCTCTGAGACACGGTTTTCTCATCCGCCAGCAGGGCTCTGCCTGCTTCCCGGGGCTGTTAGAGGCTGGCAGGCCAGGTCAACGGAGGAAAGGGACCTGTGCTCTGTGCCTCAGAAGACGTAGGCGAGGAGCAGGCATGAGGCCTCAGGGACGGTCTCTGAGGGAGGGTCCTGGGCCCTGGGCTGAGAAAGCAGGGGTGGAGGGCTCCACGTGGAGACCCCAGGCTGGGAGGGGACTCACCGAGTGTGGTGCTGGAGAAGGTGGAGCCATGGATGCCCGTGTGTCTGCCCAGCTCTGTCCTGGCCACGCCGGGGTGCAGGGCGTTGACAGTCACACCAGAGCCTGGGGAAGAAAGAAAGAGAAGACTGAGGGAGGGGTCCAGCCTCACCTGGGAGGCTGTGGCAGCCCACACCCAGCTGTGGGGCTTCCGGGCACCAGGCTGCTTCCTGCACTCAAACCCCATCGTCCCTCTTGCTCTGGAATCTTAGTGAAGTGGTCTTATCTTGCGGAGCGGCTCTGCCACATGGCTGCTGGGAGCCGAGCTTTCCTGGAGGGCTTCATAAACCCAGAACGCTGAGCTTACCCCGGGAGCCTGCATCGGTGCGTGGCGGTGGGACCTAAGATACTGTAACTCTGACCAGCTCCCAGTGGGGCTGGCACCGCTGGTCCACAGACCGTCTTTCAGAAGCAAAGGCCTAGCACAGATTTCTCAATCTCAGCACTGTGGATGCTGTGGGTTGGGAGGAGTGAGGGGCCATCCCGTGCGCTGTAGGACATTGAGAGCATCTGGGCCTTTACCCTCCAGATGCCCAGAGCAATCTCTCCCCAAGCCAGCTGTGATCACTGTGTTTCCAGGCATTGACAACTGCGGGTCAAAACTGCCCCTGGTTGAGACTCACTGGCTGGAGCCAAAAGGCTGAGCTGCCTGCCCAACAGCAGCAGGGAAGGACATCTGATCCAGGCAGACTAGACCACCTGGGATGAACAGACAATCCTCAGAAGAACGATCGATTAGTGATGTCTGCTTCAGGCACCAGAAGCGGGCAGCGTGGTCCACATGCTCTACTTTTGCTGACTCTGTTCTGGATCCACCGTTTGGCCTCCCATCAGCCTAGGATCATGGAAAGGCCGCTCTAGGCTCAGAGTAAAGCAAGAGGGAGGCCGAGCCTAGCGCCCCCGTACCTTGCAGCCGCCGGCTCAGCTCCTTGGTGAAGAGGACGATGGCGAGCTTGCTCTGGCAGTAGGCGGCTTTGGTGTTATACTTCCTCGTCTGCCAGTTCAAGTCGTCAAAGTCTATGTGCCCAGCAACATGGGCCAGGGACGAGAGGTTGATGATCCGCGAAGGGGCTGAGGCTTTCAGCTTGTCCAGCAGCAAGTTTGTCAAGAGAAAGTGACCTGGATTAAGGATGATGAAAAGGTCACTTTTGACTCACACCTAAAATCCCAGCACTTTGGGAGGACGACGGGGGAGGATCGCTTGAACCCATGGTGCAGCCCCTGCCCAGGCCTCACCCAGGTGGTTAACGCCAAACTGCATCTCGAAGCCGTCCTCGGTGGTCCAGTGGGGGCACCGCATCACACCCGCGTTGTTGATTAGAATGTCCACTCGCTCCTCCTCTGGAAGAGAGGGGTGGAGGAGGAGACATCCCGGTGAGGACAGACCCCAGCCTGATGCACCAGCAGAAACACTCCTGTGCTCCCACAACCTGTGAATGTGGCCTGTGCCGGAAACAGGGTCTGTGCCGAAGTGGCCATGTCAGGATGCGGTCATTAGGGTGAGCCCTAATCCAATGACTGGTGTCCTTATAGGAAGGGAAAACAGAGACAGAGACACATGGGGAGAAGGCCATGTGTGGACAGAGGCAAAGACCGGAGAGGCACAGCTCCAAGGTGAGGGTGGGCCGCCCCCGCTGGAAGTGGAAGAGGCTGGGAGGATTATGGCCCGTCTCACAGGTCACAGCCACAGGGACACCGCGATTCAGACTGCCGGCTTCCGGAACCGTGAGGGAATGCACGTCTGAGGGTGTAAGCCACTGGGTTTGCAGTACATTGTTACAGCAGCTCCAGGACACTCACACGCCCTCCGCACCTCCATCTAAGCCTTGGGACTCCTTCCTGCCGGAGCCCCGAGGCCAAAAACGGGAGGTTACCGGTGGGAGCCCCGGCACCGCAGGCGTGGTTTCATTCCCAAACCTGCCACCTCACTCATACAAGCAACCAAAGGACACACAGATGGAGACTGCAGCCTCAGTTTCCTCAGCTGTAAAATGCGCTGAACCACAGGGCCTTCCTCCCTGTACCACTCAGCTCGGGTTCCGTAACAAAGTGCCACAGACAGGTGGTTTAAAACCTCACAGACCTGGCCGGGCACAGTGGCTCACGCCTGTAATCCCAGCACTTTGGGAGGCCGAGGTGGGCAGATCACCTGAGGTCAGGAGTTTGAGACCAGCCTGGCCAACATGGAGAAACCGCGTCTTTACTAAAAATACAAAATTAGCCAGGCGTGGTGGCATGCACCTGTAATCCCAGCTACTCAGGAGGCTGAGGCGGGAAAATCGCTTGAAACCAGGAGGCAGAGGGTGCAGTGAGCCGAGATCGCATCATTACACTCCATCCTGGGCAATAAAAGCAAAACTCCATCTCAAAAAAAAAAAAAAAAATCACAGTCCCAGAGGCTGGAAGTCCCAGATCAAGGTGTGGGCAGGGCTGGTTCCCTCTCAGGGCCCTCAGGGAGGATCCGCTCTGGTCTCTCTCCTTGGCTCACAGGTGACCATCTCCTCTCTCCCTCTTCCCTTCCTCTTCCCTTTGGAGCTGTCTCTTTTTTTTTTTTCATTTTTCCTTTTTTAATTTTAGATTTTTCAGACATGGTCTCACTATGTTGCCCAGGCTGGTCTCAAACTCTTGAACTCAAGCAATCCTCCTGCTTTGGCCTCCCAGAGTGCTGCAATTTCACTGCCCCCAGCCTATTTTTTTTTTTTTGGGGGGGGGAGATGGAGTTTCACTCTTGTCACCCAGGCTGGAGTGCAATGGTGCGATCTTGGCTCACTGCAACCTCTGCCTCCCAGGTTCAAACAATTCTCCTGCCTCAGCCTCCCAAGTAGCTGGACTACAGGCATCCACCACCACACCGGGTTAATTTTTTGTATCTTTAGTAGAGACGGGGCTTCACCATGTTGGCCAGGCTAGTCTCACACTCCTGACCTCGTGATCCACCTACCTCAGCCTCCCAAAGTGCTGGGACTGCAGGCGTGAGCCACCACACTCAGTCTACTTGGCCTATTTTTTATATTTCTTTGAGACAGGGTCTCCCTCTGACACCTGGGCTGGAGTACAGTGGCGCAATCACTGCTCACTGCAGCCTCAACCTCCCAGGCTCAAGCAGTCTTCTTGCTCAGCCTCCCAAGTAGCTGGGGCCACAGGCATGCGCCACCATGCCCAGCTAGCACGTCTGTTTCTGTGCGCAAATCTCCCCTTTTCATAAGGACACCAGTCACTGGATTAGGGCCCACCCTAATGACCTCATTTTCACTTCAGGACCTCTGTAAACACCCACCTCTAAATGAAGTCACATGCTGAGGGATGGGGGTTCAGGATCCCAACCTATCCTTGGGGGTGGAGGACACAATGGAATTCATAATGCTCCCGAAGTGGTTTTCGGCGGGGATCGTGAATTAGGTGTCCAGCGCGTAACACACAGACACCATCTGGTTCTCTGTGTGAGAAGGAGGGGGTTGCAGCACACCCGTCATGAATACCAGCTCTGGAGCAGGACAGACAGGTTCAAAGCCTGGCTCCACCCCGACCAGCTGCATGATCCTGGCCAAGTCACATCACTTCTCTGTGACTCAGTTTACTCCTTGTAAAAAAAAAAAAAAAAAAAGGATAATAACATCACCTGCCTGGTACAACTGTATACTTACTCATTCAGTAAGTATTTTCTAAGCACCTATTACTGGGCACTGGAAATACAGGGTGGACAGCACAGCCGAGGCCCCGTCCGTGTGGACCGGACATTCCAGTGCAGCTGAGAGCCACTTCCACTCGTGAGAGAATCTACCCGTGACAGAGCTGCGTGGAAGCTGACAGGAGGCCCCTCTCAGGAGGTGACGCAGAAACTGGGACCGGGAAAATGAGGCAGGGCCCACGTGCGGAGACCCAGGGAAGGGGGATGCAGGCAGCAGGCGCAGCACGGGTAAGGCCCAAAGGCGGGACAGGGAGACTCCACTCACAGCTGGGCGCCCAGGAGTGCCGCCAGCTTCTGGTGTTTTGTTTTGGTTTTTTTTCTTTTTTTTTTTGAGATGAAGTCTCACTCTGCCACCCAGGCTGGAGTGCAGTGGTGTGATCTTGGCCCATGGCCCACTGCAACCTCTACCGCCTGGGTTCAGGCGATTCTGCTGCCTCAGCCTCCCGAGTACTGGGATTACAGGTGCCCGCCACCGCACCCTGCTAATTTTTGCATTTTTAGTAGAGACGGGGTTTCACCATCTTGGTCAGGCTGGTCTTGAATTCTTCACCTCGTGATCCACCCGCCTCTGCCTCCCAAAGTGCAGGGATTACAGGTGTGAGCCACCGCGCCCAGCCTGTTTTTTTTTTTTTCTTTTTATGAGAGGGAAGCTCACTCAGTGGCCCAGGCTGGAGTGCAGTGGCGCGATCTCAGCTCACAGCAACCTCCGCCGCCAGGGCTCAAACGATCCTCCCACCTCAGCCTTCCACATAGCTGAACCACAGGCGCCCGACACCACAAGCAGCTACTTTTAAAATTTTTTGTAGAAATGGGGTTTGGCTATGTTGCTTAGGCTGGTCTCGAATTTCTGAGCTTAGGCAATTCGCCCACCTCGGCCTCCCAAAGTGCTGGGATTGCAGGCGTGGGCCACAGTGCCTGGCCTGTTGTTTTGTTTATCTGGGAACTGCCTCAACTTTTTTTTTTTTTTTTTTTTTTTGGACACAGGGTCTCACCCCGAGTGCAGTGGTACAATCAAAGCTCACTGCAGGCCGGGCGTGGTGGCTCACATCTGTAATCCCAGCACTTTGGGAGGCCGAGGCGGGCAGATCACCTGAGGTCAACCAGCCTGACCAACATGGTGAAACCCTGTCTCTACCTAAAACAAAAAAGTAGCCGGGCATGGTGGCAGGTGCCTGTAATCCCAGCTACTCAGGAGGCTGAGGCAGGAGAATTATTTGAAACCAGGAGATGGAGGTTGCAGCCTGACCAACAGGAAGAAACCCCGTCTCTACTAAAAATACAAAATTAGCCGGGCGTGGTGGCGCATGCCTGTAATCCCAGCTACTCGGGAGGCTGAGGCAGGAGAATCACTTGAACCCAGGAGGTGGAGGATGCCGTGAGCCAAGATCCCGTCATTGCACCAGCCTGGGCAACAAGAGCAAAACTCCGTCTTAAAAAAAAAAAAAAAAAATCCCTCACTGCAGCCTCAACCTCCCAGGCTCAAGCAATCCTCCCACCTCCACCTCCCAAGTAGTTGGGACTACAAGTGCACACCATCACGCCTGCCTCATTGTTTTTTATTTTTTTTTTGAGATGGAGTCTCACTCTGTCACCCAGGCTGGAGTGCAGTGGCGCCATCTCGGCTCACTGCAAGCTCCACCTCCCGGGTTCACGCCATTCTCCTGCCTCAGCCTCCCAAGTAGCTGGGTTACAGGTGCCCGCCACCACGCCCGGCTAATTTTTTTGTGTTTCTTAGTAGACACGGGGTTTCACCGTGTTGGCCAGGATGGTCTCGATCTCCTGACCTTGTGATCCGCCCGCCTCAGCCTCCCAAAGTGCTGGGATTACAGGCGTGAGCCTGCACGCCTGCCTGATTGTTTTGTATTTTTTGTAGAGATGAGGTCTTGCTATGTTGCCCAGGCTGATCTCAAACTCCCTGATAAACAAGGCTGTGGGTACCTGCTTCCTGGGGCTCTTTGCTTTGTGTTCTTTCTAGTCGGGAGCTGGGAAGAGCCACAGCTTCCAGCTTTGTCAGAGTGTCATCTCACAAACTGATCTTCCCAAAACTTCTGTCTCCCAAAGTGCCGGGATGACAGGCGTGAACCGCTGCACCTGGCCTGCCCCAGTGTGGTAGAATACACACCACATAAAATGGACGATCTTCACTATTTTTAAATCCACTGCTGTCTTTATTCCTGGCTGTTGATCTTAGGAAAACACCAAGAAGCTGGTACTTGATTTGCTAAAAAAGTCACAGACACAGCTTTACTTAATCCTCTAGAGAGGCTGGGCGTGGTGGCTCATGCCTGTAATCCCAGCACTTTGGGAGGCCGAGGTGGCTGGATCATGAGGTCAGGAGATCGAGACCATCCTGGCTAACACGGTGAAACCCCGTCTCTAGTAAAAAATATAAAAAATTAGCCGGGCGTGGTGGCAGGCGCCTGTAGTCCCCCGCCACTCGGGAGGCTGAGGCAGGAGAATGGCATGAACCCGGGAGGCGGAGCTTGGAGTGAGCCGAGATGTGCCACTGTCCTCCAGCCTGGGCGACAAAGCAAGATACCGTCTCAGAAAAAAAAAAAAACCCCTCTAGAGAATCCCAGAAAATAGAAGGAATTATTCCATTTCCCGGAAGAGGAACGTGTGGCTAAGAGAGGAGGCATCACCTGCCCAGGTGTGTCCAGCCGGGGTCCTCACTGTCTCAGGGACCTCAGTGCTCCGGACACCTGTGTCCACAAGCCAGAGACAGGATCAGAGGCGCCCTGGGTGGGATTGCCTGGGACAGTGTGCATGAAGGTGACAGTGCTGTACCTGGTACACAGCAGGTGCTTAATAAATGTTCATCCACCTCTGAGACTCTGAGGCATTGCCCTCTCACTGTTCTTTGTGATCTCACCGTAGTGCCTCTCACCTACCCGACAACAGTGCCGGCTCTTTCTTGATCCCCAAGGGCACAGCAGGGGCTCAGTATGAATGAATGAATGAACCAACGAATGTGCACCTGCACCTGCCTCCCTAGGGCTGTGAGTGGCACAAGGACAGCTCTGGTTCATCTCACACCTCCAGCACCTGGTCAGGTCTGAGATCACGTCTGCTAAATAAATGAGGTCCCACAACTCCCCCATTCCTTGTTCATTTCCTGAGTACCCGTTTACTGAGCGGGGCACATTGACTCTGAAGAAGAAAGCTTTGGCCCTTTCAGTGCCAGACTAGAAAAGAAACAAAGCAGCTGGGCATGGTGGCTCATGCCTGTAATCCCAGCACTTTGGGAGGCTGAGGCAGGCGGATCACAAGGTCAGGAATTCGAGACCAGCCTGGCCAACATAGTGAAACCCCGTCTCTACTAAAAATACAAAAATTAGCCGGGCATGGTGGCACCCGCCTATAGTCTTGGGAGGCTGAGGCAGGAGAATCGCTTGAACCCAGGAGGCGGAGGCTGCAGTGAGCCAAGATCGCATCATTGCACTCCAGCCTGGGTGACAGAGCAAGACTCCATCTCAAAAAAAAGGTCTTGCTCTGTCATCCAGGTTAGAGTGCAGTGGCACAAATACGGCTCACTGCAGCCTTGAACTCTCGGGCTCAAGTGATCCTCTTGCCTCAGCCTCCTGAGTAGCTGGGACTGTAGGCACATGCCAGGATGCCCGGCTAATTTTTTTTTTTTTTTAATCTTTGGTACACACAAGGTCTCACTATGCTTCCTAGGCTGGTCTCTAACTCCTGAGCTCAAGCAATCCTAAGAGAAGAGATTTTAAATGTGGTCACCACAAAAACAGGTAAGTATTTGAGGTAATGCATATGTTAATTAGCTTGATTTAGCCATTCTACAATGTATACAATGTACATCATGCTGTACATAATATATACAAGTATACATGTCAACTAAACAATAAATAATTTTAGTGTATTCTTGAGTCTATTTAAAGATGAACAAGAATAGAAAAGCTAGAGGATGGTCCCAGTTTTACATAAAAATATATAAATACACACACAAACCTATTATAAACAAGACTAGAAAGATCCATAAAAGTGATTCTCCTGGGGCTGGTGCAGATCAAAGTTGTTTAGTTCTGTCTTCTTTTTTATTGAGACAGAGTCTCACTCTGTCACCCAGGCTGGAGTGCACTGGCACAATCTCAGCTCACTGCAACCTCCGCCTCCTGGGTTCAAGCAATTCTCCTGCCTCAGCACCCTGAGTAGCTGAGATTACAGGTGTGCACCACCACGCCTGGCTAATTTTTGTATTTTTAGTAGAGACAGGGTTTCACCATGTTGGCCAGGCTGGTCTCGAACTCCTGACCTCAAGGGATCCACCTGCCTCAGCCTCCCAAAGTGCTGGGATTAACAGGCGTGAGCCACTGTGCCCAGCCAGTTCTGTCTTCTTTACATTGCAGTATTTTATAAATGTCCCATAACAAACACATATTTCTTTAACCATGGTGGGGAAGGCACTTGATCAATAAATGCTTAATAAGGTCAGGTGCGGTGGCTCACGCCTGTAATCCCAGCACTGTGGGAAGCTGACCTGGGTGGATCACTTGAGCCCAGGAGTTGGAGACCAGCCTGAGCAACATGGTGAAACCCCAGCTCTAAAAACAAAACAAAACAATAAAACAATAATTAGCTGTGTGTGGTGGCGTATGCCTGTACTCCCAGCTACTTGGGAGGCTGAAGTGGGAGGATCCCTTGAGCCCAGCAGGTTGAGACTGCAGTGAGCCATGACTGCACCACTGCACTCTAGCCTGGGTGACAGAGATGGATCCTGTCTCAAACAAACTAATTATTCAGGTAGGGCACGGTGGCTCACACCTGTAATCCCAGCACTTTGGGAGGCCAAGGGAAGCAGATCACCTGAGGTCAGGAGTTCGAGACCAGCCTGACCAACATGGTGAAACCCTGTCTCTACCTAAAACACAAAAAATTAGCCAGGCACGGTGGCGGGTGCCTGTAATCCCAGCTACTCAGGAGGCTGAAGCAGGAGAATCATTTGAAATCGGGAGACGGAGGTTGCAGTGAGGCAAGATCACACCACTGCACTCCAGCCTGGGCAACAGAGCGAGACCCCATCTGTCTCAAAACAAACAAACAAAACAAAGTCAGCCGGGCGCAGTGGCCCACGCCTGTAATCCCAGCACTCTGGGAGGCTGAGGCAGGAGAATCACCTGAGGTCAGGAGTTCCAGACCAGCCTGGCCAACGTGGTGAAACCCCGTCTCTACTAAAAATACAAAAATTAGCAGGGTATGGTAGCAGGCATCTTAATCCCAGCTACTCAGGAGGCTGAGGTCCGCGCTTGAACCCAGGAGGCAGAGGTTACAGTGAGCCGAGATCGCGCCATTGCACTCAGCCTGGCCGACAGAGTGAGACTCCCTCTCAAAATAACAGTAGTAATAAATAAATAAAGTCGTTGCTTGCAGGCTGTACAAAAAAAGGCAGCAACTGGACTTGGCCCCTAACTCATAGTTTGCCAAAACTCTGCTCTAAAGTTTGCTTGCTTCATTCACTTCTCAGAGCCTGGCCCTGGGAGCCGCCTATCCCAGTCCTCATCCCACATGGCCAGCGTTCTCCTACCTTCAATGATCTTTGCTGCAAACTCTCGGATAGACTTGAGGGAAGCCAAGTCCAGGTGCCGGGCGTTGACATGGTGATTGAGGGTCTCCCCGCGGATGTCCTTTGCTGCCGCCTCACACTTCTCCATGTCTCGGCAGGCCAGGATGATGTTGCCTCCTGAAAACCCAGGATGGAAAAAGATTTAAATTAATAATCCACTCCTGGGTACTGACCCCAGAGACATGAAAACATACGTCTACACAAAAACACATCCACCAATGTTCACTGCGGCATTCTTCACAAAAGCCAAAAGGTAGAAACAACCAAATGCCCATCTGTGGATGAAGGGACAACAAAATGTGGTCCATCCATAGAGATGGAATATTAGACGGCCGTGAAAAGGAGTGAAGCACTGGCTCATGCTACAGCAAGGATGACCGTCAGAAACACTGTGCTCGGGGAAAGAAACCAGACACGAAAGACCACACAGCGTACAATCCCATTTACATGAATTCTATGTATATGATTTCACACCTATGAAACGCCCAGAATAGGCAAATCCATAGAGAAAGAAAATAGATTCTTGGTTTTCTAGGGCAGGGGGTGGGGAGAGGGAATTACAGCTTGATAGTTACAGTGAGCAGGTTTCTTTCTAGGGTAACAGATGTTCTAAGATTGATTTTAAAGATGGTTGCATCATTCTGTGACTATACTAAACATCACTGAATTGGTCGGGCACGGTGGCTCACACCTGTAATTCCAGCACTTTGGGAGGCCAAGGCAAGAGGATTCCCCATCCTCTCCTTTTTTTTTTTTTTTTAGATGGAGTCTCACTCTGTCACCCAGGCTGGAGTGCGGTGGCGCAATCTCGGCTCACTGCAACCTCCACCTCCTGGGTTCAAGCAATTCTCCTGCCTCAGCCTCCCGAGTAGCTGGGATTACAGGCACCTACCACAACTAGCTAATTTTTTATTTTTTTATTTTTAGTAGAGACAGCGGTTTCACCATGTTAGCCAAGCTAGTCTTGAACTTCTGACCTCAGGTGATCCACCCCGCGGCCTCCCAAAGTACTGGGATTACAAATAAGCCACAATGCCCAGCCTCCAATTTTTTTTGTTGTGGTAAAATACAAATCACTTAAAATTTATCATCTTAACCCCCTTTTCTTTTTGTTTATTATTATTTTTTTTTTTTTGAGTCAGTCTCACTCTGCTGCCGCGGCTGGAGTGCTGGCGCCATCACAGCTCATTCAGCCTTGAACTCCTAGGCTCAAGTGACCTGGGACTATAGGTACCACCTGTGCCAGCATGCCTGGCTAACTCTGGTAGAGATGGGGGTGTTGCTATGGTGTCCAGGCTGGTCTGGAACCCCTGGCCTCAAGTGATCCTCCTGCCTCAGCCTCCAAAAGTGCTGGAATTATAGATGTGAGCCACCGAGACCCGCCCTCTTAGCCATTTTTAAGTGTCCAGTTCATTGGTATTAAAAACATTTATGGCTGGGCCGGGCATGGTGGCTCACACCTGTAATCCCAGCACTTTGGGAGACCAAGGCAGGTGGATCACCTGAGGTCAGGAGTTCAAGACCAGCCTGGCCAACACATTACAAACTTAGCTGGGTGTGGTGTTGCATGCCTGTAATCCCAGCTACTCGGGTGGCTGAGGCAGGAGAATTGCTTGAACCCGGGAGGCGAAGGTTGCAGTGAGCCAAGATCATGCCACTGCACTCCAGCCTGGGCGACAAGAGCAAAACTCCATCTCAAAAAAAAAAAAACAATAATAATAATTCCTAATGTTGTGCAACCATTACAACCATCCATCTCTCAAATTGTTTCATCTTGCCAAACTAAACTTCCGTTTCCATTAAACAGTAACTCCCCATTCTCCCCTCCCCTCCTGACCCCTGGCAAGCACCATTCCAACTTCTCTATGAATTTAACTGTAGGTAGCTCCTGTAAGTGGAATCATACCGTATTTGCTCTTCTGTCGACTGGCTTATTTCACTTCATGGAATGTCCTCAAGGTTCATCTGTTTCAATGCCCTTTTTTTTGTTTTGCTTTGTTTTGTTTTGTTTTTGAGTCTCACTCTGTCACCCAGGCTGGAGTGCCGTGGCGCCATCTCTGCTCACTGCAACCCCTGCCTCTCAGGTTCAAGCGATTCTCCTGCTTCAGCCTCCCAAGCAGCTGGGACTACAGGTGCCCACCACAACTCCTGGCTAATTTTTGTATTTTTAGTAGAGAGGGGGTTTCACCATGTTGGTTAGGCTGGTCTCGAACTCCTGACCTCGTGATCCGCCAGCTTTGGCCTCCCAAAGTACTGATTACAGGCGTGCACCACCGCGCCCGGCCAGAATGCCCTTCCTTTTTAAGGCTGAATCATATGCCCCTGTCTATAGAAGCCACATTCTGTTTCCCTGTTCATCTGTGGATGGGTGCCTGGGTTCCTTCCACCTCCGGACTGTGAATAATGCTGCAGTGAGCATGGATGTACAGATATCTCTCTGAGAGCCAAAGCAGGGGAGATTTTACCTCTCCTGGCCAGTTCCAAGGCGGTCTGCTTCCCGATGCCTGTGTTGGCACCCGTCACGATGACCGTCTTCCCAGGGATGGTGGCCTTGCTGGGGCAAGCCCCACCGGTGACATAGTCCCTGAGGGTGAGAAGCGGCACGGTCAGTCCTGTGGGCCCACTCTCACCCCACGTGCCCCTGACTGAATGATCTCAGGCAACCTTGTCTGAGCTCACTCACATACCCCAACTGAAACACAGACATCATCACATCACACCAAGGGACCTCTGTCATGTTCTCCATAAGTGGCTCCACCCAGTGTCTGGCGTGTGGAACGCCTTCAGCAAGTGACAGTCATTATTTTATAAATGCTCACTGCATGAGATTCCCGGCCAGGTGAGGGGGCTTGCACCTGTAATCCCAGCACTTTGGGAGGCCAAAGTTTTGGGGGTGGGGGGGGGCGGGGGCGGATCACTTGAGGTCAGGAGTTCGAGTCCAGCCTGGCAAACATGGCGAGACCCCGTCTCTACTTAAAATACAAAAATTAGCCAGATGTGTAGGGAAAAGAGAGATTAGACTGTTACTGTGTCTATATAGAAAGGAAAGACATAAGAGACTCCATTTTGAAAAAGACCTGTACTTTGAACAATTGCTTTGCTGAGATGTTGTTAATTTGTAGCTTTGACCCAGCCACTTTGACCCAATCTGGAGCTCACAAAAACCTGTGTTGTATGAAATCAAGGTTTAAGGGATCTAGGGCTGTGCAGGAAGTGCCTTGTTAACACAATGTTTCCAAGCAGTATACTTGGTAAAAGTCATCGCCAGTCTCTAGTCTCAATAAACCAGGGGCACGATGCACTGCAGAAAGCTGCAGGGACCTCTGCCCTTGAACACAGAGTATTGTCCAAGGTTTCTCCCCGTGGGATAGTCTGAAATATGGCCTCGTGGGATGAGAAAGACCTGACCGTCCCCCAGCCCAACACCCGTAAAGGGTCTGTGCTGAGGTGGATTGGTAAAAGAGGAAAGCCTCTTGCAGTTGAGAGAGAGGAAGGCCACTGTCTCCTGCCTGACCCTGGGAACTGAATGTCTCGGTATAAAACCTGATTGTACATTTGTTCAATTCTGAGACAGGAGAAAAGCCGCCCTATGGCGGGAGGCGAGACATGTTTACAGCAATGCTGCCTTGTTATTCTTTACTCCGCTGAGATGTTTGGGTGGAGAGAAACATCAATCTGGCCTACGTGCACGTCCAGGCATAGTACCTTCCCTTGAACTTAATTATGTCATAGATTCTTTTGCTCACATGGTTTTTGCTGACCTCATTATCACCCTGCTCTCCTACTACATTCCTTTTTGCTGAAATAATGAAGATAATAATCAGTAAAAACTGAGGGAACTCAGAGGCCGGTGCCGGTGCAGGTCCTTGGTATGCTGAGCGCCGGTCCCCTGGGCCCACTGTTGTTTCTCTATACTTTGTGTCTTATTTCTTTTCTCAGTCTCTCGTCCCACCCAACTAGAAATACCCACAGGTGTGGAGGGGCAGGCCACCCCTTCACAGGCGTGGTGGTGCACACCTGTAATCTCAGCTACTCAGGGGGCTGAGGCACGAGAATTGCTTGAACCTGGAAGGCGGAGGTTGCAGTGAGTCGAAATGGTGCCAGCCTGGGCAACAGAGCGAGACTCTGTCTCAAAAAAATTTAAATTTAAATTTAAAATGCCCGCTGCACGAGATTCCCAAGGCTGCTGTACGCATTACCACAGACTTAGTGGCTTAAAACCACATAAGTGCATCCTCCTCCAGTTCGGCAGGTCAAGAGTCCAAAACATGTCTCACTGGAATAAATCAAGGTATTGGTAGAGTCAGGTTCCTTCTGGAGGCTCTAGGGAAGAATCCACTTCCAGCTCCTACAGACCGCCACATTCCTCCACTCTTGGCCCCGCCTCCATCTTCAACCTGCATCCTCACTGGAACCTCTCCTTTATTTATTTATTTATTTACTTATTTATTTTTGAGACAGAGTCTCGCTCTGTCGCCCAGGCTGGAGTGCAGTGGCTCAATCTCAGCTCACTGTAACCTTCGCCTCACAGGTTCAAGCGATTCTCCTGCCTTAGCCTCCTGAGTGGCTGGGATTACAGGCACATGCCACCACACCTGGCTAATTTCTTTTGTATTTTTAGTAGAGACAGAGTTTTACCACGTTGGTCAGGCTGGTCTCGAACTCCTGACCTTGTGATCCGCCTGCCTTGGCCTCCCAAAGTGCTGCGATTACAGGCGTGAGCCACCACACCCAACAACCTCTCCTTCTATCTTCCATCTCCCCTCTGACTGAGCCTCCTGCTCCCTCTTATAAGGACCCTATAAGACTACAAGGCAGGACCGGCACAGTGCCTCACACCTGTAATCCCAGCACTTTGGGAGGCCAAGACAGGAGGATCACTTGAGGTCAGGAGTTCGAGACCAGCCATGGCCAACATGCTGACACCCCATCTCTACTAAAAATACAAAAATTAGCAGGGCTTGGTGGTGCACGCCTGTAGAGTCAGCTACTCGGGAGGCTGAAGTGGGAGGACCACCTGAGCCCAGGGAGGGTGAGGCTGCAGTGAGCTGTGACAGCATGACTGCACTCCAGCCTGGGTGACAGAGAGACCCTGTCTCCAAAAAAAAAAAAAGACTACATGATAATCATAAGATCCTTCACTTGGCCGGGCACGGTGGCTCACGCCTGTAACCCCAGCACTTTGGGAGGCCAAGGTGGCCAGATCCCCTTTGGTCGGGAGCTCAAGACCAGCCTGACCAACATGGAGAAACCTCGTCTCTACTAAAAATACAAAATTAGACAGGCGTGGTGGCACATGCCTGTAATCCCAGCTACTCAGGAGGCTGAGGCCGGACAATCGCTTGAACCCGGGAGGTGGAGGTTGTGGTGAGCCGAGGTCGTGCCATTGCACTCCAGCCTGGGCAACAACAGCGAAACTCTGTCTCAAAAAAAAAAAAGATGCTTCACTTAACACATCAGCGAGAACCTCTGACACGTGAGGTAATGTCGTCACACCTTCCGAGGATTAGGACGTGGACCCCTCTACGGAGTCACGACTCTGCCCACCACACCCATGTCCCACAGAGGCTAACGCTGGCAACAAGATAGTGTCCAGCAACAGGAGGCTGAGCAGGTAAACAGCACTGCACCCACAGGAGAGAAGGGCACCATGCAATACAGTGGCCACCAGCCACAGAGGCTAATTTTTAAGAAAGTTTAAATTAAGTAGGCTGGGCGAGGTGGCTCACGTCTGTAATCCCAGCACTTTGGAGGCCGAGGCAGGCGGATCACCTGAGGGCAGGTGTTTGAGACCAGCCTGGCCAACATGGCAAAACCCCGTCTCTGCGAAAAATACAAAAATTAGCCGGGCGTGGTGGCGCACGTGTGATCTCAGCTCCTGGGGACGCCAAGGTGGGAGGATCACCTGAGCCCAGGAGGTCAAGGCTGCAGTGAGCCAAGATCGCGCCACTGCACTCCAGCCTGGGCGACAGAGCCAGATTCTGCCTTTAAAAATAAACGAACAAATAAATAATACAAAACAACAAAATAAAGAGTTTAAAAGTCTGGAAGGAAAGCAACATTTACAAGGGCCCAGGCTCGCCCTTCCCTCCGAGTGACCTTGGGCCGGTGACCTGGCCGGCCAGAGCGCAGGTTTGCCCCACTCCGGGCGGGCACTGCGGGTCGGGAGCTACGGGGCCTGGACCCGGGTGCGAGGGGCGGGGGTCTCCGCCGCCTTCCCGGCCCCTGCGCTGGGGGCCCGCCTTGACCGCGCACGCGGGGCTAGAATGTACTCACTTGAGCAGCACGGCGGCGCCTGCTACCGTGCCCAGCGCCGACAGCGGCAGCAGGTAGCGGCTCATGCCGGGCCGGGGACAGGCGTCAGGCGTCAGGGGTCGGCGCGGAGCTTGCTGCACACCAGCCGCCTGGGTAGCTCCGAGGAAGAGCGCGCGACGCAGCCACAGGCGAGCGGAGGCGCAGGCGCGGCTGGGCCCGCGTCCGGAACTGGGCTGCGAGGGGCGGGGCGCGGGCGGAGGGGGCGGGGATCCTAGGGACGGGACCTATGAGCATCGGTCCTGAGCGCTGTCACAGCTGGGATTGGTGGTTTCAGGAGCCTGTGGGCGTGGCTAGTCCGGGGGCGGGGCCTATGGTTTGTTCGAATGACGTCACACTTGCCGCAGCGTATAAGGCGCTACGCAGTTCTGGAGTGAAATAGGTTCGAATCCCACCACTGTCAATTCCAGACTGTGACCCTCTGTGTGTCTTTCAACTATATCAGCCTATTCCCTCATCTGGAAATGTGTGTTTACCTTCTTCATAGACTTTTGGAGATAATTTGAGAATTTCCATGCACAGAAACAAGGATCTAGTAGCCTGTGGGTACCCAAGCTCCTGGGGTCCTGCAGGAGAAGGCGGCTGGGGGCCTGGACTCCTGGGTCTGAGGGAGGAGGGGCTGGGGGCCTGGACTCCTGGGTCCAAGGGAGGAGGGGCTGGGAGCATGGACTTCTGGGTCCGAGGGAGGAGGGCCGGGTGCCTGGACTGCTGAGTCTGAGGGAGGAGGGGCTGGGGGCCTGATTCATTCCCAAATTATCAGAATCTCATCCCCATGTCTGGCCCTGCACAGAGATATCTTCCCTGAACTCTGCCTGAACTACCTTTCTTAGATTGAGTATTGCACACACTCCTGCACTTACCTGTCCATGTTTGTCACCCCCACCAAACCGGGATGCACCTCTGGGCACCTGCTTCCCCTTGCACTGCTCACAGCGAGTGTATCTGATCACCACCTCCTACCCCTGACTGTGCCTGAGGTGCCAGGAGCAGACACCGCTGGAAACAGGGAAGAATTCAACCCAATCTAACTAGGAGTAAGTTTTCTTCCTCATCAGATGAACTGTCATCTTCTTATATGAGCCCTGCCATAATGGAGATTATACAGGCAGGAAGAGCTATTTTAAGACCTTAGTCAATGGCCGGGCACGGTGGCTCACGCCTGTAATCCCAGCACTTTGGGAGGCCGAGACAGATGGATCACGAGGTCAGGAGATTGATACCAGCCTGGCCAACATGGTGAAACCCTGTCTCTACTAAAAATACAAAAATTAGCTGGATGTGGTGGCACTCACCTGTAGTCCCAGCTACTCAGGAGGCCGAAGCAGGAGCATCACTTGAACTCGGGAGGTGGAGGTTGCAGTGAGCCGAGATTGCCCTACTGCATTCCAGCCTGGCGACAGAGTGAAATTCTGTCAAAAAAAAAAAAACCTTAGGCCTGTAGACCTTAAGCTCTCACCATCTCAAACGTATTAAACCAGTTACACAATGCCAAATGCTGTATAAGAGGCACTTGGAGGAGTCAAATTCATAGAGACAGAAAACAGAGTGGTGGCTGCAGGGGGCTGGAGATGAGATTGGGAAGTCACAGGATTTGTTTTTGTTTGTTTGTTTGTTTTGTTTTGTTTTTTGAGAGACAGTCTCACTGTGTCACCCAGGCTGGAGAGCAGTGGGCGATCTCAGCTCACTGCAACCTCTGCCTCCTAGGTTCAAGCGATTCTCCTGCCTCAGCCTCCCGAGTAGCTGGGGCTACAGGCACGTGTCACCACACCCGGCTAATTTTTGTATTTTTAGTAGAGACGGGGTTTCACCATGTTGGCCAGGTTGGTCTCAAACTCCTGACCTCAGGTGATCCACCTGCCTCGGCCACCCAAAGTGCTGGGATTACAGGCATGAGCCACCGCACCCGGCCGGGAAGCTGTTTTTTAATAGATACAGAGTTTGTTTTGCAAAATAAAAAAAAGACCTGAAGGTGGACGGTGGTGATGGTTGCACAACAATGTGAATATACTTAACATCACTGAATTGTACACTTAAAATGGTTAAGATGGTACATTTTACTTTATGCATAGTTTACCAAACTAAAAATAAAGAAAAATTTTAGACTGGGCATGGTGGCTCATGCCTGTAATCCCAGCACTTTGGGAGGCCAAAGTGGAGAATAGTATGAGCCCAGGAGTTTGAGAGCGGCCTGGACAACACGGCAAAACCTTATCTCTACAAAAAATACAAAAATTAGCAGGTTTGGTGGCACGCATCTGCACCCTCAGCTACTTGGGAGGCTGAGGTGGGAGGTCTGCTTGAGCCCAGGAGGTCAAGGCTATGATGAGCTGTGATTGTGCCACTGCACCCCAGGCTGGGTGACAGAGCAAGACCCCATCTCAAAAATAATAATAATAAATGTTTACATTTAATAACATGGGCAATTGGTTCAGATGTTCATTTTCTCAACCTTGAAAAAAAAACAACACTGTTTTTCCCTGTCTTTTTCTCCTTTTCTGTAAACTGAAATCCTAATATCATTGACTTCCAGGACAGAGATCAGCAAACTTTTTCTACAAACAGCCAGATAGTAAATAATTTCAGCTTTGTGATCCACACAGTGGCTGTTGCACCTCCTCTGCCAGAGGAGCTGGGAAGCAGCCACAGATGATGTGAAAACAAGTGAGCACAGCTGTGTTCCCATAAAACTTTATTTATAAAAATAAGCAGTGCGCCACAGTTCGCCAGCTCCTGTTTGAGAGTCTCTCTCCGATGCCCAGGCTGGAGCGCAGTGATGCAATCTCAGCTCACTGCAACCTCTGCCTCCTGGGTTCAAGCGATTCTCCTGCCTCAGCCTCATGAGTAGCTGGGATTACAGGCGCTCGCCGCCACACCTGGCTGATTTTTGTATTTTTAGTAGAGACGGGGTTTCACCATGTTGGCCAGGCTGGTTTTGAACTCCAGGCTTCAGGTGATCCACCTGCCTCAGCCTCCCAAAGTGCTGGGATTACAAAGCGTGAGCCACTGCGCCCAGCTACCTGTCATTGAATTTGGAAGGATGGCATGAAGTCATTCATAACAAGGACTTAATCCATAGTAAGTGCCAGAACATTGCTGGCTGTTAATATGGTTATTATAAAGAGAACAATGCATGCATATTCCTCCTCTGAGGATCTCCTACCTGATTCCCAGACACACCCAAGGGAGTTAGAACATCTGTTTGGACTCCAGGTGGGCTGTCCACGCCTTTACCATTTTCCTGGTTGTTAACATGTTCCTGATCAGCACTGGGTGCTGTCCCAGGTGCTGAGAGGATTCTCCCACAATGCCCTTTGCTTTCCCCATCAGAGGGTTTATGGCACCCAATTCTCATTCACATTCTGTCTCTCCTTTCTCGTTCTTCTCTATCTCTCCTCTCTCTGTCTCCTTTTCTCTTCCTCTCTCCCTCTCTGTCTTCTCTCCCTCTCTCTCCCTCTCTCTTCCTCTCTCTCTTCCTCTGTCCTCTTTTCTCTCTCTCTCTCCCTCTCTCTCACATCTCTCTTTCCCTTCCTTTCTCTTTCCTCTCTCTTCCTCTCTCCCTCTCCCTCCTTCTGTCTTCCTCTATCCCTCTCTTCCTCTTTTTTCTTCCTCTCTTCTTGTCTCTTTCTCTCCTCTCTCTCTCCCTCTTTCTCTTTCTCTCTCTCTTCCTCTCCCTTCCTCTTCCTCTCTCTCCTTCTTTCTTCCTCTCTCTCTTCTTGTGTGTGTCTCTCTCTCTCTGTTCTCTCTCTCCCTCTCCCCCCAACTCTCTTTCCCTACACACATCTTAAGAGGCCTCAGCAGTGTAAGGTAAGTTTAGCGACCCTGTGGCTGTGTAGAGATAAGCAAAGGGGGGCAAGGAGCTCCAGTGGTCCCAGACTCCAGCCATTTGAGTCTTTGCAGCCCAAGCACTGCCCCAGCTTCTTGACAGCCCCAGCCATCACCAAAGGGCACACAGATAAGCTGCCTCCACCAAGGCCTGTGCAGATGGTAGGTTTTTGAGTAAAATAGATATGATCCTTGTCTGAAGCCACTGAGTTTTAGAATAATTTGTTATATGGCCATAGTAACTGGAATGATTGCTGTAGGTTTATTTTATTTTATTCATCCTTGCTGCATGCAACACATGCATGGCTCAGTAACTAGAAGGAAAGAAGAGAAGAAGGGAGGGAGAGGCAGAGGGTGGACAGGAGAGGATGGTAGGAAGGAAAGACAGGAAAGGAGGGTGTTGGTGGCCTTGCCTGCAAGCTGAGCAGACACCACGCAAACAGGTGACCTCCCAGTTAAGATGGAGGGGACTCAGGGCTCAGGAGGGGCAGAAGGTCCCCGTGTCGGAGAGCTGGGCAAGCTTTCTGCAGGAAATGATGGGGATCACGGCCATGTGAGCCGGCAAGATTTCCCTCAGCCAGGGAGGAGACTCCGGGCTGTGGGAACAGCTTAAGCAGAAGGCATGGGACAGGAATGCATATGAGAGATATTGTGGGAGGAGGGAGGGCTGCCTGGGCTGGCATGCAGGGTATGGGAGGGGGTGGAAGGGCTGAGGCGGGAGCCATCAGTAAAAGGACCCAGAGCGCGGCTCCAATGCCATGGTAGGAAGCTTGGCGTTGACTCAGAGGGCGCTGGGTACCGCTGAAGAGTGTTGAGCCAAGGAGGGTCATGTCACGGGCAGATACATGTTTTAGAATTTCTTCTTTTCTGGCTGAGATGTAGAGTATGGACTGGAGAGAAGCACAGGGGACATAGGAAAGGTAGTTCTAGAAAGAGGGGCTGTCCCACCAGGGAAAGTCAACCAACTGTTCCCCAGTATCCATTCCTCCCTTCCAGCTCATGGCACTAAAGCCACTGATTGATTAGCTGGGTGCTATCAATCTCTCTCTCATCTCTCTCTCCCTCTTTCTCTCCCCCTCATCTGTGTCTTTTCTCTCTCTCATCTCTCTGTCTCCCTCTTTCTGTCCCCCTCCTCCGTGTCTCCTCTCTCTCTCTTCTCTGTCTCATATCTCTCTCATTGCTCTCTCCCTCTTTCTCTCCCCCTCCTGTGTCTCCTTCTCTCTCTCTCTTTCTCCCCCATCTCTCTTTCTCTCCCCCTTCCTCTCTTTCTCCTCTCACTCTTCCTGTTTCTCTCTTTCTCTTTCTTCCTCTCTTTCTCCCTGTCTCTCTCTTCCTCTTTTCCTTTGTCTCTCTCTCTCCCCCCAACTCTCTCTCCCTACACACATCTTGAGAGACCTCAGCAGTGTAAGATAAGTTTAGCTACTCCACGGCCTGGCACGGTAGCTCACGCCTTTAATCCCAGCACTTTGAGAGGCCAAGGCAGGCAGATCACTGGAGATTAGGGGTTTGAAACCAGCCTGGCCAACATGGTGAAACCCTGTCTCTACTACAAGTACCAAAAAATTAGCTGGGCATGGTGGCACGCGCCTGTAGTCCCAGCTACTCGGAAGGCTGAGGCAGGAGAATCGCTTGAGCCTGGGAGGCGGAAGTTGCAGTGAGCCGAGACCACACCTCTGCACTCCAGCCTGGGTGACAGAGTGAGATTCTGTCTCAAAAAAAGAAAGAGGAGGCCGGGCACTGTGGCTCAGGCCTGTAATCCCAGCACTTTGGGAGGCCGAGGCATGCAGATCACGAGGTCAGGAGATCGAGACCATCCTGGCTAACACAGTGAAACCCCGTCTCTATTAAAAATACAAAAAAATTAGCCAGGCACGGTGGCGGGTGCCTGTAGTCCCAGCTACTCGGGAGGCTGAGGCAGGAGAATGGCGTGAACCCGGGAGGCGGAGCTTGCAGTGAGCCGAGATCGCGCCACTGCACTCCAGCCTGGGCGACAGAGCAAGACTCTGTCAAGAAAGAAAGAAAAGAAAAGAAAAAAAGAAAAGAATAAAGGGAGGGAGGGAAGGGAAAGGAAGGGAAGGAAGGAAGGAAGGAAGGAAGGAAGGAAGGAAGGAAGGAAGGAAGGGGAGGGGAGGGGAGGGGAAGGGAGGGAAGAAAGGCAGGCCCTGATGTTCAGGGAGCTGAGAGTGAAGTCACCGGCTCCAACCCAGGATCCAAACTCAAGTCTGTCTGGGGTCCTATCCCCGTCACCACCCCCCGCCCCGACCCATCCCCCAGAGACCTGGGAAGGAGCCAGGCTCCTCCGGTTTCAGGAAAGGGCTGCACAAACCACCCCGCCACGATCCCTCCCAGAGAACAAACAGCTCCCGGCCACCGGCAGTCTCCCTCCTCCTCCTGCCAGGCTGGTTCCCAGACCCACCCTCCCTGTGTCATAAGCGCCTCTCCCCGCACTCTCACCAGGGCTGGCTGTTCTCAGAGGAACGCCCAGGAAAAACCTACCCGAACCCCTTTCAGCTGGGAAGGGGACCCGCCTGGGCTTCCTCACCGCCGATGAGACCTCCCTCGTCGTACACTTAGAGCTGCCTGTGTTTTCCTTCCTTCCTTAAGCGGGCTGGGAACTCTAGACACTCAGGGATGGGCCAGCCCATTAGAGTAAGCATTCGGCCACCTCTAGGCTGCTACGGTCACTGCTGCTGTCACCATCAACGTGACTGTCTCACACCTCACTTCCTCCGGCCAGCCACACCCCTGCAGATTTAACCCGCCAGCCTCCCTAAGGTTTCCTCTGCCTGAAATCCTCTCTGCATTCCTGGCTCATTCTCGAAATTGAGGTCAAAGCTCAGATGCCGCCTCCTTCCCTGACCACCCTACCTGAAGCAGCCGCACCTGCCTGCTCCTAGTCACGCCGTTCCTTCACCTGTTTCGTTTCCTCCACAGGGTTTACCACAATCTGAAAGTCTTATTCATGCAGGTGTCTACTTGTTTATCTCCCCACCACACCTACTAGGATGACAATATCACAAGGGCTGGGGTTTCATCTGTCTCCTCCTCCTCTGTATCTCCAGCACATGAAACATGCTTGGCACACTGTAGGTGCTTAAGTATTTGCTACTACATCACTTTGGGATTTTGCATAGGACACTCCCAATGCTTAGAATGTCAATCTTTGCTTCATTGTCCTTGGCAAACTCCTATTCATCCTTTGAAACCCCATCCATTTATCCCTTAACCAGGAAAGGCTTCTGTGCCTCATACAACCACCCATAAAGCTGGATTAGGGCTTTCTCTGGGGACACCCTTGCCCTGTGCCACACTTCCATTAGCGCACATATCCCCCATGAATTGTGCACACCAGCAGGGTCTAGAGTACGGCACACATTTTGTCTCAGGAGCTACGTATTGAATAAATAAATTAATTACTTTTTTTGAGACAAGGTCTTGCTCTGTCACCCAGGCTGGAGTGCAGTGGTGCAATCGTGGCTCACTGTACCTTGACCTCCCAGGTTCAAGCAATCCTCCCACCTCAGCCTCCCAAGCAGCTAGGACCACAGATGCAGGCCACTATGCCTGGCTAATTTTTAATTTTTTTTTTGGTAGGGATGGAATCTCCCTATGTTGCCCAGGCTGGTTTCAAACTCCTAGGCTCAAGGGATCCTCCTGCCTCTGCTTCCCAAAGTACTGGGACTATAGGTGTGAGACGCCACACTCAGCCTCATTATTTAATATGTAAGTAGCTATATCTCTCTGAGACCCAGCCCCATCTAATTTATAACCTCCCTCCTTCTCAAGAACATGCCTCAGCTCCCATTGCCAGGGAATCTGACCTTTCTCCTTGTCATAGGATTTTTTTTTTTTTTTGAGTCAGAATCTCAGTCAGTCACCCAGCCTGGAGTGCATGGCGCAATGGCTCGCTGCAACCTCTGCCTCCCGGGTTCAAGTGATTCTCCTGCCTCAGTCTCCCTAGTAGCTGGGACTACAAGCGCACGCCACCACACCCAGCTACTTTTGTAGAGATGGGGTTTCACCATGTTGGCTAAGCTGGTCTCGAACTCCTGATCTCAAGTGATGGCCTCCCAAAATGCTGGGTAACAGGTGTGAGGCACCACATCCGGCTGTCATAGGAATTTGTCAGCAAATCCTACAGACTAGAGGATGTGTGTTGGGTGGTGTGGGGGTGGGGATAACGGAGGAGATGGGGGGTGAGCTCTTCAAGCCCCAGGGGAGAATTCTGTTCCGTTCCTGGGACATCCCAGGTGAGAGGGAAGAAAGGCCAGCCCCCCAAGACAGCTATCCCAGACTGGGACAGAGGCAAACCCTGACCACAGAGCCCTGTCACTCACCCAAGAACAGGTGCCAATGACAGAATAGCCAGGCCGAGGGGGGAGAGAGGTGCTTCGGTGATGGATTTCCCTGGTGACTTGCCAAGACAGGGCTTTACTGCCTCCGCCCTGGACTGGCTGAGTCAGACTGTGCAGGGGTGGACACTTTGACTGGTATTTGGGAGGCATTTGCTGTGGGTTACAGAGAGGGAGGGGCCTCCTTTGCGGCCAGAGAAGGAGGAAAGAGGCCCTGGGCCCTGGGACTTGGGACTTGGGTGGAGGCTCGGGTTTCGGTCTCACCTGCTGCTCCAGACCATGGCCTGGAGGGCCGCCTGCGCCACCCCCAAAGCAATGAGATAGCCCCTCCTCCCTCAGACCCAGGAGTCCAGGCCCCCAGCCCCTCCTCCCTCAGACCCAAGAGTCCAGACCCCAGCCCCTCCTCCCTCAGACCCAAAGGCCTCGGACCCATACCAAATGCTTCTATGAGATAGTTTTCTCCCCTTGTTCATGAAGAAATGAGCCCAGGCCCAGTCAGATCTGCATCTGTGTCACAGCCCAGGGCCACTGTAACCTTAGGCTACTGACTTCCCTCTCTGAGCCTCTGTTTTCTCCTGTCAATGGGGCAAGGGGTCTGCTCCTTCCCTCAAACCCCAACTCAGGTACAGTCAAGCACAGAAAATACTTGTGGCATGAATGTGATGAGAACACAGAATTGCAGAAGCCAAAGAAAGAGAAGCGTAAGGGCCCTCCTTCCACCCCTACCTCCCCCACCCGCTGCTACACGCACCAGGACCACCTGCTGGGTAGCCAGGAGCTCACAGTCTAGCCCCGCTGGCCACCCCTGCAGCCCCCATCCTTCACTCAGGCAGTTGCAGGGCCCAGAACACCCCTATCTTCTAGGATTGACACTGGCTGTCAAACTCATCCTTCAAGGTGATTCCTGGCCTGCCCTCCTCCTCCAGGCAGCCTGTCCTCCTCCTCCAGGCAGCCTGTCCTGACCCTCAGCAGCCTCTCCTGGCCTTGGCAGAGCCCCTCGTGTCCTCCCTTGCAGCACGCATGGGAAGAAAGGCCATCGTCCTCGCCATTGCTAACACCAGCCTTGCGTTTCCTCTTTGCCAGGTACTGTATTGACAACTCTCTATAACCTGACTTTATCCTCCCAATAAGCTGGGTGTGGTGGGTGGCTCATGCCTGTCATCCCAGCACTTCGGGAGGATAAGGCAGGAGTATCACATGAGCCCAGGAGTTGGAGACCAGCCTGGGCAACATAAGGAGACTCTACTATATATATGTGTATATATATTTATATATAGTCTGAGATGGGAGGATCACCCCAGTAGGTCGAGACTGCAGTGAGCTGTGATTATGACACTGCATTCTAGCCTGGGCCACAGAACTAGACCTTGTCTCAATTAAGAAAAAAAATGGGGATAATAGGACCCATTCCATAGGATGTGGTGAGGATTATGCATACACACACACACACACACACACACACATTTATGATGTACTGAGAAGATATAAGCACACAATAAGTATCTCCAAAATTATCAAGTGGCAAAGCCAGGATTCAGACCCACACCTGCCCGAGGCTCTCTGCCATCAGACCACACTATATCTCTTTCTCTCTGTTCCTTCATCCCCATCAATCGAAGGCAAAAATGTGCCTTCTCTGATTTCCAGGCTCACTCAGCATAGACCGTGGAGGCAACATATCTTGAATGAAGCAACAAAGCAGTAATGCACATGAATGCACCAAATGCCAAAAGCTCGTTTACTCAACAAGTATCTCTCCAACACTTTCTATGTGCTAGACCCAATTCTGTGTGCTGCAGATTAAGTGGAGGACTGATCACACAAAAATCTTTGCCCTTGTGAAGCTTGCATTTTTTTTTTTTTTTTTTTGAGATGGAGTCTTGCTCTGTCACCCAGGCTGGAGTGCAGTGGAGCAATCTTGGCTCACTGCAATCTCCACCTCCCGGGTTCACGCCATTCTCCTGCCTCAGCCTCCGGAGTAGGTGGGACTACAGGCACCCACCACCAAGCCTGGTTAATTGTTTTGTATTTTTAGTAGAGACGGGGTTTCACCATGTTAGCCAGGATGGTCTCAATCTCCTGACCTCGTGATCCACACGCCTCGGCCTCCCAAAGTGCTGGGATTACAGGCGTGAGCCACCACACCCGGCCGCTTTTTTTTTTTTTAAGATGGAGTCTCGCTCTGTCACCCAGGCTGGAGTGCAGTGGCACGATCATCTCGGTTCACTGCAACCTCCACCTCCCAGGTTCAAGTGACTCTCTTGCCTTGGTCTCCCAAGAAGCTGGGATTACAGGTGTGCACCACCAACTCTGGCTAATTTTTTTTTTTTTAGTAGAAATGGGGTTTTATCATGTTGGTGACATGGTGTGATCTCGGCTGACTGCAACCTCCACCTCCGGGGTTCAAGCAATTTTCTTGTCTCAGCCTCCCAAGAAGCTGGGATTACAGGTGTACACCACCACCCCCGGCTAATTTTCATATTTTCAGTAGAGACGTGCTTTCACCATGTTGGCCAGGTTGGTCTCGAACTCCCAACCTCAAGTGATCAATCCGCCTCAGCCTCCCAAAGTGCTGGGATTACAGGCATGTGCCACCGTGCCCAGCCTGTGAAGCTTGCATTCTAACGGAGGAGACACAGACAAAATGAACCAGGAACACAGTGGGTAAGAAGGTGAAAAGTTCTCCACACAAAAATGAAGTAGGGAGAGAGGAAAGAGACTACAAAGAAGTTGGGTTGCCGGGGGCGGTGGCTCACACCCATAATCCCAGCACTTTGGGAGGCCGAGGCGGGCAGATCACGAGGTCAAGAGATCGAGACCATCCTGGCCAACATGGTGAAATGCTGTCTCTACTAAAAGTACAAAATTAGCCGGGCGTGGTGGCGCGCGCCTGTAGTCCCAGCTACTCAGGAGGCTGAGGCAGGAGAATCACTTGAACCTGGGGGGGCGGAGGTTGCGGTGAGCCAAGATTGCGCCACTGCACTCCAGCCTGGGCAACAAGAGTGAAACTCTGTCTCAAAAAAAACAAAAGAAGTCGAGTAAGGGATGCCGCCATTTGAAACAGGGTGGTCAGCCAGTCCTCTGAGAAGGTGACATTCAGGCAAAGATCAAAGGAGGCAAGAAAGTGAGGCATGAGGGTATCTGGTAGAAGAGCATTCCAGGCAGAGGAAACAGCAAGTGCAAAGGCCCTGAGGCAGGACCGGGTCTGGATGTTCCAAGAGCAGCAAGGAGGCCAGTGTGCTGACACACAGAAGGAAGAGATGAGATCAGAATCACGTCCCTTAAGGCCTTGCAAGATGTCAGCTTTTTTTTTTTCTTCTTTTTTGAGACAGAGTCTCGCTCTGTCGCCCAGGCTGGAGTGCAATGGCGCAATCTCGGCTCACTGCAAGCTCCGCCTTCCAGGTTCACGCCATTCTCCTGCCTCAGCCTCCCGAGTAGCTGGGACTACAGGTGCCCACCACCACGCCCGGCTAATTGTTTGTATTTTTAGTAGAGACGGGGTTTCACCGTGTTAGCCAGGATGGTCTCGATCTCCTGACCTCGTGTTCCACCCGCCTCGGCCTCCCAAAGTGCTGGGATTACAGGTGTGAGCCACTGCGCCCGGCCTGTTTTCTGTTTTTTGAGATGGAGCCTCGCTCTCTTGCCTAGGCTGGAGTGCAGTGGTGCAATTATCGGCTCGCCGCAACCTCTGCCTCCCGGGTTCAAGTGATTTTCCTGCCTCAGCCTCCTGAGTAGCTGGGATTACAGGCACCCGCCACCACACCTGGATAATTTTTGTGTTTTTAGTACAGATGGGGTTTCACCATGTTGGCTGGGCTGGTCTCGAACTCCTGTCCTCAGGTGATCTGCCTGCCTCGGCCTCCCAAAGTGCTGGGATTAGAGATGTGAGCCACTGTACCCATGCAAGTTTCTTAACCCTTCTCTTCCTCATTTTCTCATCTGTGAGACGAAGACAGCCTCCCACCCAGACACACTCCCCTCACGGGGCTCTGGGGAGAAATGATGTGGAAAGCTTTGCTAGTAACCTCTACAGCATGGAGGGAGTTCTGGAAAAGTGATTTCAGAAAGGTGTTTATGCCTGGAAAGCCTGTTCATTTTTGTGATGTCCTTGGAGCTGGGCCAGGCATTATCGAGCTAAATCTTAGCTTTTGTCAGAATAGGGGGGTCATTGAGGGAAATTTCCAAAGGAAGGTGGAACGGGATGGGTGGGGAGGTAAGGGCATGAGCAGAGGCAGTGATCGTGGGCAGGAGGTGTCCATAGAAGACGGGCTGCCACTGGCCCTGGAGACAGAAGGTCAGCCCCGGGTTCAAATCCCTCCTTAACCAAGTGCTGAAATGGACAAGTTGCTCAACCTCTCTGGCCTTCAGCTTCCTCATCTGTCAAGCAGGAATCAAACCTCGAACTTCCTCCCGCTGTTAGAATTTCAAGGGAGTTTTAAAGACAGAGCTTTCAACTCTGACCTGTGAACAAGTGTGACATCAAATGTACTGTTCGTTGCTATTATTCTGTTGCTACAAGGCAGACAGTTAGTTTCCCAGCTCCCCTGCAGTCCCCCCAGCCCCTCCTAGATCTGTCTGCCAGCCCCGCCCCGGGGTCACTCCAGCCAGGCTGTGCCAGGTGAATGCTCAGGTATGCGGAGGCGGAGGCGGAGGCAGGACGGCCCTGGGAGGGAGCAGGAGGAGGGGCCGGCAGCCTGGAAGGGAAAGGACAGCGGAGAGCAGGGCAGAGCCTGAGCAGGCAGGTAAGGAGATCCGGGTCAGGAGAGAAGGGGGCCGGGGCTTGACCAATGGGTCTGAGGGACGGGGGGACTGGGGTCTGGACTCCAGGGTCTCAGGGAGGACGGGCTGGGGGTCTGAACTCCCGGGTCTGAGGGAGGAGGGCCTGGGGTCCTGGACTCCTAGGTCTGAGGGAGGAGGGGCTGAGGGCCTGGACTCCTGGGTCTGAGGGAGGAGGAGATGGGGCCTGGACTCCTGGGTCTGAGGGAGGAGTGGACTGGGGTCTGGACTCCTGGGTCTGAGGGAGGAGGGGACTGGGGTCTGGACTCCTGGGTCTAGGGAAGAGGGACTGGGGCCTGGACTTCTGGGTCTGAGGGAGGAGGGGCTGGGGGCCTGGACTCCTGGGCCTGAGGGAGGAGGGGCTGGGGCCTGGATGCCTGCATTGAGGGAGGAGGCTGGGGTAGGAATTAGAGGCTCCTACTGGCCAGGCCTTCACATGTTTGCTGGCTCCCAGGGCACCTCCAGGTGGGCAGGAGCTACCACTCAGCACCATGAGCACCGCCACAGGGTAAGCGCCCCCGGACCCCAGGTCCCAGCCCCAGCACGCCTCCCGCCTCCCCTCGCCTCCTCACCCACACCCGCTTGCGGCAGCCCAGACTGTTTGCGGCGGCCCAGACTCTGGCCCAAGCCCCGACACTCAGGAGGAAGCCAGAGCCTCTCTCCTCCCTGCCCAGCCTGGGGTTAGGGGCCCCCACTGCAGAGCAGACAGGCCTGAGCTCCAGTTCGGCCCTCACACTCAGTGCTGATGTAACCCTGGTCAGAGGACATCACCTCCTGGAGCCTCAGCCCCTCCTCTGTGACACAGGGACAATGTTGAAAAATTGGAGGGATAGTGCATTACAGGACTTAGCTGACCACCTCACTGACAGCAGGTGCTCAACTCATAGGAGTCGCTATTGCGATTGTTATGTTGTTAGTAAATATTAACCCTTTGCTAGAAAATCAGGGCTGTTTATAATGAAGACTCAAGTCCCCCAGAGTAAGCAGGGAGAAAAACAATGAGAGATGAGTCAAAATACCTGCATGGTAGGTAGTGAGCTCTCTGGCCCAGAGGTAATCAAATTGTGGTGACATCAGACTGGCAGGAGCAGGATGAGGAACAGGAGTTTGGGAAAAAGGGTTTTTCAGTTCCCCTGACGCCACCTGATCGCTGAGCTTCTGTTATGTGCATGCAAGTGGGGATTCAAGAATTCTTAGGAAAGGTAATCTTAGGAAGAAATTGAGGACGGGAGGAGACAGAGAAGGATGTGGTTGGGAAGCACCTGGCCCATGGGAGTGGGAGGGGAAGCAGATAATTCCCTGTCTACTTCAGATACCACTAATGCTATTATAACCATTCCCATTTATTGAGCAACTTCTGTGTGCTAAGCCCTGGCAGCATCTTAAGAATGATAATAACAGTTATTGAGGCTTCAAAATACTTCACCTGCATCATCTGACTGAATTTGCCCAACAGCCCTACCAGATGGTTACTACGTTACAGAAAGAAAAACTGAGGCAGGAGAGATTAAATCCTCTTCTGAAGGTCTTATGGCAAGGAGGCAGTAGACAGAGGGTTTGAATCCCGGACTATGCCATGGTAGAGATCACACTCCCCTACCACCCAGCACCACCGCCTGACCTGACCTGTCTTTTTTTTTTTTTTTTTTTTTTTGAGATGGAGTCTCACTCTGCTGCCAGGCTGGAGTGCAGTGGCACGATCTGGACTCACTGCAACCTCCGCCTCCCAGGTTCAAGTGATTCTCCTGCCTCAGCCTCCCACGTAGCTGGCACTACAGGCGCCCACCACCACACCCAGCTAATTTTTGTATTTTTAGTAGAGACAGGGTTTCACCATGTTGGCCAAGATGGTCTCAATCTCTTGACTTTGTGATCCGCCCACCTCTGCCTCCCAAAGTGCTGGGATTACAGGCGTGAGCCACCGCGCCCAGCCTACCTGTCTTCTTAAAGTCCAGCTCTGGCTCTGAGCTCTCCTGCTCAATAATAATAATAATAATAATAATAATAATAATAATAATAACCCTTCCATCGCTCCCCATTACCTTCGTCATGAAGCCCTTGCTGCCCTGCTTGGCATTTCCACAGGATCTGCCCCCAGTCCCACAGTCTCTCTCATTCCTCTTTTCTTCACCAGCCCAGAAGCTGCCCCAAAGCCAAGCGCCAAGTCTATCTATGGTGAGCGGGGGGCAAGGGAGCCCCAGGCCCATAGAACTGGGTCTAAAGAAACAGGACCTGGCATCCAGGGTCTTGGAGGAGGAGGGGCTGGGGGTCTGGACTCCTGAGTCAGAGGGAAGAGGTGCTGGGGGTCTGGACTCCTGGGTCAGAGGGAAGAGGGGCTGGGGGGCTGGACTCCTAGGTTTGAGGGAGGAGGGGCTGGGGGCCTGGACTCCTGAGTCAGAGGGAAGAGGTGCTGGGGGCCTGGACTCCTGGGTCAGAGGGAAGAGGGGCTGGGGGGCTGGACTCCTGGGTCAGAGGGAAGAGGGGCTGGGGGGCTGGACTCCTGGGTCAGAGGGAAGAGGGGCTGGGGGGCTGGACTCCTGGGTCAGAGGGAAGAGGGGCTGGGGGGCTGGACTCCTGGGTCAGAGGGAAGAGGGGCTGGGGGGCTGGACTCCTGGGTCAGAGGGAAGAGGGGCTGGGGGTCTGGACTCCTGAGTCAGAGGGAAGAGGGGCTGGGGGGCTGGACTCCTGGGTCAGAGGGAAGAGGGGCTGGGGGCCTGGACTCCTGGGTCAGAGGGAAGAGGGGCTGGGGGCCTGGACTCCTGGGTCAGAGGGAAGAGGGGCTGGGGGTCTGGACTCCTGGGTCAGAGGGAGGAGGGGCTGGGGGGCTGGACTCCTGGGTCAGAGGGAAGAGGGGCTGGGGGCCTGGACTCCTGGGTTTGAGGGAGGAGGGGCTGGGGGCCTGGACTCCTGGGTCAGAGGGAAGAGGGGCTGGGGGGCTGGACTCCTAGGTTTGAGGGAGGAGGGGCTGGGGGCCTGGACTCCTGGGTCTGATGGAGGAGGGGCTGGGCCTGGACTCCCAGGCTCATTCTCTTTCTCCCCTGGCAGAGCAGAGGAAGCGTTACTCCACAGTTGTTATGGCTGATGTATCCCAGTACCCAGTCAATGTGAGTCTGGGGTCTGTGTTCCCCCAGGACATCTTCTGGGGCAAAGGTGGCCTCAGGAGATAGGGCTTTTGAAAGCAGCTAGGCCCCCAAGCAGGAAGCATGTGGAAAGTCAGTTTGCCCATCCATAAAATGGACCTCCGTTGCCTCACCTCAGTCATGGATATGAAGCCAGGGGCCTCGGGTCCACTTAATCTGCCAGCCTTTCCTCCAGGCCAGCTGTTGTGCTGGACAGTGGGACCACGGAGGCAAATCAAGACACAGCCCTGCATGAGGAAGGGGTAGACAAGGTCCAGAGGAATCCACAGAGGCGCCTGGTGCTCTAATGGAGGTGGCAGGGGGCATGGCAGGAGACCCGAGGAGGCATTTAGAAGGAGAGAGCTATAATCCAGACTCCTTCCCTGCCCGCAAGGAGCCTCCAGTCTGTGAGAAGCCAGACTCAGGTGCTAGTCACTCTGATGAAAGGGAAACAAAGGGCACTGGGAGGAGGAGCTGATTTGTGGAACAGGTGATCAAGGAAGGCTTCCTGGAGGAGGTGTGGTTAGTCTCAGGCTGAAAGTCTGATTATTCTGGGGGATTCTGAGCCCACCTGGCATCATCTTGGGCCTCACTGCTTTCTCCATGGTCCGTACCAGCACCTGGTGACGTTCTGCCTGGGTGAGGACGATGGCGTGCATACCGTGGAGGATGCCTCCAGGAAGTTGGCCGTCATGGATAGCCAGGGCCGAGTCTGGGCACAGGAGATGCTGCTGCGAGTGTCTCCCGACCATGTCACGCTGCTCGACCCGGCCTCCAAGGTGCCGGGGGGCACGTGGGTGGGAGGAGTGTCTGGGGCAGGGACTTCAGGGGGTCTGGGTGTGAATCTTGGCTCCTGCACGTCCTTCCTCTGGGAACTCTGGCGAGGGACCCCAGCCCCCTTCTTGAGCCTTAATAGCCTCATCTATTAAACAGGGCTGTTATCCCTAACCCCCTAACCGCCTGAGGTTGCCCTGACCTGCTGGCCCACACTCCCGTCGCCATTTAGTAGTACCATCATTTCGGGGCCTCAGTTTACCCCGCCATCCCACCCGGCAGGAGGAGCTGGAGTCGTACCCACTGGGCGCCATCGTGCGCTGTGACGCGGTGATGCCACCCGGCAGGAGCCGCTCGTTGCTGCTGCTCGTGTGCCAGGAACCCGAGCGCGCGCAGCCCGACGTGCACTTCTTCCAGGGCCTGCGCCTCGGGGTGAGCAGATGGGCTGGCTCTGGGGGTGGAGCTGGAACTGGGCGGAGCCTGGAGCCGGGGCGGAAATGGGTGGGGCCTCTAGGTGGGGCGGGGCCTGGGGCTAAGGCGGGATCAGAGCAAGGAAGGGCAGGGGACCTGGGAAGGAAGTTCTGGAAGGCAGTGGGGTTTGAGATTGGACCCAGGGTCAAGATAGAACATGAAGGTGGGATGAGGACATGAACAGAACATGGCCAAGAAGGATCTGGGGGAGCAGCCAGGACGAGGTGGGGGCGAGGAACCACCCGGACTGGGTCTCCATGGGCGGGGTCGTGGCTTAGGGCAGGGACAGGTGTAGGGCGAGGGGTGAGTTCGGGGCGTGGACGTGCGTGGGTTCACAGGTGTGAACGGTAGCCGCACGTGGGCTGGGACTGAGCTGAAAAATCGGCCAGGGGCGAGGCCCGGGTAGGAAGTGGGTGCGGCGTGGGGAGGCGTGGCCTGACGGTGTGATTGGCAGGCGGAGCTGATCCGAGAGGACATCCAGGGGGCTCTGCACAATTACCGCTCGGGCCGCGGGGAGCGCAGGGCGGCGGCGCTCAGGTGAGAGGGAAGAAGTTGGCAGGGTCTCTGGGAAGCCGGTTTCCCCTCCTTGTGCCTCAGTCTACAACACCAGCCTGGAACAGAACAAGAGTTTTGCATGGAGTCAAGCACACCCTAGTCGAGTCTTGTCTGTACCTCCCAGACGAGCTGACCCCTTCTCCAGAACTCTGCTTCTTTTCTCTGTTCCCTGTCCAGGCCCTCAGTTTCACTCTAGAGAGGTGCTATCCCTCCGTATATCGGATTTCTCCCTACCTCGTTGAACTTGTTCACTCCCTTTGAGCCTTTTGAGCCTGTGTGTCTCGTTCTGCGCCCTGGATTTCCCCCTCCCTGGACCCCTCAGTGGACCCAGTCTTGGTGTCCCCGTCGCCCTCCGCAGGGCCACGCAGGAGGAGTTGCAGCGCGACCGCTCGCCCGCCGCTGAGACCCCGCCCCTGCAGCGCCGCCCGTCAGTCCGCGCAGTGATCAGCACCGTAGAGCGGGGCGCGGGCCGCGGACGACCCCAGGCGAAGCCCATTCCCGAGGCAGAGGAGGCGCAGAGGCCTGAGCCGGTGGGGACCTCGAGCAACGCTGACTCGGCCTCCCCGGACCTGGGTCCCCGGGGTCCTGACCTGGCGGTTCTGCAGGCGGAGCGGGAAGTGGTGAGCCGCTAAGGAAGGGGTCTGGGGGCAGGGCCAGGCGACTGGAGGCGGGGCTAGGGCGTGGAAGGGCGGGGCCGGCTGCGGGACGGGCGTTCTCTGGTCAGACTTCTGCGTTATGGAAGAGGGGCTGGGTCGGGGGCGGGGCTTGGTTGTGGGGCGTGGCCAGGTGTTTGGGGCGTGGCCTGATCTGGGGAAGTGTATAGGTGCTCAGGTTCAGGGCTTCGACGGGGATGGTTTTGGAACTCGGGAGCCCTGAGCGTCCCCCTCCTCTGTCCCCTAGGACATCCTGAACCACGTGTTCGACGACGTAGAGAGCTTTGTATCGAGGCTGCAGAAGTCGGCGGAGGCGGCCAGGGTGCTGGAGCACCGGGAACGCGGCCGCAGGAGCCGGCGCCGGGCGGCTGGGGGTAAGGGGCACCCTGGCGTGGGATCTGAACCCCCTCCCGATCTCTTCCAAATGTCCCCGCTCTCCCCAGGCTCTCCCCTCCCGCCACTTGCCAGGGCTGACCTCACCGCCATCTTAACCGGGTGTCCACCTCTCTCTGCCTGCCTGGTGCTGGCCCCGCGTCCCCATCGCCGCGCCCGTCTGCTCCCCTCAGAGGGCTTGCTGACGCTGCGGGCCAAGCCGCCCTCGGAGGCCGAGTACACCGACGTGCTGCAGAAGATCAAGTACGCCTTCAGCCTGCTGGTGAGGACGCGCCCGCCCCTGGGCCGGGGCGCGGGCACGACGAACCTGTCCCGTCCCCGCACCCACGCCAACCACCTCCCTCCCCACGCCCCAGGCCCGGCTGCGCGGCAACATCGCCGACCCCTCCTCTCCGGAGCTGTTGCACTTCCTTTTCGGGCCTCTGCAGATGGTGAGACCCGCCCCAGGCCCTCGGGCCCCCCTGCAGCGGGAGGAATCGGGTTCGACTTGTAGAAGGTGTGGCGGCACAGCCTGCCCCTCCTGCTCCCCTGACAGATTGTGAACACGTCGGGGGGGCCGGAGTTCGCGAGCAGTGTGCGGCGGCCGCATCTGACATCGGATGCCGTGGCGCTGCTGCGGGACAACGTCACTCCACGTGAAAACGAGCTCTGGACCTCGCTGGGGGACTCGTGGACCCGCCCCGGGTGAGGGGCGGGGCTGGGAGGCAGGGGGCATGGTGATTGGAGGAGCATAAGGCGCTGGGAGGTGGGTGGCATGATGATTGGAAAATAGGACTAGGAGAGTAGGGAGGGGTTAGAGGCGTGGCTTAGTTGTGTTGGGGCGGGGCTTAGGACAGATGCCAAGATTCAATTGGAGGAAAGGCCAGGAATTAACGTGAAGGAAAGATTTAAGACCACCAGACCAATCGGATTGAAAGAAAAGGGGGGCTTAAAGGAATAGAGGGGCTAGGGGCTACGGGGCAGGGGCGGGGCTACGCGAAGGGGCGGGGCTTCTGGAAGGTTTGGTCTATAACTTTGGTGATGGGACAGAGTCTGTGCACTGCGGGCTGGCAGTTCCGCAGGGAAAGGGTCAGAACCTGAAACCGACCTTACGGAAAACCTGATTTGGAATCAGGTGAGATTTAGAGGCTGGATAAGGCAATTTTTTTCCAGAGAGAGAGATGGATGGGGTCTCAATATTTTGCCCAGGCTGGTCTGGAACTCCTGGCCTCAAGCGATCCTCCCATCTTGGCCTCCCAAAATGCTGGGATTACAGGCGTGAGCCACCGTGCCCGGTCTAGAAATATAAATTGCTGTTGAGTTGGGCTTAGAGCTACCGGCAGGACTTGGTGAAAAGTGGCGGGGCTAGAATCGTTGGAATACAGCGAGCTTTAGGGGAAAACTTAGTGAAGTTAATGCAGGAACGAAGTTGGGGGCTGTATCAGGATCCCTGAGCTCTTGGCCCTGTCCCTGGCCGCAGGCTGGAGCTGTCCCCGGAGGAGGGACCCCCATACAGACCCGAGTTCTTCAGCGGCTGGGAGCCGCCGGTCACTGACCCGCAGAGCCGCGCCTGGGAGGACCCAGTTGAGAAACAGCTACAGCACGAGCGGAGGCGCCGGCAGGTGACCCAAGCGACACAGCAGGGCCGAGGCTGGGAAGTCCGGGGGCGCGGCCGGTCCGCCTGGCCCCGCCTGACCCGACTGTCTTACTTCCTACAGCAAAGCGCCCCCCAGGTCGCTGTCAATGGGTGAGTGTCCGCCCCAGGGCAGGGCAAGGGGGTCAAGGAGGGGTGCGTCCCGGGGGCTCCCGATGCTGACTCCGCCCCCTTTTTTTCTGTGTTTTTCCTTCTGTCTTCCTGGCTCTTCTCAGGTGGGTGAGATGGTGATGGGGCGGGCCGGGGCTGGGAGAGAGGGAGGAGCAGGGTGGGAGGGGGCGGGACCCAGACTTCTGGGGCTAAGGGAGTTGGGAATGGAGACCCGGATTCCTGGGCCTAAGGGAGGAAGGGGGCTGGGAGTGGGTAAAGTCTGAGAGGTTGGATCCCTGGATCCCCAAAAGGCTGGAAGAAGCCAGTTTGTTTTCCCAGGGCCTGGGAAGCACCATGCCTGGGCTCCCTAGGAGGACAGAGCCCTGGATATTGGAGGGGAGAGGCTGGGGAATTGGACCTTTGGGTTTTGAAGAAGAGCCCAAGTCTGGTGCTTGGGATCCTGGAGACCCAGAGGAGCAGGCTTGGGACTTCAAGGGCTTGGGGGCAAGTTTCTGGGAAAGTTAGGAAGTGGTAGTATCTCTGGGCCCCCGAGAGGGGTAAAGGCTGGACGATTAAACTCTTGGTTTTCCAGAGGCTCTAATGCAATTGTCTAAGTCGCTGCTGGGTGTCGGACTGGGTTAAAAGGTTTGAGGGTTAAAAGGATAAGATTGAAGCTT